>NC_000011.10:133221493-133530681 GCF_000001405.40 Homo sapiens | reverse complement strand
GGGTTGCTGTTGTTGTTATTCCAGATTCCAGCAGCATCCTAGGGGGTCCAGCCTGGGGGCTGTGCTCAGCAGGGAAGGCAGAGCCAACGGAACACTCAGTACCTGCCTGAGCCTGGTAGAGGGAGCTAGGTGGGTGCACTGGGTCCGTGGCAGGAGAAGACAAACTTTCCTGCGTAGGCAAGTCCCCAGCTGGATGGCAGCTCCGGGGGGCCTCCTCATACCCGCTTCCCCTCCTCTCACTGTGCTGGAGCAAAGATCAGGACCCCCATCCCAAGGGAATCCTGGCTGTATGGATGCGCCCCTTATGGCAGAAATCATAACATTACACTTTAGAAAGCAAGGCGGGGGGTGAGCCCCAGTCTGCAGAAGCTGCATTGCAGCGCGCCCTGAAGGAGCCAGGAGCCAGGGTGAGACCTCCTTCTAGGGGTCCCGTGGCACTGCACTGGTGGGGAGCAGGCAGAACTTGCTTGCAGGAGAAGTACCCGAAACTAAAGCCGGCTGAGGGAAAGGAGGATGAACCTGCACCCCTGCCTGACCGTCCTGAGCATGGTGGATGAACGACAATGACAAGCTATCCCCCCCACCCCCCTGCCCCCATCTTCTGGGGGAGAGCAGGGTGTGGACATCACTGCAACATGCCCTCTTTCTGAAGAGTCTGTTACCTGCTTTGAGGGCTACTCTTATGCTAATTGTGTCAGGAGCCCGGTAAGAACAAGAACGGGGAGGAGAAAAAGTTAGCCTTAGAAGGTGTCGGTGAAAGAACGCTTCGCATCTTGAGGGGTTCCTGTGGGAAACCTGGCTGGATCCGGAAGTTCTGATGAGCTGCCATGGCTTACTTGCGACTTCTCCTTTCTCTTTTCTTTTACTTCCTGTTATAGCTTTAGACTTTTTTTTCTTTGTTTCAAATGATGATGCTTTTTCTCCCACAGGGATTAATACCAGCTCGTTAGCCACTTACTTTCACTGCGTCTAAAAACCAAAGGCTGATGTAATAATGGAACCTTGACCTGGTTAGGCCTCAATGCCATTTTATTCTGCAGCTTCTATTTCTTGGTAAAACATGTATCCATCCCAGAGTAATTTTAAGGTTAATGCTGTTGTCGCCTGGTACCTTCCACTGATATCACAAATAGCTTTTCTAGGCAGAATTTCTGGGATGGAAAAGACAGTCACCACGTGGAGACTGAGATGAGCCCACACCCAAGACAGGGCAGAGGGCCCGTGGCCAACTGACTTGTCATGCTAGAGGCACAGTCCGAGGCTCTGGACACCCCTGGTTGGGGTAATTTTGTTGTTCTAGTAGGAGGAGAGAGATAGTCTGGGCTGGTGGCCTTCTTGACCTTGGGTCTGGGGGCTCTGTAGGAAGCAGGAAGCGAATACTGCTAGATATGTGCATCAGAATCACCTAGGAGGAGAGAGGCAGGTTAAAATGTGGAGTCCCTGTCCTCGTCTCAGACGGAAGCATTTTGAACTAGCATCCCAGGTCCTTCTGATTACCTGCAAACCACTCTGTCTGTCACTTAAAACCTGTGACCATGGCCTACAGTATTTGAGTATTTGAGTATTTGAGTCAAAACCTGTCTTCTTCTTGTCTTTTCTCCTCCAGCTTTGAGAAATGGCTCTGTGGCCATGGGGCAGGGTGGAGTAAGGGCAAGAAGATGTTGTCATTGCCAGCAGCCAAGGCTCAGTTCCTGAGGCACAGTGCTGCCCAAGTCCTTCCAGGGGCCAGCACCATGATGCAAGGATTGCTAACTTGGAAGACTTCTTTGCTCAAATTCAGACCATGACTTCCTGTTTGTCCCCTTCTTCTTGGCCCATCCTGTTTGTATCTCCTTCGTCTTGTGACTCTAAGCAGGGGAGTTAGCTGGGAGGGGTCCCCATTTACCCAACCTGGATTGAGCTGTGTCTTCATGCGCTGATCTGTGAGTCCAGGTTCTGGGTACAACTTCATCTCTTGCACCTTAAACAGGCTTTGCCCGTTTAGGGTCAGAAAACCCTGGGCTTGGATAGAAAATCCCCCGAGGTTTAGGATTCTTCCTTCTCTAGCACACACCTTCCTGCTTCTTCCTTCAGGGAAGTCCCCAAATCTTGAGTTTCTGGGCTGGGATGTTTGGCTTTGGGGTAAGGCCTGGGGGCAGGCTCTACAGCCAAGTTTTGATGAATTCCTTTCCTGCTCCTTAGCCTCTCACCAGCCCAGAGCCGGCGAACCTGCTAAGAGTGCCTGATGTGCACAAGGGGTCTAGTGGGGGAATCCACGCGCCAGACTCACTAAGAAAGAGATAGGAACAAGGACAGAGCATCTGGTCATGAGCAAGTTCCCATCGTCCTTTAGCCCATCATGGATTCACGCCATCATGTGGCCCTCAATCCCTTAAAAATGATCGACATGTTAATAAGGTTAGACTGCGTCATCTGCATTCAGCATGGGCCCAGTGGCAATAGCAGGTGCTGAGAAGGAGATAGCATCAGCTGCCTCATGAAGATGGCTTTTTCAGTAGCCTGGAACTGGGCAGCACTACTCAACCTGAGATTAATCAGAGATCCCGACGGGCTTGAGGTTCTCCCATGTTCCCTCGGTCCTGTCTGCCTTTGTGCTTTCTCGAATTCTTAGCACCCTTGGCCACATCTCTGTAACCTAGAAAATTACAGAAGGAGATTCTTTAGACAGCTGGCACTTGCCTGCATTTGTTGTCTAGCAGCTCTGGGCCTGGGTCTCCCATGCCAGCTACTGGGAACTATCTCTGGTGGTTACAGCCTCAAATCTGTGTCAGGGCTGCCTGGGGCTGAGTGCACTTCCCTTTAAGTGGGACTCCACCCAAACCTCTAAGTATGCTGAAAGCTGAGAGTGATCTCTTTGATTAGTGGCTCTTTGAGGCTTATTTGGTTGGTTCAAGGCATTCTCTAAGTCTCAGTTTACCAATCTGTAGAATGGGTTCCAGCCATGTATGAACCTTGTTTCCAACTGCACAGAGTAGCTGAACACCTAGGTTAGATGATAACAAATAAACACTTCTAAATTTTTATTATAAAAAAACTCATCCTGGTCCTCTAGGAATAGGGTAAAGAGAGAAGGCAACTCGCATGTTGGAGAAGGGGAGAGGACATTCCATATTGTTAAAAATGGGAGAAGATAAGGTAGAATCATACTGACCATATATGTATGTCTTTGTCACAGTGATGAAAATTAGTAAAAGACAATCTACTCCTTCATTTATTGAACAAGACTTTATATACGTTCTGATTAAACAATGTATTAAGATATTCTCCTGCCTCAAAAATCATTAATCGAGTAAAACAGGAAATTGTTAAGCTTTTTCTTCTTTTTGACCCCCAATAAAATATGCATTCTGACTTTGAGCTTTTAGGTCTTAGTTTTTCTGCTGTAGAAAACTAAGGCAACAGACATGGCACCTTTGGTCTCTCAAAACGTTGCTTTGTGGTATATTTGGTGGGGTGCTAGATACATGGACTTGTATGTCAGCCTTGGACAGCTGGAACTCCAGGAGCCCCATCTAATAGCCTTTGGCCTATGGGCACTGGCTTTTCTGATGCTGGTCCGCTGGACAGGGACCCCATCAGCCTGCAGCCCTGTTTGCAGATGGACTGTTGCCATCTGCCTGCAGCTGCCTGGGGCTGGAGACAGAGAGATATGGAAGCAAACTGTGATTCCTGTCAGTGAGCTCAAGTGTCAGCCCCCAGATGGTCTGTGGCTGCTGACAAGCCAGGCTGTCAGGAGCAGTGGATGTTAGCACCTCTGATACCGACTGGCACTTTCCAGACAGAGAGGGCCAGGCAGGTGGCTTCACCTTGGGGCGGCTCTGCTCTCCCACTCCTTCTGATCCCAGTCCTCAGTGCAGGGCTAGGTCCTGAGGACATTTGTCCCTCTTGCCTTTTATGCTGTTGGTGGGAGACCCAGACTTACAACTTGCTACTTATCTGCAAAGCCTTGGTTGCCTCTGCATTTTCCCTGAGGGGTGGGGATGGTTCTAACACAGTAGGGCATGGATGTAGTTCCACTTGCTGGATTTATACACCACTCACTTGATACCCCAAGATGGTGGTATTTGTATGGCTCAGGGAAGGATTAAAGGTAGCCCTGAGAAGGGAGCCAAAAGAAATCCAAAACCAGAGAGAAGCTTGAAGATGAATGTGCTTGCTACTGCCTTCCTCTAAGCATGTGAACATACATTCCCTCCTCTCTTCTTCACCACCCCCTTGCCAACCATAGATGCATGCCCCTTCCTGCACACATATACACGCAAGGCACACATGCATTTCCAAGCCAGAGTTTAGCTACTCTCAAAATCACATTCACAGCTCTTTAAGGAAAGCAAGTCTTCCCTCTTGCCTTCTATATCTGCCTTTCCAGAACTCCCAACTCTAGCCCCCAGCCTTGGTGCTCTCCCTGTGGGCACACATGGCAGGAGGCCCACAGGCTGCCTGTGCCAGACACGGCCATACATGTGTGAGTGCTTCTTCCTAGCAACGCAGAGATTCCCTGCACATCCACCCACTCGCCTCTGCGCCCCAGAGCCAGTAAGTAGGTGCTAGAGGCAGGGCTTTTGCTTGTCTCCCATCACGTCCTGTCGCCACCCCCACCCCAGACCTCTTGGTTCGGAGAGGCTGGGGACCATCCTGCAGTCACTAGCCTAACTTAATTAAAAGTTTACAAAATGCTTTGAGAACCCCCTGGGCAATGTGCTGGGTAAGTGCAAAGGATTATCATTATGATGCAGGCGCATTCTCGTTAATGAGCGGAGATGCTGTGCTGAGAGACCCCCGGAAAGGCCAAGATGAATTGATGCAGTGGGACACAGGCCGTTGATTGGAATGGCTCCTTGCACTTAGCATGGGAAACGATAAGTGACAATCAGATTGCACAGTGAACTCCAACGTGGAGAAAACCAGGCTATCTGGCACTTCAAGGGGCAGAGTCTCTCAAGTGGCCTGAGCGGTCATTCTGGAACCTTTATTCCTGGGGAATTTACAAATGGTGTTTTACCACACTTGGGAGTTACTAACGGTTTTAGAAACACAGTGGTCTCATTCCTTATGGATCACCTGGAAAAACTTATCTTTGGTCTCATTTGTTCCTCACTAAGAGACTGTGAGGTAGGCAGTGTAGATGTCACCCTATTGTGATCTGATCTTCGCGTTGCCTAAAACCCTATGTAGACTTCCGGTTGACTTTAGAATAGACTTCGAAACACTTCAAATGACCCACAAGGCCATGATCTGGCCCTGCATTCATCTAGCTTCATCTCCAGCTCTCTGCCTTTCCAGCTCTGGACTTTAGTCACTCTGGACAATCACAGTTCCGTAGACAAGGCCTGTTCCCTCCTTCCTCAAGGGCTTCACCTGTCAGGTTACCTGAGCTTGGAAAATTCTGATCCTCTTATAATTTTTTCTGGCTACACATCCTTTCCATCCTTCAGAACTCAGCTTAAATGCTGCTTTCCCAGGAGCTCATTCTTTATGCTTCAAAGTAGGCGAGGCTTCCCTGTTTATTGTGCAAGTCCTCGGAACCAGACTTCTCTTTTCTAAAACTGTGAGTCCATGTATTTCAAACTAATTCTTGGTTTTATGTCTCTCTTTCCTCCCTAGACCATTGTTTATACAGGCAGAGACCACACCTGTTTTGTTCTCCAATATGTTCTCAGTGCCTAGCACGGGTGGGAGAGAGCAAGTGCTCAAACAGTATTTGTTGAACAAATGAATGAGAGAATGAATGAATGAATAAATAAACACTGAGTGCTCACTTACTTTAGGCAATCATTCTGTTCCATCCCACTGAGTCCTCAAAGGCATTGAGGCCCCCAGTTTGGCCTGCCCAGCAGCTTGTCCCCTGCAGAATGAGGGCAAGAAGCTTGGGGATGTGCCTTGCTTCTGAGAGACGGGAATGTGCAGGGAATGCTTATAATGATTACTCATTCCAGTGTTCTTGCTTGTCAATAAACACCAGCTCTGAGCTACCGACCAAACACACATGCAGCAGCACAGAGCTGGAGCAGCACACTTTTGGATCTCACATCGCACACTGCGACAGACACGCCTGAGAGTGTGAGTCGTTCCGTAAACACAGATGTGGGCCCTAATGTGGGCTATTGGTTTAATACAAACTAAAATTACTCAGCACGTTTAATCAGGGTGTCTGCTGAAATGGCCCCAGTTATTTGAAATTTAGAGTCAGGCCCATGGTGCTAACAAGCAAAAACTGTACCAATCAAAAGGAGAATTCTGTTGTTCATAGGAAGTGCAATGTTGGGTTAGAGATACAAAAATGCAATTGCATAGCAGAAGGTCATGAATGGTCAATCAATGCTTAAACGGGTTGATGTTCATATGGAAAAGGTAAAAAGCAGCTTAGCAAATCACAGGATATAAAAAAGGGTGCTGTATCACTTCTTGCACCTACTCACTTATCGCAGTCTGGCCTATTTCACGGTCTTGCTGTTGTATGGCTGTGGGATTCTGAATGGCGGACATCCTGACTTATTCATCTCTGAATACTCTACAGTACCAAGCACATTTATTTATTCAACATGTGATTTATTGAGTGATTACTATGTGACAAATACTATGCTAGGCATTGGGAATGTATGCCTGAACAGAAATTGTTATGGTTCCTGCTCTCATGAAGCTTACAGTCCAGAGGGAGAGACAGACATGCGTCAAACAAACACCCAGACAGTTGTGAAATCATGACCGACATGAAACTATGGAAGGGGAGGTGTGTGGTGCTGTGATTGTCTGTCAGGAGAGCTTGATCTTGCCAGGGAGGCTGGTGAAGCCTTGGTTATGAAAGTGACAATTGAACAGAGATTTGAAGGAGGAGGAGTAGAAATTATCCACACCCAAGAGCAAAGACCAAAGGAAGAGGCAGAATGAACAGGACGGGCAAAGTCCCATAGCATGAAGAATCAGAGCACATTCTCCCACCTGACTGGAGTGTAGAGGAAGAAAGCATGGGCCAAGATGAGGCTGGCAGCCTGGTAAGGGGTCAGAAGATGAAGACAGCCCTTGAAGGTCATGTGAATCATTTTGGTCTTTATCCTAGAAATAATGGAACTCTGTTGATGTGATTCATGATTTACATTTTTTATTCTTGTTCTTGTTGCAGTTGGCAGAATAGATTGGGAGAGAACAAACCAGGAAGGGATAGACTAGTCGGAAGACTACTGTAGTAGTTCAGGCAGGAGATGGCTGTGCCTTGGAACTTAGGAAATATTGGTTGGAATGGAGACACGAATGCACTTGGGAACTTTTAAAGGAAAGTTGTAGGTGGGAGTCAGAATCTGCAGAACTGAAATCTAAGTCTCCCCACTGTCAGCACCAACACTCCTGGGAGAGTGCTGAGAAGAGCGTCCGTCCTCAGGTTCCTGCTTGTATGCTATCTCTTTCAGTTTAGGTGTGATCTTGTCCTGGAACAAGGAATAGGTTGTTTTTAGAAATCCCATACTTCTTGGCGGTCTAATAATCTCAATCTCTTAACTGGTGCCCTCTCTGGGTCTAATGTAGGGCTTAAAATTGAATAACTCGGTTTCTCTACCCTTCAAAAATATTACAAAAAGCCCTAGTTGTGTTTTGTCTTCTGGATTCTGTCTGTGGTTGTTTCCTCCTGGAAGAAATCAGGCATTTTAGAAAAGCGCTAATTGGACGCCATAGTAGCTTGTGGCCACCAAGATGCAACTAGTTCACAAATATTATCACGATGCAAAGCATGTATGACCTCCACATGGCCCACCGCCTAGACCCCTCTGAGCAGAGAGTGGCATCTATGGCTGGCTCCCTACAAACATTTTTTAAATTGCAGTAATTTATTTAAAAAGTGAAAGGTCCTTGGAATCAAAAGGGACCTTGGAAATTGTCTAGTTGAGTGCTTTCATTTTATAGATGAAGCACTCGGGCAAAGGGCATCTGAGTGTCTTACCTGAAGTCACATAGTCAGATAGTGACTGAGCCCCCTCTTGAATACAGCTCTTCTCGTCACCTGTCGCGTGTCATATCAAATCATAGTGAAGGGCTGGACTGAACTTTGCCTCCCAATCTGTTACGCTGCTGGAAAACGGACCTATAACCTTGACCATTACTGTGTTCCCTTGAAGCTCTCTCACCTTAGTGTACAAAGAACATTGTGGAACAAGGTAGCTCCAAGCTCCCTCTTACCCAAAGATCAGAATCTAGGTCAAAAACAAACAAACAGAAGCCCTGTCTCCTTCAGTGGCATTTGCATACTTCGAATGACCTTTGTAATGATCTGGGAGACTTCCAGAAATACTTTGCTCCTTGATATGCAGAAGAATATGTTCAGGGTAGTACAATACCAAATGCCAGATACGTGTCAACTTGACTTGTTTGGTCTACGCACCATGACAGGTACCTGATTTTATCATCACTACACTATCAAAACATCTATTTTTAAATATCTGTTTGGGCTTGGCTCTGCACTAAGCCAAGAGAAAATCTATACTGAGAATCCCACAGTCTCTACATTAATGATTCATGTTAAATGGTGGCTTAGAGTGTACAAATCACATACATGTACGGCATGACTATTTTGTGTGCTACTAAGGGAAAGAGCCAAATGCACTAGGTCTTCTTACCTCCCCACTCCTAATACCACCACACTGCCTTCACAGTTGACAACATAGACATGGGTGCAATCAAAACAATAGGTCCAAAAGAGCTGTAGACAAATGTAGAACAGGAAGCCAGAGTTCAGACTCAAAACCATGCCAGATATGGTCAGATGGTAGCAGGCCGAAACAGGACAGTGGGGAGGCCAAGCCCCTATGAGAATTTCCATTCTAGGAAGAAAGGCCTACAGAAGCCTTTGGCTTCTCCGAATAAGCTAACCTGGTTCTCCTGAACATCCCAGTGCCAAGGGATTTCCCATACCCCTCAAAGAGAGGAGGATGTTGGAAGAGAGAATGTGGCAGATGGAAATAGCCCATCAGCTTACAGGCTCCAAGAGAAGCTGCAGTTTCCTTGGGAGTCCCCTGGCTTTATCCCATGGAGGAGAGAGTGCCCAGTCTTACTTGGCACTGGGATGGATGCCTCTTTGGGTGAAGCCCAGATGGGAAGGAATCATGAAAACCACTATCAGGATTTTGCATGTTTTTCTGGTGGGCCCCACCCTCCTTTTGTTTGGTGCGAATTCTTGAGAGTCAATGGATACTACCTTATAACTGCCATCAGTTTAGCCCACAATGTCCATGAAGATTGGGTCACTTCTTTCTTATGGCCCAGATGACTGTTTCTTTTCTTCTTTCACTGAAATTACTTATTTTTAAAGCAAACAATTAGCTATCCTGCCTTCACCGTGTGGAAGGAAGCACTGACTTCCTGACCCAGGATGTGGCCCCTGACTTTGCCTCTGACTTTGCCTCACAGCTTATGAGCCAAGTGATCTTGGGCAAGCAGTTTAATGTATTGAATACCTGTAATTCTCTCTGTAAAATCCAAAAGAACTGTTTTGCCTAATTCGCAAGTGGACCCAAAGGTCAGGAGAGGAGCCCGATGGACACACCCCTTCCGAAGTGCTGTGCAGTTCCAGGTTGCCAGGTCTCCTTGCCTTGCTTCGGAAGGCGACCCTTGTCTGGGCATTTCTCTCTCCATTTTCTGTGACTTCCTCTCTCTCTGGCTAGGACGGCTTGTGATGATAACTAGCAGTGGAGTGCATGCCAAAGAGTCTGTGACTCTTGTTTTGGAGCAGGAGGCCTATCCAGGGAACTCCTGCATTCACTTCCCAGGCATGAGTCAATGTTTGGTTTGCCTCTTTTTTCCCATGGAGAACACTGGGAAGTGGCTTATCTTTCCCCAGCTGAGCCCTGCCAGAGAACGTGGACTTTGCCATTTGGGTTGTGATGAGAGACCTGAAACGGGTTCAGAAAGAGCTCCAACACGGAGCCTCAAGTGAAGCTAAAAGTGCTCTCTGGCTCCGTGAAGACCAGGCCTGGCTGATAATGCCTGCCTCTTACAGTTGCAGTCACTACTAAAAGTAGAACTTCCGGGAATGGTGTTTGGCTGCAGAATATTCTTTTGTGGAAAGAGGGGTCCTCTTTGACACTACTGAACATGTTTTAGAAAGGGGCCTGACTGATTTCTCTACACATGGGCTGATGAATGCATCCCTAGAGGTTAGATTCGTCTTTGCCCAGGCCCAAGGGGAAACTACAACATCATCTCGTGTCCCCACAAAGCCTTGCACCCATGCTGGGCTAAGTCCAGAATGAGCACCACTGATTTAGCACCATTGTTTTTCTGCTTGCGTGGGAGAAAGGGGCTGCCTTTCTGGAATCAGTCATATACCCATCTTGTACTCTGCCCTAATCCAGCAGGCTCAGCTTCTTGGGAGCCTCAGAAAAAGACCCAGCTTGAGCAGGGATAGTGAGGTGGCCTGTAGTTCTGAAAATGGCCCTTGAGACCAGGAACCTCCCACGCACACTGCACTTGGGAAGAGTCCTTCTGTCTGTGTTACCAGGCTGTCTTCTGGGCAGCAAAAGTCCGCAGGACTTCAGCATAAACTGGGTCTCTGGAGGACAGGGGAGCTCTTTGTAACTTACCCACACATTGAGTCTTTGTCTTGCCTGGGGTGGGGTGGAGAGCTGCTCTAACCCTCCTTTGGGACTAGAAAATTCATTCTTCATTATGTCTTAATATTCATAAAGGTCTCTGAGCCTCACTTTGTATGGGCAGACTCTCAGAGACGTAAGGTGGCACCGTCTAGCTTTGGTTGTGAGCTGCTCAGCACCCAGCCCCAGGTCTGTCTCACATGCAGCAGAAGCTATGTTGATGTGGTCAAATTTCATAGAAACAGTGGATGCTACTTTAGAAGGCAATTAGACACAGCTAAGCTTGGCTGGTTGAAGTCAGGTTTGTCTGGCAGGCACACGTGCCTGTAGATTAGAGGTGCGGGAGAAGCCATTGACACTTTTACTCAGTCAGTATTCCAGAAGCACCATTGCAGCATGTGTGCCTGGGAGGGCAAGAGGTTTGTTTGTTATCAAGGTCATATTTTATGCTGTGGCTGAAGAGCAGAAACACAAGAGAGTTCAGGAAGATAGGGGAGATGGGAGAAATCAAGGAAGATGCATTATAGCTTTTTTTCCCCTGGTAAAAGCATCTTATAATCTTGATTCTCCTTTATTTTCAACTGTTCATGATTATTTTTTAGCTATATTTTGGTGGTGACATCTGGGAACAGAGTGACTGTGACAGATTTTTCAGTAAAGTTTCCCTCGTCCTTCTGTTGTGTCTCTCCCAGATGCTGTAGGACTTGCTTCACCATCAACAGATCTCACATTTAGGTCTATGGCTGGACTTTATTTTTCACAAATAAATTAATGCATAAAAATATGTTAATTATGCTTTCAGAATTTCCTGAAGTCTCCTCTTTTGTATTGCATTGAACATTTGGTGGTAGGTGGCAGAGGGAAGCCAGAAAGCCAAGGTTAGAACTAGGCAGAAAGTTAGGAAGAAAGTGGGACTAGGAATATCTGGAAGCCAGAGACAAGGAAGGGCAAAGGTGAAGCCCAGACCACCCAGCACAAGGTTCTGCTGGGACAGAGACGGAGGCAGAAGATGAGTCAGCCACCCCGCAACGGGAGCTCACAGTGCACCAGGGAGAAGGAATCCTGAGCCCTCAGGATGTTCCTGTGCAGGGCCGAGGACCTCCCGTGTTGAAGAGGAGGAGAGAGGCTTTCAGGGACTGTCACCCACAGGGCAAGCACCTCTGTGGGCTGCTCCTGGCCTGACATACCAGAGGGCAAGTTGCAGCAATCAGACATGGCAGAACCCTAGGGGGCGGGCACAGGGCATCTCTGCATGGACAGTGGCTGCCACAGATCTTCCAACCTGCCACTGTTCACAGCCCAGCCCCCAACACACCAGGACCTGCCACTGTTCACAGCCCAGCCCCCAACACACCAGGACCTGCCACTGTCCACGCCACAGCCCCACACACACCAGCACCTGCCACTGCCCACGCCACAGCCCCACACACACCAGCACCTGCCACTGCCCACGCCACAGCCCCACACACACCAGCACCTGCCACTGCCCACGCCACAGCCCCACACACACCAGCACCTGCACACTGCCCAGCCATAGGCACACACACACTTGTGCATGCAAATTTATATGCACACACTCACACACACTTGCATACACACCCACACCCGCACACACTTATACACAAACATCCATGCACACACTTATACACACAAATACCCATACCTGCCCACACTTACACACAAACCCATCCATGCACATCCCTATGCACACACACACTTATTTACACACACCATGCCTGCACACCACCCACCCATATGAGCACAAACACACCCACACACACACACTTATACACGCTTCCATACACATTACACACATACATACTTTGCTTATATCCACACACCATGCCTGCACACCACCCACCCATATGAGCACAAACACACCCCCCCACACACTTATACACGCTTCCATACACATTACACACATACATACCTTGCCTATATCCACACACACCACCCATACACGTGACACATGCACACTCTTCTCCACACACACCACACATACATATGCACACCACACTCCTCTCGTGAACCTTTTTTTGCTTATGAGGGGTCTTTTGGAGGCTGTCTCTCTGTAATATGAGAGGCAGAAGTGCCATGGGACTCCTCCTCGGAACTGGCAGTGCTAGAGAAAGAGACTGCTTCCTGGGTGTCAGAAATGGAGAAATTTAGGACCCCAGTCATCCTCCTTGCCCATTCTGTGCCTGGTGCTCAGCAAGGTGCACAGCCTTGACTGTTCCCACTCTGCACACACAGTGGTCACGAGTACCCCCTGAAAGAGCGGCTGTGGTTACTCATTCACTCACTCTGGCTCAGAAAACTCCTCCAGTTCTCACCTCCCTTCTTCAGAAACACCTTGTTCTTGCTGAGATGTGTCCCTCCATTCAGCTCTGTGGCCTGGCGCTGCTCACTGCTGCTTGGACCCTGGCACCGATGGCTTTGCCCAGGAGTCAGCCTGGCTCCAATTAGTTTTCTGTCCCCTGAGATGATGCCTCTCAGATAGCTTCCCACAGCTCCTTGTCCTGATGCCTGGGTTTCTGTCTGTACAGTCCAAACCCCCACCGCCCTAGCGGTAAGTATGGGGGAGTTGCCCCCACTCCCTGACTCCCTGTTGCCCTTTATCAACCAGAGGAATTCCGCTTTTATTACACTAGCAGTACACGATCACTTTCCACTATTAAAAAATTAAGACCCGCTGTACTATCAGTGGGCTCCCAAATTCTTGTTTATGAGCTCCTGTGGTTTTTACAAAAACCATTTTAGGCATGCACATGCAATATATATTTATGCATGTATAAATGATGTATATAGGTTACTACTACACATGTATAGAAATATATAATCACTACACATATTTTTTCTTATATATAATGATAAAAAGAGTAAGATAAAAATAGATAAAAGTAGGAATTCTGATATTCCTTCCTTTCACATCCGTGTATCACTCAGAGGACCCTTGAGGACAAGCACCTCTTTGGAGACCATTGCAGAGAGTCGTGCCACGTGACTGGGAATGGAGTCCAGACAGAAATGTCAAATCATTCTTGGCAAGATGCGTCTAATGGCTTGGCTCTGACTGCCTCCCTCTGGGACTTCGCGTGGGGATGTGTCCTTGGCCACAGCTCACTCTGGATGTGGGTACAATGCCGTTGCTACGGAAGACCCCATCTTGTGGCAGCTGTAGTGTTCTTCAACAATGCTACCTTTGTGGTAAAAATGAGTAACACATCAGTGAATACAGACCTGCATCCAGAATATTCTGTTGTTTATATAAAAAATAAAAAAGACCACTGAAGGGAAATCAATGCAAACAGTCTTTGCGAGAAGAAAAGGCCAAGGACAGGGACCATCCATCCCCGTGGCTCGTAACTCTCCATCTCCAGGGTTCTCCGCCTTCTCCCGCTCTGTCCCGGCTCTGCACCGGCTCTGCACCAGGGACCATCTACCCTGGGGACACTGAGGCCTTAGCTTTCCTGGTTTAGGCTGGAAAGCACCCTTGCCCCTGAGGAGAAATTCAGCTAAGGTAGAGTTGGAATTTTTCAAAAGAGGTATTATTAAAACTCATTCATGGAGATACACAGAAAAGAGCAAAACTCGGAAAAACTGGGAGTGGATGCCTCTCCTTAGCATAGTTTTTGTCCTGAAGTGACTGGAGTCCAGCCCCAGCCCCGGCGGCGGTGGTGTGAGTGTGTCCCCCCAGATCTTTGGCTATGGGAAGTGTGACTGACTAGAAGCCTCGGATGTGGCTCTCCGAAGCCCCTGGCTGTGACGGCTCCAAGGTCGCGTTCTCTCAGCCACTATCTGGCCATAACAGAACGCAGTGGAGATATCAAGTCAGGTCTGCTGGTGGGAGATGCGTCTCCTCTGATGGAGACTGACACGAAGCCTCTCCAGGTACCTCAGAGCCTTCCCCAGAGCTGCACTGTGCTGTCTGCCTCCACCCACCAGCTGCCAGCCTTGCTCTCCCTCTGCGGGGGTCGCAGTCCCCAAGCTCTCCCAGATCTCATGGCTCCTGCCCAGCTTCTCTCCCAGTTGTTTCTCCCGATAAGCGCCCTGCACACGTAGACCTGTCCTTACTTCTGGTTGTTGGAGGATGAGGCTGGCGTTGTGTTGAGCAGGCATGGGAGCCAGCGCCAGACTCCATTTATCAGTTTCTGGTCTGTTATTTGCTCAACTGCTCACTCTGCGAAGTTGAACTAGGACTCACTCATGGCGCTGTGAGGACTGGGAAATCTTTAAGATCAGTAGAAACTTTTTTTTTTTTTTTCCTCTTCTTGGCAGAATCCAGGAGCCCCAGCCCTTGGAGACCCTGCCTTGACCCTTGAGGAAATTAAACATTTTTTGACATGTTTCCCCAAATTTCTAACTTGAGTTTCGGGCTTTTCTGGACTGGTGGTAAAGGTACTTCCTTTCCCTCTTGATGCACCCCAAGCCCATTACAATCCATCTTCTGTGTATTTCTCATATTCCTGGTTGGTTATCTGGGGCGTAGTCACTGTTTGGCTCATAAAGCTGGTCCACCCTTCAGTACTGTTCCTGTTCTTGATTGTTATGGTTTTGTATTAGCTTCTCGAACTTGATTTTTCTATTATCCCTATGGCATGGCTTTTCAACCCCGGCACTCTTGACGTTTTAGGCACAATAGTTCTTTGTTATGTGAATTTCCTGTGCATTGTATGATGTTTAGCAACATCCCTGGCCTCCAGCCACCAGATGCCAGTGGCACCTTTTGAGCTGTGACAGCCCAAGATGTCTCTAGACACAGCCAAATGCCCCCTGGGGAGCAAAATCATTTCTGGTTGAGAACCACTGCTCTGTGATTTTAAATGGTCAGTGCAGTATCCTAGCAACCCCTCTAGCTGAAGAGAGTTGCCTTCCTCCCAGCTGGTGGAAGATGGCCTTCTCTTCTTGTATTACAGGACTGCACCTCTGACCTGCTCTGGTTCAAGTCTGTGAGGAGCTTCTGGTTCTCAGCTTATCTGTTTTCCTGGAAATTCAGTTTATCCAGAACCTGTGAATCAAGTCATCAAATTTTTCTTCTTTTCCAGATGCTCTTTAATGAATACTTTTTAGGGATGGCTAATAAGATGAACATATTTGATAGTAACACTATTGGGTATAATAGTAGGGTTGTTCTAGAGTGGTATATCTGGAATAAATTAGATATGAGAAGGCTTGCACCATAGCTGCATTATTAATTTAGCTGGACTGACTCTCTCAATGAGCATGTGATTTTTACCAGGCAAATGGTTCCAGCAACTTTCTTAGGGTAGACTTCAATATTTTAGTCTACTATCTTGAGGGTACACAGGAGTGAGAGTGACAGCTCAGACAAATTTCCTATAGACAAAAACATAAAGCTAAACTAAAAGGCAGTATTTAAAATCAGTGGGTTATAAATAACAGTGCAGACCTACGTACAGTTATGGCAATAGAGTTTTGAGATCAATTAAGAGTACTGAGCCAATTTGAAAAGAAAGGAGTCTCCTACCATAAAAAAGTGAGAATTGTCCTAAATATTTAAAAAAGGACTCTTGACTTTAGTCTTTAGGTTACTTCTAACCTAAAGGGGTCGTTGGCAGGACATTCAGAGTACCCTGTATCTCCCTGCAATGATTTAAGTAACGGCAGATGCCAAGCACTCCAGACGAGGAGGAAGGGAGCACACATGGGAAGCTGACATGGAGCTGGCAAACAGGAAATAAGAGTGTTTGGTTTTTCCCTCTCTCTTCAGTCCCTTTTGGGAGAGACTTAGGAGCTAAAGAATCAAGCCCACATTCCAGAGGTCAGTGTCTCCAAAGCTCCAAAACTAGGGAGCAGCCAACTCGCCTCCCTTGCACACAATCACTGCAGAAGGCATGTGTGAAGGTTATGTGACCAGTATCCCCTGTACTGGTTCCTCATTGCATCAAAGCCTCTCATGATCCCTACTGCAAACACTGACAATGCTGTAGCTCCAAGGTCTTGCAGATGCCAGGCGATGTGAACCATTGCCACAGTTTTGGGGTGTCTTTGTTTTCGTTTCGTGACCAGCCTTGAAGTGTCTCTTTATCTTGCATAATTTGCTCTCCAATTCTCTGTGGCAGACTTCTCCACAGCCCTAGAGGGGCTTGGTGTGTAGGGACTGACCCTTTGGGATACTGAATCATGATTTTTTTCCTGTATTCAACTGACCTTGCTGGCTCGATTTCTTTGCTGCTGTGTTCCTGACAACAACAATTTTAGATGCTAAACTCTTAATCTCTGTAATGCAGCTCATGAATTAAGATCTTTTCATGAACCATTATAAATGCCAAATTTAGTTTAGATAAAAGCTACTTCCTTGCAAAGCTCCATAGGCAACAACTAATTCTACAAGGTCATTATGCAACAGGTATCAGTTATGCACTCACTTTCTACCAGGCACTAGAGGCTCAGGATGGCGAGATGTCTAAGACAAGGCCACTCTCCTTGAGTGCTTCACTCAGGGAGACACAATTCTGTAAACACGTTAACAAAACACAATGTACTGCCTCTGCAGTCTTTTGCATAAACAATCCTATGGAAGCGCAAGGAAGGAAGAAACTAGCTCTGCCAGGTTTCATGAAGGAGGCTTCCCAGATGAGATGACATTTGAGTTGGGTTTTTAAAGGATGAGAATTGCATTAACCACATGCACTGATGTTTGGGGATTGGCTGGGAAACAGGAGACAGGGGGTAAAGCAGTGGAAGAAAGGAGTAATCCAAGCCAACCTCCAAATTGCAGTGTTGAGAAAAGTGGCAGTGCTCTGTGATCTAAGCAGTAACACTCTTGTCGTGCTGAAGATTTGGTTTGTGTCATTTAAATGTCAGAAAAATTACGAATGGGGCTGGTGAAATCTGAACTTTTAATAACCCCACACATTTCTCAATGTCCATGTTATAAATAGAGTCAAAGGTGTGAGAAACCATTTTTTTTTTAAATGTTTGGGGCTTCTCACATTATCAGAGGCATGGTGCATCTCTCTTCATATTCTTCTGTTGTGTTTACTCCCAGGGAGAATTGCTACCTCTAGGTTTATAAATTCCAGACAGCAGGTCCAATAAGAAGAAATTCAGCTTTATGCCTTGAAAGGTTTGTTTTAATTGTAGAGTGTGCTCAAATTTCAGGATAAAGGCATATTTAGTTGCTCATTGACTTCTTGAAAATGGGTTTACATGGTGTGATATTGTGATATAATAAGAAATATATATTGGTCTCTGCCCTGGTTCCTGGGACAAAGCTGCTAATATCCTTGTAGATAGGGATCCTAGGAGAATCTTCTGTTCTGATATTTGGTCTTTGGCTCTGGTTTCTGACATGGAACTCCTAAGACCTTCCTAATTTCCTGAGTGATAGGCTAGTCTGACAGAGATCCTAAATACCTCAGAATATCCTGGAGGATAGGAACACCTTTTTGTCCCAATGAGGCAACTCTTTGGTAGGCTCCTGGATGGACTCATGATGTGATCTTGTTGCCAGGGGAACCAAACATGTGATTGGAAGGTTGGGACTTCCAGTTGTTCCCCTGAGATTTGGGAATAGGGGAGAGGGACTGAAGGTTGAGCTAATCACCAGTGGCTAATAATGTAATCAGTCATGCCTATGTAAGAAAGCTTCCATTAAAAAGCCAAAGGACAGGATTCAGAGAGCTTCTGGATTGTTGAAGACATGGAGATGCCTGGAGGATGGTGCCGAGGCTGTACCTCTTCCCCATACCTTACTCCATTCATTCCTTCCATCTGGCTGTTCATCTGTAGCCTTTGTAACGTGTTTTATAACAAGTGGGTAAAATGTAAGCAAAGTGTTTCCCTGAGTTTTGTGAGCCGCTCTAGTAAATCAATCAAAGACTGGGTGGTAGGTGTGGGAATCTAGAACGCTAATCAAACACAGGTAAGTAGGTTTGGGACAAATCCTGATTTGTTGCTGGTTGGTCAGAAACACAGATCACAACCTGGAGCTTTCTAATGGCCTCTGAAGTGGAGTAGTCTTATGGAACCAAGCTCTTAACCTGCAGGATCTGATGCTCTTGGAACACCCAGCTGGTGTTCATCAGAAAATTGCTTAGTGTGCGAGGAACCCCCAACCCCACAACATCTGGTGTCAAAAGTGTGTTGAGTGACTCTGTGAGAGTAGGAAAAAGAGATTCTTTTGTCCCTATCTTTTCAGACATGGCCATTGCTCTTTAACTCATTCATTCAACAAATGAAGAGTAACTACCTGGCATGGGTCAAGCACTGTTCTAGGACTTTGGGGTGCAACAGCAAATAAAACAGACTAAGAGTTCTGCCCTTAGGAAGCTTACATACTAGTGGAGAAAATCTTATAATACACAACAAACATAGCATGTAGATAAATTTTATAGTATGTTAGAACAACTGAAGAAATATGGAAAAAAGCAAAAAAAAAAAGTACATCAGGCTATGGAGAATGGGATTATGGGGAAGAGAGTCGCAATTACAAACAGGCCAGTCTGGCCAGACCTCACTGAAGGAGGCCACACTTGGGCAGAGATGTGAAAGGGGTAAAGGAGTTTGGAAAGGGCATTCCAGGCAGAAGGACTGGCTGGTGCAAGACCTCAGGGCATGAGTGAATCTGCCTGGCTTATTCAAGCAACAGTCAAGAGGCAAGTGAGGCTCAAGCAGAGTAAGCAAGTGGGAAGAGAGTAGTAGATGTGGGCAGAGAGGTTTTTAAAGGATAAGGGAGCTTATTGGGGTACCCAGTTAGCCACGCGGTCCTGTGTAAGAAGTTCGGCTTTTATTCTGAGTTAGATGAGGAGCTCATTCAGATTTTTAGCAGAGGAGTAGCAGGACTCGCTTTGTTTAAAAGAACATTCTGGTTGCTAAAGCTTAGAGGCAGAGACCAGTTAGGAAGATACTGCCCCAGTCCAAGCAGATGAAGGTAGCTTGGAACAGGGAGATTGCAGAGGAAATGATAGTGGAAGATTATGGCTGTAGCTGAAGGCAGGGCCACCGGGATGGCAGAATCAGGTGAGAGAGAGTGGATTCACGGAGGACTCCAAATTCTTTGATCCGTACAATTGGAAGGATAAAGTTGACACCAATCGCAATGGAGTTCTATTGGTGGAACAGGGCTTTAGGGAGGGATCAGGAGTTTCCTTTGGATGTGTTGAACTTGAAATGGCTATGGGGCATGTTGAGTAGGCAGTTGGATTTGTAATGAGATTGGAGTGTGTGTGTGTGTGTGTGCGTGTGTGTGTGTGTGTATGTGGCTGGCATATCAATGACATGTAAAGCTGCAAAGCTGCATGTGATCACCAGAAGAGGAATGCAGAAAGGGAAGAGAAGAGAGTCCAACATGCAGCTCTGGGGAACTTCAACTAAAAGAGGTGAGGGAGATGATTACATGGAGGCATGACGAGTTCATCCATGGTAACGTGTAGGTCAGGTAGTAAATGGGTCAAGGTAACAACCTTGCTTGGCTTGCAGGCTTTATGTTGGCACAAAGGTCTTGACCACATGCTATCCTAAATCACTGCAGGACACAATTAAAGGAACAAAGGCAGTGCTATTAAAGTACAGATTCCATTTATATCAGTCCCTTAAGTATTTAGTGCTGGGGCATGAAGAAAAGCCCAAGAGAGGGGGAAGCTAATTCTATGCCCACAAACGATTTGCATCATAAGGAACCTTAAGACCATTTAAGACAAACAGCTTGAATCACAAATGAGAAGGCTTGGGGTGTGGAAGTAAACTGATTTAATCAGGCTCACACAGCAACTTGTGGCAGAATCAGGTACAGAAATGAGCTCTAATTACTTCTGGGCAGTGCACTTTCCCCTATACCCTCTTCCATCTTGCAGGAAGTTTACTCTGTAGCATACAAAAGAAATGGTATTCTGAAAATCTGATAGCAGCTCTTCTCAGCCTGTGATGGCGAGACTTGAATCAAGGGGCCTCCTGGGTGGTCCAGGGGCAGCCTGGGCACTGCTCATTGGCTGCTCAAACTTGTGTGTCAGGAAGTGCACTCCCTACCAGGGCCAGCTCAGAACAGGCTGGGTGACTGTAGAGACGCACACCTGCAGTGTTAGGAGTGTCAGATGGTAAGCAAGCCTGTAGCAGAACTCTCCACTTAAAGACTTCCCCACATGGCCTCACTACTTTTCCAGTAGTCAGAGCACCACCAAGGTTAGGGTAATGTGCCTGGTGAGGGGAGTGGATGTGGGCATGAGGTAGGACCCCCAAAGCCTTTAAGAAGAGACACCCCAGAGGTGGTGCCTCACAAAGGAAGAGTAATCAATGAGAACTCGTGGAGTAAATGGAGACTTACATAGAAAGGGTACTCAGTGAGTACTCATAGAGTAAATGAGTGATCCACCTAACAGAAACAGCTACCTAAGCAGGTTAGCTAGAGAGGAGAGAAGCCAATGCCTTCTAACAACCCGTATGACCTCGGGCAGCTTGGTTAACCTCTCTGGAACTTAGTGTTTCTGCCCAGAAATGAGATTGGAGCTCCCGACTTAGAACTGTGGGAGAAGGTTGATTGAGAGTTGTCATAGGAAGTGTGAGAGGATTTTCAAGACAATCTCAGAGTGAGTATGGAACAGCATTGCCACCACCGCCAAGTTGCAGAAGGGCTGAGCTTACTAGCAAAGACATGGAATAAACCCAAATGCCCATCAATGATAGAGTGGATAAAGAAAATGTGATACATATACCCCGTGGAATACTATGTAGCCACGAAGTGGAATGAGATCATGTCCTTTGCAGGAATATGGAAGAAGCTGGAAGCCATTATCCTCAGCAAACTAACACTGGAACAGAAAACCAAACACCACATGTTCTCACTTACAAGTGGAAGCTGAATAATGAGAACATATGGACACAGGGAGGCGAACATCACAGAATGGGGCCTGTCAGTGGGACGGGGGTTGAGGGAGAGCATCAGGATAAATAGCTAATGCATCCGGGCCTTAATACCTAGGTGATGGATTGATAGGTGCAGCAAACCACCATGATACACGTTTACCAATGTAACAAACCTGCACGTCCTGCACATGTATCCCAGAACATAAAATTTAAAAAGATTGCTGTGGAGATTAATACAGTGCTTCAGCACTGTGCCTGACACATAGGCACTCAATAAATGGTAGTAATTTAAATTTAAAAAAAAAAACGAACTTATATATATCAAAAAAAGAGAAAGGGTTGAGCATAAGTTAGGAGTGGCACGTTGGGAAGCACAGGCCCTGTCGCTCTGTCCCGTCCTCTTGTCTGGAAGGTGCTGGGGCAAGCCGAGCAAGAGGTGAGGCACAGCAAGTGTTCATTCTTGACTCGAGTCGTTTTCAGCGCTTTCCTTGCTGTTTGGTGCGCACCCAGCTGCATCCGGCGTGGAGGGACAAGGCTGCTGACACAGGCAGATGTGATCTGTGGTGTAAAGTCACGGGGCAGAAGACGTTTGGCAGATCCTTTCACAATTACTTGCATTCTTCCCACTCCTCCAAGTGATTGGGAGGCTCGGGCCAGTTCCTTATGAGGCCAGAGGGAGCATTGCCTGCGGCAGCCCAGATGATTCCTGTGGGCTGGACTTGCAGTGTGGAGGCAGGTCAGCCAGGGCCATGGCTGCTGAGCTTGCAGAGGTCCCTCTTCAAGGGCATGGGGCCCTCACTAAAACTGCCTAACTTGCTCCATTTGGGAAACTGAGGGCAGAAACCACCCTGGATCATTACATAGAAAGTGCAAATAAAGGCTCAGAGAAAGAAGACATTGACATCCAGTGGTTCTTGTCCTTAGTCTTTTCACTCAAAATGTGGTTCCTAGACCAGCAGTATGGAAATGAAGAATCCTGGGCTGCACCCAGGCCTATAACCTTCCTCTGATTTGTACCCAAACCCAGCCCAAGCACATTTTCTTCCAAGTAGCCTTTCCTGGCCACTGTACACAGTAAAAACTCTTTCTCTGCTACCTCCCAGAGCAATGGCTCTCAACCTGGGCTGCATATCAGGACAACCTGGGGAAGCTTACAAACAACCACGACACTCAGGCCCTGCTTCCCTGAATTCTGATGTAGTTGATCCGGGTAGGAAATCAGATATTAATATTTTTGAAAAGCTTCCCTGGTAATCCTAATATCTAGTGTTGGGGAAAACGATCTTACAGCTTGCATTATTGGCTCTGAGTCATTTGAGATTTTTTTTTTTTTTTTTGAGACATACTTTCACTCTGTCACCCAGTCTGGAGTGCAGTGGTGTGATCTCAGCTCACTGCAACCTCTGCCTCCCGGGTTAAAGTGATTCTTCTGCCTCAGCCTCCCAAGTAGCTGGGATTACAGGGGCCCGTCACCACGCCTGGCTAACTTTTGTAATTTTGTAGTAGATATGGGGTTTCACCATGTTGGCCAGGCTGGTATTGCACTCCTGACCTCAGGTGGTCCGCCCGCCTCGGCCTCCCAAAGTGCTGGGATTACAAGCGTGAGCCACTGTGCCCAGCCTGAGATTTTAAGGATTTATTCTCTCAGTGGCCACTTCTACAACTGTCTTTACATTGTTGTCGCCATAATCAGAAAGTTAACTTGAGGACAGGAATCATCTCTAGTTCCCAGAGTCAGTGCTTACGACCTGGTGAGAGGAGCCCTAGGAATCAGCTCCCCTCAACTCTGTTCTTGCAAGCATCACTGGCTGTGTGGCCACTGGACTTTCTCAGCCCCAATTTCCTCTCTACAAAAGAAGACTGCAGTAGATGACCCCCTGAGGTGCTGCCTGCGCTGATGTTTCATAGTTCGAATGAGCACTTTGAAAATGGGGATTGATTGCAGCCAGCCCACTGCCTTGGAGCCTGGGGCTGCACCCATTTCAGCACTGTGTCCCATCCTCCTGCTCCACAGAGGGAGGTGCTGAGCTGGAGTTCTCCCCTTTGAAGCTGTGTCTTCTCAGTCCAGTATCAGGCTTTGCTGGGGCCCTCTTCACGAAGACTTAGCCCAGTCCACAGGGTCTCTTGGTCCTCAGGCCCTCAGGCTGGGCTAGCGGGCAGTGGATAACGGTCTTCTCTGTTTTGATCCTCATTTATGGAGCAAGGGAGAAATAGACACACTTTAAAATCAGCAGTCACAGGATGAAAATGGGAAGTGGGGGAAAGACCCACATGCAGGGATAAAAAATATATCAGAGCAGTCAGATGCCTGTTGGGTTTGGAAGAAAGAAAGTGGATGAGTGGGGGCACTGTGGGAACCACAGATTCAAATGGAAAACTGTGGTCTAGTGCAGAGGCAGGCAGCCATCCCGAACCTGCACAGGGCCAGCTTTGAAGGCGTGCACCGAGTGCGTTCTCCTGCCTTCTGCCCCAGGACAGCACATGGGCAGTGGCGTATGCTGATTAAACAGTAACCATTCTGTCTGGGGTACCAGGGTAACACTTTTCTGCTTATGTGGCTAGGACAATACCATGCACTGTTTCCTGCAGCCACTGCTTCCACTGATTTTATCAGGGATGATTAGAGCCACCTCATTGTTTCTTCTGCCGGCCAGTGTTCCCACACTGTTCTCCCAGGATCCTTGTCTCAGGCTTATTTGAAATAATAATAAAATAGTGTTGCTAATCCATTCACAGATTTCCTGAGGGATCACAACGCCAGAGCAGGTAGAGGAGCAGAGGCAAAGATGGAGAGACCATCTCCTGCCACATATTGTGCTGGAAGCTTTTGGGGATTAGTGAGCTCATGTCAGCAAAGCCCTCTGAGCCCCCGCGCTCATTACCCCTGAGCATTTTGGAGGTGCTTTTTATGTGCCAAGCCATTTGCAGGCACTAGGGAAGTAACCCTCTCAGGGCTCTGGGGAGTTCTTTGTTCTACTCTTTAAAATGCAGAAAAAGTAATTCAAGAATTTTGACTGAATGTAGGGTTAAGGCCTGTGGCTTTCAGTTCCTCTTTACTGTGGGACCTGGGACAAGACACTTTCTTTCCAGGGGCCTCCATTATTTTAAACGTTGGGAAGGAATGAAAATACCTACCTTTGTCACACTACAGAATGTGTGGGTCCAGGTGCTACTGATGGAGAGGGACATTTAGAAAATAGGAAGAAATATCTTGCTAATGTAAGACATTATTATTCTAACATTGTGCTTCCAGCTGGGTTGGTTGATACTTATTAGAGAGGCTTATTTTGTGCATGGTGAAAACCACAATCCTTAATCTCAAGGGGAAGAAAATGGTGCGAACTTCTAACCAATAGGTCCTAGTCCTCAGCTCATTTGGAAAAGAAACCTATGACTGATGAGGAAGGTCGGCCGGGAGTGTGGAAACAGAACTTGCATATTCAGTCATTACTCCTAGCAGGGAAGGCTTCATGTGGCCTTCATGGAGGCAGAGAGGAAGGAAGCGGTGATAGTTATAATTCATGTCCTCTTTCTAAGGAGGCAAGAGAAAAACTTTGTTCTCTTCCTTTTGGGAGGCATCAGTTCACCTCATTGCTTATTTATGGTTAACGATTATAAGACAGGGGCACTGGAGGCCAATGTCTATGGGTGACAAAGAGAAACTGAGTAGATGGAAAATGTGAGGCTGAGACCAGGTTTCTGGGATGAAGTCTGAGGTGTCAGTGGAAGATGGTGTGGGGGAGAGAAACAGTGAAGGGTCAGGAGGAGTGAAGCAGAGAAGAGGAAGCAGATTGAGGGAGGAGGAAGACAGGTGCATTTGGTGGTAGGAGGTTCCCGAGCAGGTGCTGAGCTTCAGCCAGACTCAGCCGTCAGAACAGCCTGGGTTCTGTGTTCCCCCTGGGCTTTCTCCCCATGGAGAGTCTGCCTGGTAGCCAGGCTCACCTTTTGAAGAAAACCAGGAGCTGGCCCTGTGAGGTCCCCTTGTCCCTGCCCAGGAGGCCTCCGGCCCCCTTCTCTCCAGTGCCAGCTCCAAGACAGTATCCATCTCAAAAGGCCAGGTCTTAATCCCTTCCCAATAAGCACTGAAACTATTAACAGATACTTGAAAAAGATGGTGTTACGTTCCTATTTTCCTAGAGAGGGAATTCCGGGGTTTGATGAGGTCGAGGGTCCTTCCCTAAGGTCATGTGGTGTGAGGCACCCGGAGAGCCTGCGATCGCCTCAGTGCTGACCTCTGCATGGCCCGAAAGCCTGCTGCTCAGCCCCTGTGCCTGCTACATTCATCTTCCCTGTCCCCTTAGGGGGTGTCTCAACCTTTCTTAGTCTGTCACATGTAAAGTCCCTGTTGGCCATTTTTGCTTCTGTATTTTAATGGTTTGGACTAATTCCCACTTTATTTTTGTATTTATTTTAACACAATCACTTATAATGAGGCTAATGACATTTTGTCTCCATGGTGGCGCATTTTAATTTGGTCTTGAAAATGTCAAAGCGATCAGGCAATTTGGTATCTCAGAAACACAAAACCTAGCAGGGACAATGGTTCCTCTCTTCGTCATTTCATCTCCCTTGTTATCTGCTAGCTCCTGGGGCCACCCAGTCCCATTTGACGGCTTCTCAATGCTGGCATGGATGAAGATCAGCAGAAAAACATCGCCGCAACAAAGCTGGGGGCTCCCGTGGCTGGCTCTGTCCAGTAGGTGCGGTTGGCACAATTAATCAGATCTCAGCACTCACAAAAGTCTGTTATGGAAGCGGGGCAGTCTTTTACTGATGGCATTTCTGTATCCATCTCTGTCCTTCCATCATGCCAGGGGCTTCCTCTGCTCCTGTCTGCAGTCTTCTTTCTCTGGCTTTCTAATTCTTTCCTTGAAGACAGGGTCAGCAAATGTATTTTGTGAAGGGTCAGACAGAAACTATTTTAGACTTTGTGAACCTCATCCAGTCTCTATCTCAAATTCTTCTTCTTTTCAAAACTCTTAAAAATGCAAAAAGTATTTCTTAGCTTGCAAACCATATGAGATGTCAGGCAACCTTGGATTTGGGGGTTCTCCGTGAAAGTGTTTTAGGGGATTTGGATTGAGGAGCTTAATCTAGTTTCTTTTCAGGACAGGTCTGCCTTGCATTACAGAGCCCCAGATAGTGACTTCCCTGAGGTTAGGTGGCAGATGAGTTCTCTGATGGTGGAGGATACAGCAAGTCTCCGCAGAGTGCTGATTTTGATTTCCTTTGAGAATGTGGGACCTGGGGCTAGTAGAGTCTTCCTCAGGAAGCCCGTCTTGGCCCGTGCTTGTCTGAATCTGGAGCTCTCTTGTCCTTGTCTTGCCTTTCCTCCTCCTCCCGCCTTCCCTGCCCACACTTCTGGCTGTCCATCTCCTCTGCACCCTGCTTAGTCCTCGGGAGGAAGAGGATGGATTGACTCTGCAGATGGGGCCAGGTCTGCTTTCCCAGCTCTGAGAGCAGTCATGTTTGTCTTTTCTTCAGTGCCCAGGCTTTGAAGAGGCTCATCTTTGAGATAGAAGTCAGAGTGGCGAAAGGGAGGGATTCTTGGTGTGGTAAAATCTTTAGGTCAAACTGGGAAAGCTCCCAGCCTGACCCGGATAGATCCCATGTCCCAGGAATTGCCTCGTGCAGGCTTCTCTTTAGAAACCACTTTATCAAACTTGTTGCCAGCTTTTCCATGTAGTAAGAATACTTTATCTCTATAAAGCAGCAATAAGTGGACAGTATCATATATTTCACTTTTAATAAGGTGTTGCCAGTTGCACACACTCTGTAGAGCAATTAGTGTCAAAAGCTGCTAAGCAATGGAGGAGCTGCGTTTGGCTGTTTACAGACTAGCAGGATTTACAGCTGGGCTTGGAGGAGCTGTGGCCACAACACAGAGGGTGAGGGAGGGGTTGTTGACCAGCTGAGTTTAAACTCCGCTGACCCTGCATGTTTCTAAATCTTCTCAAAGGCAGCCTTTGCCTTGTATTATGATGCTGGGTTTGGGGGCTGTAAGGTAGTGATGGTTCCACAGAGCTCATAGGGCCAGGGAAACAACATGAGTTTAGGGATCCCACAGATCTGAGTTTCAAACCTAACTCTGCTACTTAAAGGTGACTTCTAGGCCAGCACATTTTTCTGAAACTCACTTTCTTTATGCAAAAAGGACGTGAGAAAACCATCACGGAGCTTAGAATATAGATCCTTTTTGCATTCCCAGCCCTCAAATCCCCTGTGTCCTTTCAAATTGTGGCATTCCTGCCCCATCAATATTAATAAGGAGAAGGGAAGTTTAGTTCAGGCTAGGCTGTGCATCTTGTACTGAACAACTTAGCTGGGAACTGTCCTGATTTTAAAACTGAAAGCCCTGTATCCTGAGAGCTCTCAGTCCCAGGAAAACCAGGATGGCTGGCCCTCCTCAGTCCCATCCAGAAGGCCTTCTTCTGTCATAGGTGAGGGGCTCAAGTGTTGCCATTACCATCTCAGGAATTCTGGCCACACATTTAAACATAGGCAACGGCACACATCTCCTGAGAAGCAGAATAGTGGGACCTGTCCCCAGGCTAGGAAGCAAGTGGCCCAGAACTGTGGTACCTGAGGACTTGGACTGAAAATCAAAGGATCTGGCTACAACATTCTCAGATTCCTTTCTTCCCTGAAAATCGTGATCATTTAGTTGAGCCTTGGAAGGGAGAAGAAATATTTGGTTTCTTTTTTCCTGTACAGGTATATGTTTAGAGGCTCTGCCTGTGGATTCATGCCACATCCCACTCAGAGCGTCCCTCCACCCAGCTCACTCCAGCTCTGGTCATGACCTCAGCACTGCTCCAGTTGGGGCGAGGGAGCGGCCCCTCCTCCTTTCCCAGGGAGCTTGTCAGCCGGTTTGGACGAGGACGCTGGGGTGTACGAGAACAGCATGGACTGCGTCACCCTGCCTCGGCCACTGGCCAGCCACCCTGCCACCCTGCCTCTGTCTGTCCCTTTTGCAGGGTGGGGGCAGGAGAGGGGGTGGGCTCTAAGCCGCTGCTGTATGGCGTCATTTCTCACTTTGTAGAGAACACACACCTGAGGAGAGCATACCAGAGTTCACGTGGTGCTCCTCAGTCAGCTGTTGAGACAGGGCTCAAGTCTGGGCACCAGGTCTCTCGGGGCAAAGTTGTGCCAGCTTCTTTTCTGCCACGCTTCTGCCAAAGGCTGACTTGTCCTCCACAGTCAGAGATGCACTTTGGGCATTGGAGGACTGTGGGAGGGTGAACCATGGAAGGAAAGGGGGGTGAGAGGAATGGCTGGGTGGGGGAATGGGTAGGAGGCAGCAGCGGTCGTGGAAGGGGCGGCTGTGGAGGAGATGCTTTGAAGGAGGGAAAGGCAGGAATGAGCACAGCCTCGAGGCATGTTGGTGGGCAGAAAGGCTGCTGGATTAGGACGGAGGGGAGGGAGGGGCAGAAGTGAGGAGCCCGGACTGGTGAGGAGGGAGAGCTGCTCAGAGGCCTGGAGTGCCCTGTGGAGGAGGTTATGTGACTCACGTCGAAGATGGCCAGTGCACCCTGGGCGGGGTGGGGGGTCTTGGTCACTACCTGGCTCAGGTCGTTTGAAGCCCCTGCACTCCCCCATGAAGCCAGCTCCCCTCACAGTAACCTGCAGGCAGAGGGGATGGACTGACTTCCCCCAAGTAGTTCCTTATCAAGCCAATTGGGGTGGGGGAAGGTGTAGCTTTATTTGATGTATGATCCCAGAGTTAACCCCATGGGACTATGTCTTCTTTTTCTCATATAACAAAAGAGCTTTCAGGAAGTCAGTTATCTGATTTAAAATATTATTTCAAATGTTTGTTGGGTACCTACTTCATTTAAGTTTTGGAAGGGATGGCAGACCAATATAAAAGGGACATGTAATTAATTGGTTTTGACCATGAAAGCATAAACCAGGGCTATAATTAATTAATTTTGCCAGTGTGATTAGGTCATGACGTGTGTTTGGATTTCACTAGCCGCACTGTACCGTGGGGGGGTCCCTAGGAAGTCTCCAATGAAGGGGAACGTCATCCCTGGAGGGAGCACACAGTTTGCGTTGCCTGTGGACAGCGTATAGAAGCTGGACGGGTGAATCTGGCGCTTGTGTGTCTCCATGTTCTGTTTGCGGTGATCCCTTATTACGGGCAAGGAGACAACACTGCACAGTGTGGGTGGTGGGAGCAGGGGGAGATTGGAGCTCCCCAGCATTCTCTGTCCCAGCAGAATGGCTAGTGGTGCTGGAGCTGCCACAGGTTTTTGTTTTTTCTTTTCTGCTAGGACTGTCTCAGCTCCAAGCCTCCTGCCCCACGCCCCCATCTGCCCTCCCCAGGAGCCCTGTACTGTGCACTCCCCCTCTGCAAGCTTCCTAATTGCAAGGAGTCATCTCTCCTCCCTACTCAGACTCCTCCCTCTCTACTTTCCTGCCTTCTTTCTCAGTTCAGTTAAGTCCTAGTCTCTGAGTTTGTTCTCAAAATTCGAAGGTTTCTATTTTCACACCTCAGTAATTGGTGCTATCCGTTGAGAGTAACTCTGGGAACTCCAGCCTGCTGGGGTCAGGAAGAACTGACTTGAATTAAGGGAGCAGAAATTGGCTAGATGCAGGAGGAGGACTCGAGCCGGGTAATTCTCCCCGTGCAGGAGCTGCCATGGGAGCTGGCTAGTGGGCACCTCGCCTTGTCTCCTGGTCCCTTAATGGGAGCCCTGCAGGGGAGGTGGTGGGAAGGGAGCGAGGCTTCCCTCTTGGCCTTACTCTCAGCCCAGGGCATGACACTGGAGACTCGAGAAATATACGCAGTGCCAGGAGAAGGCATTATGTCAGTGAAATGACATTGGAGTATTTAAATATGCAAAACACCCTCTGTTTTTAATAGCATAATGGCCTGGAGAGAAGCTGACAGAAGCCAGGATTCTCTTGGTGACAGGAGTTAATCCATCCACTGTTCACGCCAGGGTGGCAGACACAGCCCCACTGACCTGGGTCTCAGTGAGGTAGGTCCGGCTCCTGGTTCCTGCTCACAGATGCTGTGTGCTAGTGCTGAGATGAGAGGAAATAGTGATTTTTGCTATTTCTCCTTTGATGTTTGGAATTGAATTAATCCTTTGATTTAAAAAAGTTAGCCAGGTGCGGTGGCTCACGCCTGTAAACCCAGCACTTTGGGAGGCTGAGGTGGATGGATCATGAGGTCAGGAGTTCAAGACCAGCCTGGCCAAGATGGTGAAACCCCGTCTCTACTAAAAATACAAAAATTAGCTGGGTGTGGTGGCACATGCCTGTAATCCCAGCTACTTGGGAGGCTGAGGCAGGAGAATTGCTTGAACCCGGGGGGCGGAGGTTGCAGTGAGCCGAGATCTCACCATTGCACTCCAGCCTGGGCAACAGAGTGAGACTCCCTTTCAAAAAAAAAAAAAAATATATATATATATATGTGTATGTATATATATATACATACACATATATATGTGTGTATATATATATACACACACATATATATATGTGTATATATATATATATATTTATTTTTCTGCTGGTGGTGTTGGTCATTTGTTTTTGATCTCCTGGAAGGTTTTCCAATTATTATTATTTTAAAAAAAACCCCAACAAACCTCTTCTACTCCCAGGCAGCAGGTGGGTGACCCTTCTTCCAGGCTGTGAGATATTCTCTCCCAAATCCATCAGAGAGTCTGCCTCCAGGGTAGAGATGAACTACGAGTGCAGCCCACAAAGAGCCTCAAAATCTCAAAGCATGGGCTTCCCTTGGGACCAAGGAAAGGTCAGAAGAGTGAGCACGGTGGCAAAGGGGTTAAGGTTCCATTTCTCCCCCACAGGAGGGGAGGCCAGGGATCATTAGCATATACACTGATGCATGTATTTGTTTCCCGATTGGAAATGTAACAGATGTTAACACTATTTGGATAGCAGGAGAAAATATTAAACAAAGCTAGGCACCATTTTTCTTTCCTATTGGGAATGCGATGGAGATGTTGTGTAAGGAAACTTGCTTTCATGCCCACTAGTTCCTCTGACCCTGCCTGCCCCTCGCCCGAAATCCCTGGTTCCCAAGACTTTTTCCCTCACTCTCCACTTTCCATATGGGCTGGTTTGCTGCCAGGTCAGCAAAAACGTTGACTTCTGGAGGGAGCTGGACGGCTTTTCAGCTTGTCCTCAGTGGACAGGGAGCATTGTGTCACCGTCCTTCAGTGACTGCAGTGGCATAAATACCATGGTGGTTCCAGGTCAAGATCCAACGCTGGCCCTGTAGCTTCCAGGCTTGGGATTTGTGGACTTGAACATGTAGGAGAACCTCATGTGCCTCATTGTAGTCATCTGTACAGTGGTAACAATCTTACCACATATCACACAGGGTTCTTGTAAACATAAAGCCATCATTCCATCTTAGAGCCTGTTGGGTTCCATAACTCCATCCATGGTAGCTGTTATTCTTACATCTAAAGTGACCACAGATCACTCCTCTGGCCTGCCTTGTTTTATAAGATTCATTTCTCATGCTTAAATCCTTTTTGCAGTTCTCCTTTGGGACCTCCCTGGTTTTCATATCCTTCCTATTAAGTGGAGCATAAAATCAGATGTGCGACGCTACTGGACTTTGGTTCCAATAAGGCCTGCATCTATGTGCCTACATTTGTCTTGCAGCTGAGACCGCACTTGTTCTTTGAGTAACTGTTAAGCTTTAGCCAGATGGGTGGGGAGAAGGACCCACTATATTTTCAAGTACAGTTGTCTTAGGCCCTGGGAGGCCCAGATGGTGCGAGGAAGGCTGGAGAGAAGGGGCCCTGCGCGATATTGTGCCCGGTTTCCTGGGATTGCTCTAGTTCTGACTCTCTTTTCTCTGACTCTTCTGGGTCTCGTCTGTGTCCTTTCACTGCCTCAGTCTCTCTGTCTCCTCTTCTGTCTCCCTCTGTCTCTGGCCCTTCCACATTTGGCTCTGGCATTGTCTCTACTTCATGTCTTGACCCAGCAAAGGTAGAATTTCAGGCCTTCCTTGCCAGCTTTGGAAGGGAGTAAAGCAGAAAACGCAGGGAAGCCAGGAGAGGTGCTCCTGGGAGAGACCTGGGCTCACTCTGGACTCTGAACTGGACCCCTTCAGAGCTCCTGTACACACTCAGAGGTGTTGGAATGAAGGGAAGCCTTGGAGCAACCGCCGCTTGCCCGGCACCCTCTCCTCTCCTCTCCGGTGGTGCAGAGATGCTGCCTTGGCCCCCGGCCCTCACACAGCCTGGCCTGTAATTTATACAAGTGCAGCTGATGTTCCCTTTTAAATTGACAAAAGCAGAGGATGGAGCCTGGGAAGCCTTCTGACCCTGGTGCCCTGGTCCGTGAAACTGACAGGCAGTGTGCAGTGCACTGTCTCTCGATTCACTTGCAGTGGGGAGATGCTGGTTAATTTGCCGGGACTCAGAGGTGACCCAGGTTTAATAAAGAGGATTAATGGATTTGAGCTAAAGGTCTTGGCTGTTTCAAGCAGATAGCCTCTTCCTTCTAAGACAGTTTGCAGCCTTTTGCTGAGTTCCTTCTCTTTGGGGAAATAGCACAAACTGCCTATTTAAAGGGGCCTTCCTTTTCCTTTCCTGCTTGACACTAGCTGGACTGAGCTGGCTGTGTGCTCTGTACGCATACTCAAAGCCAGAGGCATGAGGGCCCAAAGGAGAAATGCTGTTAACAAGAGCGACGTGACCAAAATCTCACTTTCACACTGTGCTGGTGGGAGCTTCCACCTGTCCAGAAAGCATCGTAGTAACAAGAATCAAAGCTCCTAAAATATTAGAAGTCAGGAGATTAGTTATTAAGTGAATCGGGGGGGACCAGAGAAAGGAAACGCTCAATGAAAGGCAATCCAAAAAATGAAGCAAGAAGTGAAGGGAGAAATATTCAAGGAAATAGATAGCTTAAAGAAAAAACTATCAAAAATTCAGGAAACTTTGGACACACTTTTAGAAATGCAAAATGCTCTGGAAACTCTCAACAATAGAATTGAACAAGTAGAAGAAAGAAATTCAGAGCTTGAAGAAAAGGCCTTCAAATTAACCCAATCCAACAATGACAAAGAAAAAAGAATAAGAAAATATGAACAAAGACTCCAAGAAGTTTGGGATTATGTTAAACGACCAAACATAAGAATAATTGGTGAAAAAGCATTAGACAAAATCCAGCATCCCTTTATGATTAAAACTCTCAGCAAAATCGGCATACAAGGGACACACTTTAATGTAATAAAAGCCATCTATGACAGACGCACAGCCAACATAATACTGAATGGGGAAAAGTTGAAAGCATTACCTCTGAGAACGGGAACAAGACAGGGATGCCCACGCTCACCACTCCTCTTCAATATAGTACTGGAAGTCCTAGCAAGAGAAATCAGACAAGGGAAAGAAATAAAGGCCATCCAAATTGGTAAAGAGGAAGTCAAACTGTCCCTGTTTGCTGACAATATAATCGTTTACCTTGAAAACCCTAAGGACTCCTCCAGAAAGCTCCTAGAACTGATAAAAGAATTCAGCAAAGTTTCTGGATACAAGTTTAATGTACACAAATCAGTAGCTCTTCTATATACCAACAGTGACCAAGTGGAGAATCAAATTAAGAACTCAACCCCTTCTTACAATAGCTGCAAAAGCTATAAAATACTTAGGAATATACCTAACAAAAGAATCAAAAGACTTCTACAAGGAAAACTACAAAACAATGCTGAAAGAAATCATAGATGACACAAACAAATGGAAACACATCCCACGCTCATGGATGGGTAGAACCAACATTGTGAAAATGACCATACTGTCAAAAGCAATCTACAAATGCAACACATCCCCATCAAAATACCACCATCCTTCTTCACAGAGTTAGAGAAAACAATTCTAAAATTCATATGGAACCAAAAAATAACCTGCATAGCCAAAGCAAGATTAAGCAAGAAGGACAAATCTGGAGGCGTCACACTACCTGATTTCAAACTGTACTATTAGGCCATAGTCAGCAAAACAGTGTGGTACTGGTATAAAAATAGGCACATAGACCAATGGAACAGAATAGGGAACCCAGAATTAAACCCAAATACTTATAGCCAACTAATCTTTGACAAAGCAAACAAAAACATAAAGTGGGAAAAGACACCCTTTTCCACAAATGATGCTGGGATAATTGGCTAGCCACATGTAGGAGAATGAAACTAGATCCTCATCTCTCACATTATACAAAAGTCAACTCAAGGTGGATTAAGGACTTAAGCCTAAGATGTGAAACTATAAAAATTCTAGAAGATAACGTTGGTAAAACCCTTCCAGACATTGGCTTAGGCAAGGTTTTCATGACCAAGAACCCAAAAGCAAATGCAATAAAAACAATGATAAATAGCTGGGACCTAATTAAACAAAAGCGCTTTTGCAGGGCAAAAGGAACAGTCAGCAGAGTTAACAGACAACCCACAGAGGGGGAGAAAATCTTCACAATCTATACATCTTACAAAGGACTAATATCCAGAATCTACAACAAAGTCAAACAAATCAGTAAGAAAAAAAAAATCCCATCAAAAGGTGGGTTAAGGATACGAATAGACAATTCTCAAAAGAAGATATACAAATGGCCAACAGACATATGAAAAAATGCTCAATATCACTAATGGTCAAAGAAATGCAAATCAGAACCACAATGCGATACCACCTTACTTTTGCAAGAATGGCCATAATAAAAAAATCAAAAAACGGTAGATGCTGGTGTGGATGCGGTGATCAGGGAACGCTTCTCCACTGCTGGTGGGAAAGTAAACTAAAACAGCCACTATGGAAAACAGTGTGGAGATTCCTTAAAGAACTAAAAGTAGAACTACCATTAGATCCAGCAATCCCACTACTGGGTATCTACCCAGAGGAAAAGAAGTCATTATTCGAATAATATACTTGCATACGCATGTTTATAGCAGTGCAATTCACAATTGCAAAATCGTGGAACCAACCCAAATACCAATCAATCAATGAGTGGATAAAGAAACTGTGGTATATATACAATGGAATACTACTCAGCCATAAAAAGGAATGAATTAATGGCATTTGCAGTGACCTGAATGAGACTGGAGACTATTATTCTAAGTGAAGTAACTCAGGAATGGAAAACCAAACATTGTATGTTCTCACAGATATAAAGGAGCTAAGCTATGAGGATGCAAAGGCATAAGAATGATACAATGAACTTCGGTGACTTGGGGGAAAGAGTGGCAGGGGGCAAGGGATAAAAGACTACAAATATGGTACAGCATATACTGCTTGGGTGATGCACCAAACTCTCACAAATCACCACTAAAGAAGTTACTCATGTAACCAAATACCACCTGTACCCCAATAACTTATGGAAAAATAAAATTGAAAAAACTTTTATTTTATTTTATTTTATTATTTTATTATTATTATACTTTAAGTTTTAGGGTACATGTGCACAATGTGCAGGTTAGTTACATATGTATACATGTGCCATGTTGGTGTGCTGCACCCATTAACTCGTCATTTAGCATTAGGTATATCTCCCAATGCTATCCCTCCCCCGTCCCCCCGCCCCACAACAGTCCCCAGAGTGTGATGTTCCCCTTCCTGTGTCCATGTGTTCTCATTGTTCAATTCCCACCTATGAGTGAGAACATGCAGTGTTTGGCTTTTTGTTCTTGCTATAGTTTACTGAGAATGATGGTTTCCAGCTTCATCCATGTCCCTACAAAGGACATGAACTCATCATTTTTTATGGCTGCATAGTATTCCATGGTGTATATGTGCCACATTTTCTTAATCCAGTCTATCATTGTTGGACATTTGGCTTGGTTCCAAGTCTTTGCTATTGTGAATAGTGCCGCAATAAACATACGTGTGCTTGTGTCTTTATAGCAGCATGATTTATAGTCCTTTGGGTATATACCCAGTAATGGGATGGCTGGGTCAAATGGTATTTCTAGTTCTAGATCCCTGAGGAATCGCCACACTGACTTCCACAATGGTTGAACTAGTTTACAGTCCCACCAACAGTGTAAAAGTGTTCCTATTTCTCCACATCCTGTCCAGCACCTGTTGTTTCCTGACTTTTTAATGATCGCCATTCTAAGTGGTGTGAGATGGTATCTCATTGTGGTTTTGATTTGCATTTCTCTGATGGCCAGTGATGGTGAGCATTTTTTTATGTGTTTTTTTGGCTGCATAAATGTCTTCTTTTGAGAATGAGAAGTGTCTGTTCATGTCCTTTGCCCACTTTTTGATGGGGTTGTGTGTTTTTTTTTTTTGTAAATTTGTTTGAGTTCATTGTTGATTCTGGATATTGGCCCTTTGTCAGATGAGTAGGATGTGAAAATTTTCTCCCATTTTGTGGGTTGCCTGTTCACTCTGATGGTAGTTTCTTTCGCTGTGCAGAAGCTCTTTAGTTTAATTAGATCCCATATGTCAATTTTAAAGACTTAAACGTTAGACCTAAAACCATAAAAACCCTAGAAGAAAACCTAGGCATTACCATTCAGGACATAGGCATGGGCAGGGACTTCATGTCTAAAACATTAAAAAACTCTTAAAATATTATGCATACTCTTTGACACAACAATTTTATTTTTATGATTTTATCTTATGTAGTAATTAAGATGACTGCAATGATGTCCACTAAATGCATGCTTATTTTTTTTTTAAATGGAGACAAAGAGATGTATAACAATAGAGAAATAGGTTATACTGCCTTTATGCAGTGGAATAATGGTTATTAAGAAAAGATGTTGTAGAAGTGTCTTATTGGTTTGAAATATATTCATGGGTTATAAAATGCTATGTTTAAACTCATTTCTGTAAAAAAAAGTATGCATGTACACATGGGGGAAGGCTATGCACCCATGTGACTGAACGAGATTCGAGGTGACTTTATTTTGGTGCCTTGTGTATTTATCCTCACTTTCTACTTATGTCTACAGTTGTATGTCATTTGTGTAATAATGGCAGCAAGAGCCCTTCATGGATCTCCCCAAAGGGTGCTGGGTGGCCCCTGAGGCCTGCCCGGCGTGCAAGGCTCCAGGCTTAAGCAGGCTGGCTTCCTGTGCTCTTACCATCTTCTCTCAGAAGGGTACAGGCCAGAGGCTCCCAGCCAGGATGGGGGTGGCCTTCTGGGGGGCAAGGTCATGAGCTCCTCAATCCTGCGCTTGTCATCACTGGTCCCAGGTGGTGCATTGGAGAGTTTTGAGGGGAGAGGAGCCCTCAGTTTGAGATGCAGATACTGGGCTCCGAAGGACTGACAGGTGGTCCTTCCCAAAGGGAGCAGAGCCTAACTGAACCCTTCTCCTTGCCTCGTGGTGGTGCCTGATGCTTCTTATGGCATATTCTCCAGTGTGCCTTTCTATCCTGTTTTAAATGACTCCCACAGGGATGGTGCTGCTGTATCCCCAAGGAGACTGCTTCTGCATCTAATAGACTATTCTGCCATGTAATAGACCTCGCAGTTAGGACATTCCCTCAAGTTTCCATTAGCCACTAAGTGCTTATAAATTTCCCGTTAATATTTATTCAGAAATTTTACTGGGCACTGAATTTAAACTTTTTTTTTTTTTTGGCAGTAATTGCCTGCTTAGCTCTTATCTGTCTCCCTGATATTAACATCAGGATTACTTTTTATTTTCCCCTTTGATCGTTGGGCATCATTGTCTCCAACTTAATTCTTCTGCAACCCTGGGACGTGTTTTAGTCTCTAATGACTTATCTCTCCATTCATATGGCCATGTCTTACTTTGTTATTAAAAAAACCCCAGCAACTTCTGAGCAGCCTTTTTACCCATGATTTTAGCCTCAAATCTTCATGACGTTTGGGTTGTTCCTCCCTTTGCTTTTATATAAGGCTGTTATCAAGGGTAGAAAAAGTGTGGGTGAAAAGCTGATTTGGAATGAGAGTTTCGTCTCCTAGGGGATTAAGTACTAAAAGAAAAAAAGGCCAAAAGCATCCATATGAGGCCAGCATTCAGTAGGAAACACATGTTTGTGAAATGGATCCTCTCCCAGAGAAGCAGGACCCAGTGCGGTGGGGAGGCAGGTTGATTCCTAGCTCTGCTGTAGCTCTCCATGGTCCCCACTCCCCCTCTTCCCTTCCTGTCCACTCAGTCTACACCTTTGGCCAGGCTACGTTTTTCCTTAGAGCAGGACAGAGCACTGGCGAGGTTTGCCTGCTGAAAAAGCCAGCATATGCAGTCATGATGAGAGCTTCCCATGTGTTCCTTCTGTGGATGAGACCCCATGTATGATTCTAGGCACTGATTTGAGCGTGCTTTCCTCATCTCCTCTCCTGCCTACCCCAGGCTATTCTAAGTTTTAATCAAGGTGTGACACTTGCTGTGGGAGCCCAGGATAGAAAGGCCTCGTGAGTGAGAATACAAGAGTTCTGCTATTTCTGGGTCTTGCCTGATTGGAGTTCCTGATCCTTCTTTCACTTTTCCTGACCTCATGTTCCCCCTGGCATTTCGGCTCTGCTAACTGAATGGTAAATGCTCAGTGCTTCCCTTTCTTGATGTGCTGGAAGCGACTCTCTCTCCAAGGACCTGTGGCCAGAAAAGGGGTTCTGGTCTATAGAAAGGGATCAACGAGAAGATTTCAAACCTCATCATGCTGCTGCAGCCTGCCTCAGTCACATTCTGCCTCTGGGCGATTTTCTGGGATTCCTCGCATAGCTTATGGGTACTTTTTACCCATGTTTCCCCTTTCCCAGTGCTCCCTGATGTCCTTAGTGGAAATAGAAAGCAGGAATTCCTTAGACAAGGATCTGCAGAGAGGGTGGGGGAAATATTGTTTATGAGCAGGAGCCAAACTATAACCACACAATAAGAATGTTCCCAGCCCAGCCTCTTCTCCTCTCAAGAGGACCGTTACAGTGAAATCGATCAAATGAACTGTTTTTCTCCCCTCACCTAGTGTGTCGTGGTGCCTTCCAAAAATGAGTGGAAAGAGACATTTTTCAAGGCTGTGTGATGCTGAGGGGAAGGTGTAAAGTGACTAGGAGGCCTCAACATAGGTGGGACGTGAGCCCTGGCAAGCCCAGCAAGGGAGTGTCTGGGCTGACTTCTGCACACCCATTGATTGCCTCCTCACTTCTCTTCCTGCCTGAGGTTGTCGACCTGGGCATCATCCGACACTGCACAGACCTTACCCAGTTCATTGACCTTTGATCAACTTTCCCATAGAATTTCACACTGCTGACTTCTCATTCACTCACTCATTCATTCGATAAATGTTTAATAAACACCTACTCACTCTCTGTCAGGCAGTGTTCTAGGTACAGGGGATATAGCAGCAAGCAAGACACTTAGCAATTCTGCCTTCATGCAGCTTCCATTCTAGTGAGAAGAGATTGGCAGTTAAAGAATAAACTCTATGGTATAAGGGGATAAGAGTTATGGAACAGCATAACGTTGACGGGGGCCTAGGGTGAAGGAAGATGACATTTTAAAGATGTAAAGGGGATGAGATAGCAAGCCATGAGGACAGCCATTTGGGATGTAGCCTCTCTGCTGATGTAGGATTATGGCTGGTATATTGGAAGGAGGCCTCAATCATCAAAAAAAGCAAGAAAGGAGGAGAGACTGCCATGGGAGCTTTTATTCTTGTTGAGTTGGAAAGTCATTGGAAGACCATTGTCCACAGAGGAGTGGCATGGTCTCACTTATATCTCCTGGGCTGACCCGGGCTTCCATGTTGAGAGGAGGTGGCTTATTTGGAAGCATATTTGCCTTTTCTTGGGATTCTCACTTTCATTGGCTTTAGTAGCTCACTCCTGACCCTCGTTTTACTTCACTGACCTTGCCTGCCATCCTGGGCCTCCACATGCTTCACTGATGGCTGTATCAATTTATGTCTTACAGAATATGAGATTCAAAAGATGAAAAATTAGGAATATACAATGTTCAAGTATATCTGCATGTAAAATACAAAGAACTCACAGTGAAATATTGAACTACAAAAAAAGCAGGTCATTTGGAGATTTTTCATCTTTAATATGTAGGTCGGGATGGAAATCTCAGAAAGGTGGGTTCCTGTTGAGAATTACAACCTTATGCCACTTTGTTTTTATTCTCACCCTCAGAACTTTTCTCTTGCATGCGTCCTGGGCACAGTGGTGTGCAGGAAACAACAAGCTCTCTGAAGGAGTAAAACAAACCCTGATATGTAGCATTTGCTGATTTTAGGGTATATATCCTTAGCCATAGCTGATTTTAAGCTCCTCATGTATTTGGTATGAGGTACCTAAATCTTCACTTTTATTTACGATAATGGTCTCCAGTTCCATGCATGTTGCTGCAAAAGACATTTCATTTTTTTATGACTGAGTAGTATTCCATGGTGTGTGCATGTGTGCATGTAGGATGTATATGTATGTATAAATATGTATGTGTGTGTATATGTATATGTGTGTGCATGTATAAAAAAATATATATATATATATATGTATATACACACACACACACATTTTCCTCATTTCTCTGTTGATGGACACTTAGCTTGATTCCATAACTTTGCTATTGTAAATAGTGCTGTAATAAACATATGAGTGTGGGTATCTTTTTGAAATAATGATTTATTTCCCTTTGGGTAGATAGCCAGTAGTGGGGTTGATGGATTGAATGGTAGTTCTATTTTGTATTAATTTACATTCCGCCAACAGTGTATAAGCATTTTTTAGTCTCTGCATCCTCACTAACACCTGTTGTTTTTTGACTTTTTAATAATAGTCATTCTGACTGGTGTAAGATAGCATCTTATTGTGTTTTAATGTACATTTCTCTGATTAGTGATGTTCAGCACTTTTAATATGTTTGCTGGCCATTTATACGTCTTCCTTTGAAAAATGTCTGTTTATGTCCTTTGTCCACTTTTAAATGGGGTTATTTGTTTTTTTATTTGTTGAGTTGTTTGAGTTCCTTGTAGATTCTGGATTTAGCCCTTTGTCAGATGCATAGTTTACAGTTTTTTTTTTTAAACCGTTCTTTAGGTGGTCTGTTGACTTTGTTGATTGTTTCTTTTGCTGTGCAGAAGCTTTTAGTTTAATTAAGTCCCATTTATCTATTTTTGGCTTTGCTGAAGTTGCTTTTGGGAACTTGGTCATAAATTCTTTGCCTAGGCCAATGTCCAGAAAAGTTTTTCTTAGGCTTTCTTCTAGGATTTTTATAGTTCCAGGTCTTACCTTTAGGTCTTTAATCCATCTTGAGTTTTTGCATGTGGTGAGAGATAGGGGTCCAGTTTCATTCTTCTGCATATGGGTATCCAATTTTCCCAACACCATTTAGTGAAGAGGGTGTCCTTTCCCCAGTGCACATTTTTGTTGATCCTGTCAAAAACCAGCTGGTTGCAGGTACATGGCTTTTGGGGGTGGGGGGTGGGTTCTCTCTTCTGTCCCATTGATCTATGTGTGTATTTTTATGTCAGTACAATGCAGCTTTGGTTACCATAGCCTTGAAGTATAATTTGAAGTCATGTAGTGTGATGCTTCCAGCTTTGTTCTTTTGCTTGGGATTGCTGTGGCTATTCTGGTTTTTATTTTGTCCCATATAAGATTTAGCATTGTTTTTTATAATTCTGCGAAAAATGACATTGGTAATTTGATAAAGATTGCATTGAATCTGTAGATTGCTTTGGTCAGTAATGATTCTTCCAATCTATAAGCATGGAATTTTTTCCATTTATTAGTGTCATCTATGATTTATTCCATCATAATTTTGTAGGTATCTTTCACCTTCTTGGTTACATATATTCCTAGATATTTTATTTTCTTTAGCTGTTGTAAATGGGGTTGCATTCTTGATTTAGCCCTTGGTTAGATCATCATTGGTGTATAGAAACTACTGATTCTGTTAATTTTGTATCCTGAAACTTTATGAAATTTGTTTATCTAATATAAGAGATTTTTGGTGGTATCTAGAGTTTTCTAGATATAAGATCATATCATCATTGAACAAGGATAATGTGACTTCTTCTTTTCCAATTTGGATGCCTTTTATTTTTTTCTCTTGCCTGATTGTTCTGGCAAGGACTTCCAGTACTATGGAGAATAGAAATGATAAAAGTGGGTATCTTTGTCTTGTTCCATTTCTTAGAGGGAATGCTTTCAACTTTTCTGTTAAGTAAGATGTTGGCTGTGAGTTTGTTGTATATGTCCTTTATTATGTTGAGGTGTGTTCCTTCTATGTCTACTTTGTTGAGGATGTTTATCATGAATGGATGCTGAATTTTACCCTTTTCTGCATCTATTGAAATGATAATATGATTTTTATCCTTTTTTGTTTATGCGATATATCACATTTATTGATTTGTATATGTTTAACCATCCTTGCATCCCTGGGATGAATCCCACCTGATGATGGTGCATTATCTTTTTGATGTGCTGTTGGATTCAGTTTGCTACAGAATGACTTCTTATTGATAAGTTAAGCACCAACATCACTGAGATTCTGATTGGGATTACTTTAAATTTACACACACGCACACACACACACACACACACACACACAAACACAGAGTATCTCTGCAATATTGAGATTTCCCAATCAGATCACACATTCAATCAATAAATATCTATTTAGGATCTATTGCTAGAAACTATCCTTGCCTCTGAGATAGACAAGATTGCCAAAGTTCCTGCTGTTATTAGACTTAAACATTGTGCAGAGTGGTGTGGGGAGGACTCATGATAAGCAGATGAATAAAAGAAAACAAAGGGACCATTTCAGATAATGTGTGCCCTATGAAGAGAAAAACACCAGGTTGATCAAATAGAACATAATTGAGAGGAAGTCTGTTTGGATGGTATATTCAGGAAATCTTCTCAGAGACAGTTATGTTTTAGCTGAGACCTGATCACAAGGAGTCAGCTAAGGACAAATTTGAGAGAAGAGCATTTTAGACAGAGGGAACAGCCAGGACACAAGCCCTAAGGTGGGAACTACACTGTCTATTTCAAAAGATCACAAAAGACCAGTGGGGAGCACGCTGCAAGATGAAGTATTTTCTCCCTGGTCAGAGACAGACAAGGATTAGATCATGTAAAGTCTCAGGGGTCATGATAAAAGATTTGGATATTATTCTGAATACAGTAAGAAGCCTTTGGAGGGTTTTGAGTATAAGAGAATGATTTGATTTGCAATTTACCAGCTTATTCTAGTACCTTACAAGAATAGATTATGTGTGTGTTGAGAGAGGAAAGAGAGGAGGTAGGAAGTTATTTAGAAAACTGTTGATGTAATCAGAATGAACAATGATGGGGGCTCTGGAATATGGCAGTATCAGAGGAGTTGAGGGATGCTAATGGATTTGGCATATGTTTTGGAAATAGAGCCAGAGAGTTTTTGATGCATTGGTTATGTAGGGGGTGGAGGGGAAGAGGGAGACAGATAGAGAGGGAAAGGAGAGATAGAGAGGGAAAGAGAGAGAGAGAAGAGAGAAGGGGGGGAGAGAGCGAGAGATAGAGAGAGAGAGAGAGCAAGCCAGAGGGAACAAGACTGCAAAGAATAAGGAATGGCCGCATACTCTGTGTGTACCCTAAAGTACCCTCCGAGTAGAGACGGCAAGAGGCAAGTGGAATTACAAGTCCTGAGTTCAAAGTAGTGTGTGCTAGTGTAGATATTTGAGAATCATTAGTATCTTGTTATCTGTTAAAGCCATCGGTTTGGATAAGATTCTCAGAGAAGAGGCTGCTAAGAGAGCTCTGAGGAAATCCCACATAGATGTCGAGGAAAGGAAGACTCAGCAGAGGAGGCTGTGAAGGAGCAAGCATTGGAATAGGAAGAAAAACCTGATAGTGTAATTCTGAGGAAGAGAAAAAAAAAGAAGTGTTTAAAAAGAGGTGGCTACTGTGTAGGAAGTTGTTGGTAGTCAAATTTGATGAGGGAAGAAGACAGATTCTTCAGCCCTTTGGAACTGGCAATGCAAAAGTAATTGGTGACCTTCACCAGAGTCATTACAAAGACATGTTGAGTTTGGAAACTTGACTGGAGTTGAGGAAAGAATGAAACAGAGGAAACAGAAATACAGTCAATTTTTGTCATTTGTGGTAATGTTCTATAAAATCACCACAAACATTCTCTTAGTGAATATGAAACCATTGCTCCTAGAGAAAATACAGGGTTAGGTTCCTGCAAGCTTCTGGTTCTTTATTGGGTTATGTGTGTTTTTGCACAAAGACTTAATTCATATATATTATTGATTCATGTACATTGAACCCAACAGCACTATAACTCATGCTTAAACAAAGATCCTCTAACACACATATTTTCTCTGTAAGGCACATTATAGCCTTCTTGCACTTATGAATACTATACAGCAATTTAGCCCTATGCCTGTGGGCCATTTTAAACAGTGAAATCACCAACAAAAAGTAAAAGAAAAAAAAACAGAAAAAACATGGCACTAAGTAGACTGTGAAACGTTGGACAAGAAAGCAGAGCACCACCTTGATTAACCTCAGCTGGGAATGTGCATGCCAGGCAACTCAAATGTGTTTACTGCTTTGCACACATCCACAAATGACCAGAAATGCTCTGTAAGTATTGATTTGTTGTTATAAATAATTTTTAGCAAGTAGGTGGATTTGCATATATGGAACCCAGAATAATGCAGATGGAATGTACCAACTCTAAGGAACTCTTTGGAGATGTTTTGCTGCAAGCTCTGATGTGGTAATGCAGGTCTTATTTCAGTTTGCTTGTAATGTTATGGGTATTTATATGAGAGGACTGATCTGGTACAGAAAGAAACTTGATGATGCAGAAAGGAAAATTGTTTACTGAGCAAAGTCTCCAATAAGATGAGAAGAATTGGAATCTAGATCACCAGTGAAAAGGGTAGCTTTTGATTACAGCAGCAAGAGTTAGTTCATCATGGGTGACTTCCCTGTTCATTCAGGACATTAAAAAAATTCCTCCATAATTTTTGTAGTTTTATTTATATAGGTTTTGTGCATTTCTTATTACATTAATTCCTAGGTATGTCACACATTTTGATGTTTTGAAAGGGTTTCCCTTATAACTGTACTTTATAACTGCTTAATGCTGGTGTAAAACAAAGCTATTGCTTTTTGTATATTTCTTTTATATCCAGTCACTTTATTGAATCCTTAGCAAGTTTTCATTTTTAAATGAAGTGTTTGTATTTTTAAAAAGATAACTATGTTGTTTTTCGATGACAATAGATGTTTCTCTTTTTCTTCTCACAGTGTTTATTTAAAACTCTAAAATAGTACTGGATATTCTTTTTTTATTCCCATGCTTAAGGAATTGCTTTCTGTGCTTCAAAATTTCATATAATATTTGCTGTTGGTTTTTGCTATGAAGATTTATGTGCTTTAGGAAATTTCCTTTTTTCCTATTTTTCTTTTTACTTTCTTTTTCGTTACATATAGTTGTTAATTTTAACAACTGTTAAGTATATAACAGTAATAATGTTGTTGAATGCCAAGAAAGTAATTTCCCTTTATATTTTAATGTAACAACTTATCATTGATAAATCTTTGATAGTTGAAAGCTTCTAGTGTCCATGACATGAACTCTACTTGGATATGGTACAATTTTTAATATGCTACTAAATTCTATTTTACTATTATTTTACAATATACACATTAGTAAAATTGGTCTAAATATTTTCCAGTTAGATTTTGTCACAGCATGGTTGTAGCCTTATAAATGAATTTGAAAAGTTTCTGCTTATTTTTTTCCTGTGGTTTTTACTATCTGTTATGTGTCCTCAGTTCTTCTTGATTTCCTTTCTTGGCTCTGTTCTTTGGCAACATATCCACTACCTACCTGTGGATTTGGCTGTCACTTCTAGGTGTGCATCTGCCAATCCCTCCTTTTTATCTCAGTTCTCTGAGTTACCAATTCGTATTTCCAACTGCTGGCTGGATTTTTTTTGAATTTAGAAACCTAGATATAGAATATTGAATATCTCATTCATGGGACATTATCATCATTGGACCACGCAGTTAAGACCTTTTTCTTGTTTTATTTATGGAGTTATTCTTTGATATCCCCATTTTCCACTGCCATCCCCCTGTAAAGAATAATTCAAACACATTTAATGTGTGCTTTTTAGGCTCTTACATCTATCTATCTATCTATCTATCTATCTACCTATCTATCTATCTATCCATCTATCATCTATCTATCAATCATCTATCTATCATCTATCTAATCTATCTATTCATCTATGAATCTATCTATCTATCTATCTATCTATCTATCTATCTATCTATCTATCTATCTAATCTGTCCATCTATTTGTCTATCTATCTATCTAGCTAGCTAGCTATCTTTCTATCTACCTATCTATATAATCTGTCTATCTATCTGTCTAATCTATCTATCTTTCATCTATGAATCTATCCATCATCTATTCATCTATAAATACATCTATCTATAAGTCTCTCTATGAATCTATCTATCCATCTATCATCTATGTATCCATCCTATCTATCTATCTATCTATCTATCTATCTATCATCTATGTATCTATCCATCTATAAATCTCTTTTTCTCTCTATGAATCTATGAATCTATCTAATCTGCCTATTTTATCTATCTATCTATCTATCTATCTATCTATCTATCTATCTATCTATCATCTATTTATCTAATCTGTCTATCTACCTAATCTATTATCTATATATCTATTTATCTATCTATAAATCTCTTTCTATCTATGAATCTATCTAATCTATCATCCATTCCTTTGTCTAGTTATCTATCTATCTAATCTATCATCTATGTATCTATGTATCTAATCTGTTTATCATCTATCTATCCATCTATAAATCTAGAAGACTGTCTCTCTTTTTCTATTTATCAATCAATCTAGCTAATCTGCCTATTATCTATCTATTTAATCTATCAATCATCTATTTATCTATGTTATCTATCATATCTATCTATTAGCTATCTATCTATCTATATCTATTATCTATCTATCTATCTATCTATCTATCTGCCTATCTATCAGCTCTAGTGCGCATTTCCAACTACAATGCTATGGATGTCCTACTCTTCACTTTCTTCAGTATTTCCTAAATTTTGCCATTCTTCCAGATACAAACTGGTATTTCATTTTTGTTTTACCTCAACATTTTTCTAATTACTAAATAATTTTCTTTTTATATATTTGTAAGGCATTTGTTTTTTCTCCTCTTAAAATTTCTCATTCAAATATTTTGCCCACATTTTTATTGAGGTTATTGTCTTTTTCCTTATATGCATTCTTTGTATATTCTAAATACTAGCCATATCAGTTTTTAGACACTTCAAATATTGTTTTCTAGTCTATTATTATCTGTTAATTCTATCATGTTCTCTGTTGAAGTGAATTTTTAATTTCAATGTGATCAAATGTATATATTTTTTGTGTAACATTTTGGGCGTTTGTTTAAGCCAACATTCTCTACCCCAGGTCATGAAGATATTCTTCTATTTTTTTTTCTGTTGAATTCTCAGTTTTACCCTCATCATTTTAATTTTTAATCTATACTGTGTCTATCTTTGCTGAGTTAAAATAGATAACAAGCTTTATTTTTCTCCATATAATAAGCTAGTTTTCATAACATCAATTTTCTTCATCCCATTTATTTATGCTGCCATCTTTATTGAATCTTAAAGCTCTGGTAGCTGATTTCAGTGGTGACAGAACAGGCTCATTTTGCTCAAGGGTGAGATGGGACAGAGGTAACAGGAGCATTCAGCAGCCTCCTCCCACTCACCCCTCACTGCCATGCCCCGGCCACCCTCCCTTCTGGTTGTGGCCACTGCCTACCCTCCCTCCCACTCAGGTGTAAGGCAGCACCCAGATCCTCCAGGGGCTTTTCACAGACATTGTTGATATTTTTGCTGTTGTAAATTTGTAAAACCCATGCTTTCCCGTATGAAACCGGTGAACCAGATATGCTAACAAGGAACACCTCGCTAGCCACCCTTAACTCCATGTTGTCTGCTGCCTCAAATGCAGGACGTCTGATTTCAAACTCCCATTTCCTCTCAGATGTTCTCTTCCCATGTCACTGATGACACCGTTGGCATCATTGTCCTCCCAAATATCTGTGACTCCTCTCACCACCATTGATCTATATTGATGAGTTGTGTGGAGTTGAAAACCCAGCTTCAGGGTTCCCTGAATTTTCAGTTACTGTGCTTTTCTGACTTCCTTGCTTCCACTTCCAAGGCTGTGCCTTAGTGACAGAGCTATCTGCTTTACTCTGATTCCGATTCCTCTAAGTGCCCAGGTTTCTGCTTTATGGAGACTGCACCACTTGGAATTTCTTTAGTACAGACTCCTTGTCATGACACTCGAAGCCCATTAGGTTTCTGACCTCAGGTTTCCTCTCTCATCTCCTAGAAATCAGACCTTTAGGTCGGTCCATTTTACTTGCCATCCCTGGAATAGAAGGGCCTCAGTGTCCCATCCCTCCTTCCTGTACTCCTCCATCCCGTTGAATAGTCAACACCTTACATTAGTTTTGTTTAAAGGTTATGAACACTGTCCTGCACATTATTTCATTTAACTTTCCCCCTTTTTTTCTGTCTCATCTCACCCTGTGTAAATTTAAACTGTTTCTCGAGGCTTAACTCAGACAGACCTCTGATATAGCACCTAGTGTAGTCATAGCCTATTTTTCATAGTGGAATAAAACCTATCAATAAACAATGGATTTCACCACTGATTTAAGATACATGATCTTTTGTGGACCTCTGCTACAAAATAATTCCCATGGATGGCCTGAATACATTTTATTTTCTCTATCTAAAATTGTAGCCACAGTTACATACATACATTTATTTATTTATTTATTTATTTATTTATTTATTTTTTTAACTGGGGAGAAGAATTATGGTACAATGGCAGAGACTTGGGCTCTAATACTGTGTCTGCCCCTGGGAAGCTGTGTGGCCATTGATCAGTAATTTCCCTTTTCTGGGCTTGACTCTTCTCTCCTGTAAAATGAGGTGATTAGATTCTTATTATTTAAGGGTCTTTTAAGCTCTAATGTTATATTTGATTGTAAACTCTTTTGGGACAGAGGCAGCCTCGTGTACTTTTGTATTTATAAGCTGTTCAATGAATGTCTCAAATTGAATTAGCTTCATGATGAAATCCTGGTCCCAAATTTGTGTTACAACTTCACAGTCATATATGGTTAATCTCGATAAAATTATTTAGCATTGGTGAGCTATTCATCTAAGTAATCTCTTCAGTTATCTTTGCCACCTATGTCTACATAGGCCTGGCCAGAGCCCCCAAGTGCCTGGGCCCCACTCAGTGTGAACAAAAGCCTTTGCATTCTTGGTGCCATGGCATGTAATTAAGTGGAAAATAATTCCAGCATGACACAGAAGTGAGACTTCATACACAAAGCAAGTAATTTAGGTCCAGATTATTCAGTCATCCCATTCAGTATTGTATCAACTACAGGCAAAGCTCTATGGTAGATGCCATTGGGCTTAAAAATACAAATGTTGCATGATCCTCTGTAAGCAGTTTATCTCCAACTTAGGAAAGTCAGATATGGATGGCACTGGAATAGATGCATAATAATACAAGACAGTTAGCTGGCACAACAAGGTTTCAGGGGAAGGAGATAGTGTTTTACAGAAAAGGGGTCAGAAAGAGTTTCATGCATGATAGGAGGTTTAATCCAGACCTGGTAGAGAATGGATAGGATTTTACAGTCAGAACAAGAGCCTGAGTGATGCTGCCTGAGGGCATAGTTCAAGTCTCAAAGAGGGAGCAGATCATAAACCAGACACTGTGGCTCTTAAGTCACGTGGCGAGCAAGTGGAAGGCAGAAGGCCCTGGACACTGGTAAGGATGGGACGAGCACACACTCACTGAACTCAGAAAAAGCAGAAGGCAGTGGGATGCCGAGGTGCAGAGCAAGGCCAAAGCCTGGTTCTACCACTCCAGGTTACATGAACAAGGACAAGGCAGGCAACCCTCCGGACCACAGTTTCCTCATCTGTCAAATAAATACAGTGATAATAGCACCTCATGAGATGTGAGAGATTCAACAGAGCCAGTTCAGGGCAAGAGATCACCAGTGAATGGATGAGCAAGCATGGGTTAGCTGTAGATGTAGGAGATCAGGACTGAGACCAAGCCATCCGATCAAGGGAAGGGAAGGGGTGGATGTGCTGGGATGCCTGCTCTAAGAAGGAAAAAGTGGGGAGCCCAGAGCACTGTGTGTCTTGGATTGGGGTCCACAGAATGAGTGTGCAGAAATTGGTTAAGTTAGGCACTGCCCCTTTTAGAAACGTTCCCCTTTTTCTTGATTTTGAGGTGACAAGCCTCCCGGGCTGGCTCCTTGGGTGGTGCTCAGAAAGCAGGTGGTATTAGCAAGGCAAGCTTAGAGATCAGTGCTCTTCGAAGGCCAGGCCAGGCCTTAGCATCGTGGGTGGAGAGGCCGGTGGTGGCTTTTCTCAAGAATGTGCACAATGGGGGTGGATTCCAAAGATATAATTAAGCCATGGGTGTCATTTGTTCGGTGGGTGTGTGTGGTCCTCTGTGGTGTGGAGCTGGTTCCCAGCATATGGGCTCCTCGAGACTGTGCGACTTGGGTGGGGCCCAAATGGGTGAGGACCCCACTCAACAGTGTGAGCAGTGGCAGGGTCAATTGTGTGACGCTTGACCTGAGTCACTGTAGGATTCCTTTGGTGTGCTGCCCTTCTTGCCTCCAAGCTCTGCAAGAAGCCCTTCAGGGCCTGTGTGCACAGCAAAGTCTGTTCTGCGAGGGCTCTTGACTGGGGCTGCATTTCTGACAGTAATGACAACACATAGGCTATGGAGCTTCCAGGTTGCCAATTTACCTGTCTTAACTCCTTTAATCTGTTCTGGTCATGACTCAGGCTGAGGTAGGGCTGAGCCCACCCCAAGAATGTTCCTTACATTTGGTGTGGTATGCTGATGTGCACTGGGACTCTACACAGAGCTGATATTGCTTGTGATGGCCATGAATGTGCCACTGTGCGTGAGAATCCTCTGGGGAATGCTTGTGGAAAATGCAGACACCTGGGCCTTAGTTTGAGTTTCTGATTCAATGGGTCTGAGGTAGGCTGAGATGCTGCATCTGTTACAGTTCCTCCAAGAGGTTCAGCTGCAGGCAGCTCATGGACCAACTGAGAAACACAGATTTGCAGAGCGCTTGCTGTGGGCCAAGAATTGTGCTAAACGCTACATAAGTCATTTTACGTATCCTTTAAAGTGCGTCCTGTTATCATCTCCATTATACAGATACAAAAAAAGAAAAGCAATGAAGCAACCCAAGGCTTAGGTAGATTAAGTGATTTGCCCAAGAGAAAAATGCTACAAAGTGATGGCCTGGGATGAAATTAGGATGGCGTGACTTGTTTCTTTATTTAACTCTGGTGCCTCAGGTGCCACAGCTCCAGGGTGAGTAGCAGGCATTCAGAATTGAAAAAAAAAAATGGTTACAGCATCAGTTCTCAAGGAATTCCAATTCTAATATTAAAGGCATAAGCGAATGTTAAATGAGGAGACATGCAATTGAAACCTCACAATAGTGTTTCACATGGAAACATGAAACAGAAAGTATCGTTTTAGTTTGTCTATAGTTTAGGTTGGTTTCAATGGCCTTTCAAAGGAAGTAGATCCTGTACTTCAATTATTTGTCTTACTCCATTTGTGTTACGTAACTTCTGGAAGAAAGATGGCTTGAAAGAAACCGATCAATTTGCAATATACAATGATTCTCTTAAGCAGTACAGGTGGTATATTTGGGGTTGGGACATGGAGGATGCTGTGAGCCATTCCTTCTCCCCATGACCCCACAAACTATGACACGATCTACACAACAGGAGCACAGATGGTCCCTGTTCTCTCAAATTCAGGTCCGAGACCCTTGGTCAGGTCACTAAAGTCTCTTACTCGGAGTCAAACCTCTTCCTCGCTAAAATGGACTGGGGAACTTCTCTGTACTGGAAGAAGGAGGAGGTGCTGGAGGGAGAGGCAGGGGAGAAGGACTAGTCTGGTAAGATTGTGATGCTGGGAGAGGCAGGCAGGAGGCCACAACAGAGGCTGATCCTTTCATCCTCCTGCCATTCCCGATGTCTCGAAGCTCAGGATGTTCTCCAGGGGTTTGGGGATTCTGTACTGCCACCCTGACGCATCTTAGCCAAAGCAGATTTGCCCCTTTTCCAATAAAGGCAAACCAAAATGAAATCTATAATTATCATTACTAATTCCACTTAATTAGTCGCAAGCCAGCAGCCAAATTGGCTTTCTCATAATTATCTGATAAGCAGTAAGCACATCTCATAGATTATAATTAACACTACTTAATTAAAATCTAATATACATACACCCTTTCCTCAAAATATATCTAATTTGGTTCACAACAGCAGCAGATAAAATCTCGTCTTTGGTTACCCCTACGTAAGTATTTCAAGTTATCACTGTCTTTTCAGTCTCTGAAGAGAACTGAGGGCAAATTGTACATAGTTTGGTTATTCTTCAGAAAGTTATAAATGTTCTCCCCAGGAGATTGAGAAAAGTCTCCAGTCCTTCCTCTCTCTTGAAGGATCTTCCCAAACTAAGGAATGCCTGGCCCGTGATGGACATGCGGCTGGTTTGTGCTTCCTGCCAAGGACATCCCAGGTCCCAGCTTAGATTTCTTTACAGTTGCGTTACTGTGGACAGTGTAGAAAAGGTCCTGTCCACCTCTACTCTAAAAGAAAAAAAACCCGCATCAAACTTCCACCAATAATCCTAGCCTAAATTTTGAAAATGAATGGGATTCAAAGCATTTCTGAAGTCCTGAATGGCTGTGATGTGCATTTTCCACCCACTGCCACCTCTAGTGCACTGAGGATCGCAGGTGTCTGATGTATTCCTGTGGGAGTGCTAACTGGGATTAGAAGCCAGGGCATTCACCGTGTTGAAAGTGAAAAGATCTATTCTTTGTGAAATTGCTAGCCACCCATTCTGCAGAGACAAGCCCAGAGAACAGGTTAAAGGGGACCAGAGATAGTTATTATTTTGCATCCTCTAAAATCTATGCTAAACAGAAGGCAAAGAGCGATGGCTACTCTTCGTGTGCTGAAGGCAGAAGAGGGCGAACAGAAAAACGTGGGGGGAAAAACAACTGTAATGGAGAAACAACCAAACTTTTGCTAAGTGTAGACATCCCCTTGATGGGCAGGGGGCACTGCTGGCTTGTAACTGACCTTCCTGTGGCAAACCTCAGGGAGGGTTGTGCGCAGTTAAGCTGTGCATTTCCCAAGGGTCCTGTTTTGTAAAAGTCAGCCCTCTGCCATTGAGTCTTATCCGCCTCTCCCCTTCACACCCAGTCTAGTGCCTGAAAATGGAGGGAAAACAATACATGGCTTCTGTATTGATGCCATAATTTATGAATGGCCAACTTATTTTTAGACAGGTTCCTGGGAGGAGGTTTTATACTCTGATTTCAGAATGTAAATGATGGCAAGGAGAGCCAGCGGGGGTGTGAAATGGGCCAAAACTACCGGCCCTCCGGGGTGCTTCTCACTGCTTGCCCTGTCTTGCCGTTCTCCTCGACACTCCTGGTATTAATCATCACCAGGACAAAGTCTGCCTTTCCTGCCAGATGATCTGCTTCAGGAATGCAAGTGTTGGGATTACTTTGTTCATTGCTGCATTGCCCACTACCTCCATAGGGTCCAACACATCACAAATGCCCAATGTATTTCTGTTGAATGAATACATGAATGAATGTCCTGTGACTTCTTTCCTACTGAAAAAAAGGCAAATTCACTACGAATGATTGCTACACAGGGAAAATATTTGAAATCTGAACTGTGCAATTGAGCCCATTTTCACTGATACTAAATTTCTCCTATGAAGTTCATTTTGGATCAGAAAAAAAAAAAACTAACAACAGAGTACAAAAAGTGTATGTAGAATTTGTCTTGGTGTTTCTTCTCTCTCTTTACTCACTTCTCTCTGTGCACCCCAATCAGGCCATTTGGGTCGGTCTACAGCAACTTTGACAGGCTTTGGGAGAGTAAGTAGATGTTGTACTGTTTGTCTACTTATAGTTCCATCAAGGGAGTAGCTGTAAGTCCCCAGAGGATGAGCCTGTATGTTGAAAATTACCTTAATGGGTTTTTGGCCCAAACGTGTTTTCCAGACATGCCTTGGTCTCCTGTTTACTTTGCCAGGTCAATTGGGTGGTGACAGCTGTGTGAATATAGGGAGAGCCCTGTCTGGGCCATGATTTTGCTGGTGGTCCTTAGAAGCTTTTGAAGCCATTTTGTCCTTCATCCTCTTTGCACTCCCAGGGAGATTTCCAAATGGATGCAGCTTGCTACTCACTAGCCATTGCCCCTGGGAGGCTCCACTGCCATCTCACCTACCATCCATTCTCCCACCAGGCAAGGACCTTTTATTTCAGTATCTTGGCTGAAAGCATTTTCATCCCGTAGGAATGATCTCAGGGGAGACACTCAGTTTATCCTGTTCTTTGACTGAAGCTGCCTCAGCCACCTAATCCGCCATCCACGCTGGGCTTTCTGTAATACGCTGGGTTTAAATAAATTATATTTTCAAAGGTTAAGACTGGATTTCAGCAGTCAACTCTCCTGCTGATGTCTCTCTTATTTTCTCAACCTAAGAAAAAGAGAGAGAGAGCTGGTAGGTTTATGAAGGAAAGAGATTGTTCCTGCAATCTCAGCTCTGTGAAGATGCTATTAATTCTTTTGCAAAATCTCAAATCCTTCCTTTTCCTTTGTGTTACTGCAATGGGACAGAGAGGACGCTTTCTGTCTGGTGCTTCTTGTTTGGAAGGTCCATGAGCATAGGCTGGATGTTGTGGGGTTGTCTCTTTGTCTGTAATGGATAAAAAAACAAAAGAAGATAGAAAATGGTTGGAGGAGGAGAAAGGTGAAAAGAGAGGAGGAGAAATGAGTGATTGTTTCTCCTGAGGTCTGCAATGTCAAAGAGGTGACTGTTTGTTGCATTTGCATCCTATGTGGCTTGAAATATTTGTATTGTCTTGGACGTGATGCTAGGTGGCAAAACAACAACAACAACAAAAAAACAACAAAAAAAAACCACAAAAACAAAACAAAAACCCTACACACAATAAAAAATAAAAAACAAACATTTCTGAAACATTCAGTTGTGTAGGAATACTATTATTTAAAAACTGCCGAAATATTTCCATAACAGCAACAGGGTATAGAAGAGCAGCCAGGGCCTCCTTGTTTCAGGCCTAGGGGGTAAAGGTGGCATGTCCCACGGATTGCCAAAAACTTTCTTGGTAACCGTGGTAGGTGCCTGCACTGCTTGGCAGGATGTGCTTCCTTGGCAGGAGCATTCCCTCCCATATGTGTGCACGTCACTGGTACCTCCTGAGGATCCTCTGTCTTTGACATAATCTCTGAAGGAAGCAGGCGCTTGCTGTGTGCACTCAAAGGCCAGTGCCCCAGCACATCCGAGACTCCCCACCCTCCTCTCCTATATTCTCTCTCACCCCGACTTCCTGCCATCTGTCTTTTCATGCAAAGAATGAATCTGAAAGAAGTAGGTTCAGGCCAAGTCTTGGAGGGCAACCAGAGTGAGCTGGGTTCTGCGGGTCCATGCTCCTCCAGCCCCGCCCTTCTCTCCTTCAAGAATCCACCTCTCCAGGAATCATGGCTACCTTGCCCCATACCCCCAGCCGCAGCAGGGCTTGAGATGCCTTTTCTGTGCTTCCACAGCACCCTATGATTTTACCTGACTTTAAACTTAGTACAGTTCAGGAAACTCGTCTATTTCTTATTCTTCTTCTACATGAGACTGTAATCTCTTCAAGAATAACATGCTTACCTAGAACAGTGGCTGGTAAACAGCTGGTGATTGATAACAGCTTTTGAATTCATAAATGAATGGCATTCTAGTTGTTCACTTTAGAAGTAGGTAGACCTGATAAAAATGAGAAACATGATTGACAGCTGGGATTTTTACAATGTGTGTTACAAAGAGTCCATCTACTTTCCTATCTGGGCTCTGGTCCTTTATAGCAGACTGTGATATCCTTGGCGTGAAGCACGTACCATGCATTCTAGTTCAGTCAGAGACTGGCCAATTAAGAGCCCTCAAGGAATATTAAATTCATGTTTACATTAAGAATATAACTATGTATGATAACAAGACTTAAGCTAATTTACTTATTAAATGAAATAAATAAATAACAAGTAGGAAAAAATAGAATGTAAAAAGATGATGGGGTCTTCTATGTACCAAAGAGGTATACTATTTCTATTCTTAGCTAGTCAGTAATAGCTTTGCTTTAACCCTTTTTAGCTCAGCCCATTCTCAATTAGAATCCATTCCAATCACAAATATGTCTTTATTAAAGTGTTACTCTGTAAAATATTATGCTCAGTATAGCATATTCTTAAAAAGCTTTGTAAGTGTGTACAACATTTCCTTCTTCTTTTTCCGGTTATTAGTATGCAGATAGCTCTTGGGAAGCCAACCCTTCCACCAGCCCTGCCCATGTGGGTTGGATGTACTGGGCACAAAGTTAGATCCAGAGATGGCCAGTGATCCAGGCCTAGCCAATGGAAGCAACAAGAAATAGGCAGGGGCCCAGATGTGTCCCAAGAGACTGAACTCTGAGACTTTTGTGGAACAGTTGGGAAGATTATGCATAGAGATCTCAAGACGGCTCCCCTCTCTTTTTGAGTCTCGTCTGATTTTGTTTTCCTTTGTTCTCTGTGGGGTGCTTTTTTGTAGTAACAAAACATGGAGTAACCTTGTTCACTAACCAACCCCTATTTCCTTGTCTCTAAGTACTTGACTCAGCAATTCAACTTTTTAAAGGGGTTGAAATTATTTAAAATTGCAGGCAACTTTAAAGTCAGCAAACCTATTTAGCCACACAATTTTAAAATAAGACTGAACAAACATTTTCACAGGAATTTCGATGCTGCAGGAGAAAGCTAGCATCCTTTTATCAGACACAATGTGTTTTGTTTTCAATGGAGGCCATCTCCTCATCCTCAGGCCTCTCTATCTGGGTTTATTTAAAATTCGAGACTGGGTTAGGTTTCTGTGCTGTTTCCTGCTATTAACCTTTGTCAACCTTGTTGCCTGCCTTAGGGGGAGGTCAAAGTCAAGTTCCAGAAGTAGTCTAGGTAAGTAAGTGTGATATTATAGACTCATCTTTCCTGAAGAATGATTTGAAGTCTCAGCCTTTGTGAGCTCCCAGTATGAAACAGAGAGGGAGAGACAGTCCCAGGGACAGAAAATGCAGCATCAGTATGGTTCTTTGTCCCTTAGTAAAATGGTAAAATGTTGTCCTTTGGGTTAGCTGTGGGCCATTAGTGTGTGGGCAGGTGGGGTTGGGCGCTGGATCACTGGAGGGCTGGGACAGGACTGGGGAAGGGTGGTGCAGCAGTGCTTCCTGTTCCAGTTATTAGGATCCTGTTAGTATCTCCATACCCCAGGGACGAGATTGCCAATTGCTGCAGGGTCTGTTCATAGATATTTTCAGCTAATCTTGGACTTTCATTTGCCAGAAACACTGGAAGATTTGTCTTCACAGATGAGAAAAAATGAAAGGATTCCTTGCAGTAGGAAGACAAAACATAATTGCCACAGGCTATTTCTGGATCCGAGGACTATTTGGGGCTCTGCTGGCAGTCTCAGCATTCAAACTCAGCAAGATACCCTGTTGAGCCCAGGTGATGTGGCCCTGAGAGCTCCTCGATCCCCTAAAACAGCTCTCAGCCAAGCAGAATGGCAGCCGAAGATCGGGGTTTGCCTGATCTGCATCACATCATTATGGAAGTAAGAGCTATTCCGTTCATGATGGAAACCTCTTCCCCACCTTTGCCCAGGTGGCAATGATGCTCTGAAACGCTGCTCCCTAAATACCGTCAGGACTTTCTTGTGCCTGACTGGGACCATGTAAGCAGCACTGCTTCCTCCAAGACACATGGCCCATTGTCTCCTATTTCTTTGTGATCACGAGAAGATAATGCAGAGAAATGCATTTCTATTGAAAGGCCATATTGTACTACTAAAGTTTCACCAGGCAAAGGCTTGGCCCGGCTTCTGGCATTTGCAGAGGATTTGAGGATTAGTGGTGAAATGTTGTGTGCAGAAAAGAAAAGCAACTAAAAGAGCTTCATCTCTGAAAGACAGTGTGTTAAAAGGGTTCACTTGTCTTTTTGACAGTAGAAAAAAAAAATCAAACTTAACTTTTCATTCTCACTTCCATTTTCCTCCAAAAGTCAGCCAATAGGTGGGGTCTGTCAAAGCACAAAGTGCAATAGAAAGATCAGCTCTCATGGTCAGACGTGTTAGGGTCAAGCCCACTTCAGGATGACTGGCAGAATCATGGCATTCTGCTAGGTTTCCAGAAATCCTCCTGCTGGTCAGGGTTGCAGGGACCAGGGACCATTTCCACACCCTTAAACTACAAGTGTCTTTTCTCTACTCCCTCTGTCTTCAATGACTCCTGACCTCAGTTTCTCTTTATAGCATATCCATGTTTTGAAAATAACCTATTCAATTTTAGACCCTGTCATGAGCATCATGGAAACATTTTACTACTCCTCAATCCTTCTGTTTTACCTCAAGTAGTCCGTAAAATATGCTGTAAGTATTCTATTGCTTCTTCCACTCCGGTTTTTTACTCTTGTTTTTTTTAAGAAATCATGTTTCATATTTTAAAAGATACAGAAGGGAATACAGTGGAATATCTGTGTCTTTCTTCCATGCCTATGCCCCAGCCAACCAGTTCCCCTCTCCCAAGATGATCAATGTCATTAGTTCTCAGTATCCTTCCAAAATCTTATATGCATATACAAGCCAATATTCTCTCTAGCTCTCTGTCTGTCTCTTCCTCTTACATAAATGATAGCATACAATACACTCAGCTCTGCATCTTGCCCTTTTACCTACCAACATTTCTTGGAGATCATTCCATATCAGTATATAAAGGCTTCTTCACTCTATTTTACATATTCCTTTGATTGCTTCTGCATCCGTTCCATTCTTCTGTTTCTCCAAAATCTTCCTTTCAAGTTCTGACTTCAGTGCAACTTCTCTTAGGAAGCCATCCCTAGTCATTCCAACCTCCCAGTGATCCCTCCCAATGCTGAGCTGTAGACTGTTGTTTGTTTTCTGAACTACTCATTTCCTGTATTGCTAGCTGTCTTTAATGTACTTGAGTTGTATCTTTCCATATAGACTGATGTCTTCAAGGACAGGGATCATGTCTTATCCTGCTTCGTAGCTCCTATCACACTACGTCATCTAACAGAAGCCTTTTCCTTAGTAGGGATGCAGTTAGTTTGTTGATTTGGTGGACAGCTCAGGGAACAAAATTTGCCAACTCTCTGCCTTTTCAGAGAGTCTGTGTCAGGGACCAGCTTTGTTTGGATTGACCCTGAATGATCTCTCTAGCCACAAAAAAGCCTTCTTAAGCATCTCTGGAAATGCAGACAAACATGGCTTGTCCTGAGCAAGGCACAAAGGACAGCATTCCCATCCCTGTTTGCTTTCAATGGTTAGTTGCTCTTTTCACTTTTTCCTCCAAAAGTCAGCCAATAGTTGGGGTCTGCCAAAGCACAAAGTGCAATAGAAAGATCAGCTCTTGTGGTCAGATGTGTTAGGATCAAGCCCACTTCAGGATGACTGGCAGAATCACAGCATTCTGCTGGGTTTCCAGAAATCCTACCACTGGTCAGGGTGGCAGGGACCAGGGAAAGAAAGGACATCACACTTTGCCAGCTTTCTCACCTGCCCTCCTTCCTCGTGACATTTGCCAGATTGTCTGGGACCAGCTGTGTGAGTTGCATCTGTCACAGGGATGGGGGAGCTGTGAGGCTTTTCCACCCTCTGGTCAGCTTCTCTCTGGGGGCTTTCTCCACCATGAGATTGTCCCTAGATTAAGCAAATAATTTCAGATTAGTCTAATTAATTCTAATAGACTCATTAGTGCAGTCTTAGAGCTCATTCTCAAGGGAGTGATGGTCAAAAACTGTGAAGAGTGTTTTCTTTTGTGAGAAAATCATGTTGTTTTATTTCAAGTTGGGATTTCAAACTTGACTTCTGGGATTAAAAAAATAATAATCTCTAGTTTCGTGGAGTTCCATTAGCTTCAGTCCAGATCCATAGAGTCAACATCCCCTGATGATGGTTTCCCCTTGAAAATGGAGGTCTTTGCCATTATTCTGGGATTGCAGGGAAGGTAGAATAAATCAGGTCTCAACTTTAAGCGGCTTATTGCAGTGTAATTTGGGAAGACTAAATGTAAACAAATAAAATGATGACTACTGTAAGGCAATGCTGTCTAAGTGTCAGAGACTGTAAGGATTTTAATTGTTTAGAGGTGGCAGAGATTATTGTGAACTTAGTTGGTTCCAGAAAAGTTTCAAATTTGAAAGCCTCTTTAAGAATGGGCAGAATTTTATAAGAGACAAAGAAAGGTGAGAGGTATTTAAGGTACAGAAGAGAGCATGTGCCAGGTAGGATCTATAAAAACCTGGGGGTTTTTCATAAAATAGTCGGAGGAGCACTTGAGGAGAACTTCTGTGTTGGAGATGAGGGCATTGCAGGCTTAGAAAGCCAATTGGGTCAGACGGAGGAGTCTGAAGGTCAAGTTTAGAGATGAGGATTCTTCCTGAAAGCAATGAGAACTCCTCAAGGCCTTGTTGTGAAGAGAAAACAATTGGAGCAATTGTTTAGGAAAAACAAACAGGTGATAACATATGGCATGAATTGAAGTGGGCTGAGGCTGGAGTAGGGTGAAACTGGAGCAAAAAGGAATGAGCTAAGAAGCTTTTGTATGACAGCAACATGTCATCATGTGTGAACTTCACAGAATGCACTTATACACACCTAGGTGGTACAGCCTACTACACACCTCAGCTGTACGGTGGAGCCTACTGCTCCTAGGGTACACAGCTGCACAGCATGTCACTGTGCTGACACTGTAGGCAACTGGAACACAGTACTAAGGATTTGTGTCTCCACACATAGAAAAGGTTCAGTAAAAAATACCATATTATAATATTATGAGACCACTATCATATATGTGGTCCATCATTGGCCGAACTATCATTATGTGGAACATAAATTTAGCTATTTCATGTCATTTGTTAGAAAGGGAGTATAAAGATACAAGTATTTCTGAGAGAAGTAACACTTATCTAGTCATTCATACCTTAGAGTGAATGAGCAGATCTGATTCTCTATTGGGAGAGAATGTGCAGCCTAAGCCAACCCCAGCTCCTCAGGGCAGGGTAGGCCCCCCAGTCTCTGGGGCAGCAGCCACAGCCTTCAGTTCCCGGGTGACTATCCTACCATTTTTCCCTGTGGGATGGTGCTTATACTTCACAATGAATATTCCTGATTATCAATAATTGTTTTTTTCCATAATATTCTCTACCCTCACCTGCAGGGCAGAGCTGCTGAACATATTATACTGCTTACCTATCCTCTTCACCTCAACCCAAATGGAGAGGCTGTAGATGATTTCACAAGGTAGAGAAAGGGGCTGGGGGAGAAATGAACAGAGTGTTTGTGAAGTGAGCTCTTGAACGCTTGTCAAAAAGCCTTTTTCTCTCAGCTATCCCAAAGCAACCTATTGTCCCTTGGGGCCAAGGTGCCCGCAAGGGCTCTCAGTCAAACACAATTTGTATTCTAATCCCATTTGCTTAGGACATTTTCCCCAGGGCTTCACTGTCACTTTTAAATCTGGTTCTGAGAGCTCATCAGAGTCAGTCATCTGGACCTGACACCCTTCCTGCAGCCAATGCTACCCTTGGCTAAATCCTAGAGGACTTGGGAGGCTCTGCTTGTGCCTCCTGGCTGCCGCAGCAGTCACAGTCTCCCTGGGCCATTCCAGGAAGGTCTGAGTGTGTTGGGAACCAGAAAGAGTTGCAGTTATGACTTTGACAGTCTCACAGCATCTGTCTCCGCTGCCTGTCCCAGCATCCTTTCTTCACCTATAGGAAAAGAGCCACGTTTGAGCACCTGCCTTTGCAGGTAGGGGTCTGAGAGCCACTGGCAAGCACAGTGCTGTGCTTTGACCCTGCCATGGGACCCTGGAGAGGTGGCAGCAAGCATCCTGGAAACCGTGCCATTGCCATCAATGAAAGGCAAGGAAAAACCCCTTAAATTCTGTCACTTGTTTTAAAACTTCTACTTCATTTCAAACCACAACACTAAAATTTGCAGCCAGCCCTTATCACCTAAGGTGTCTTATTTTGAGAGCATTGCCAGGTACTAGGAGTCTTACATGATGTGTTGTTTGCCATCCCTACTGTAGAGGTGACAAAATTGCCAAGGTCCCAGAGGTAGTAAGTGGCCAAGGAGGAGAAGACTCAGATCTCCTATTATACAAATGATCTATTGTGATATAAACAAAGCTGCCATTCTTTCCCCTCCACCACACTGCTTTCCAAGGTCCCAACAGCAGAATGAGTGTTGTCTTTTTTTCAATTTGGAGTGTGAGGGAATTCATTGAGCAATTGGCCAAAGAAGTTGGGCACCCTGAATTGGTAGTGTCACAGAAGAAGGCCGGGGAGTCAGATACTGTGGCTTATTCACCAGTTCTGCCATTCAGGACATATGGGACCAGGCTTATATCTCAGTTTGGTGAAGTGAGAATGGTACCACTTGATGAGCCATCTGAAGAACCTGCCATGGAGTGAGGGAGGTACTCAATAATTCTTACTTCCCTCTCTGGCCATCCTTCTTTATTTTGGGGAGATTCTCTTCCAGTCTTTAAAAATATTATTAATACAGTGTTTGGGCCATTGTAGACATGCAATACCTAACTGCCAAAATGATAAATAACTATAAGTATACAAACACATGCAATTTATTTTCATTTGACTTGCTTGAGGACTTTTTTGAGATTTTAGTGACATGCTCAGAGGACTGAGAATGCAGACAGAGGTGGGAGGTGATCTGTAAAACCAAGTAGGGACAGCTCTAAGGGTGCCTAGGAACCCCATGACAACTTCCATCCATATCGAATCCTGTTGTATTTTGCACTTGAAAGAGAAGAGCAGGGATGAAAACTATCAGCTCTCTAAGGACAGAGGACTCCTGTGCATTTTGCCCAGCATTGGGCCTGGCAGTGCGCTTGTAGGAAGCCACCATCTTAGGGGGGCACTGGGAATGCCCCTTGAATGTCCCCAGTGTTCTCAAACTTCATCAGGAGAGCAGTGGGTTAATTCATGGTTCACAGATGTTCAACTGCATAACAGATGCAAAAAGCAACAGCTTTCTTAAATGAACTTTTTTGGGGAAGAAAAAATAACAGTAGTTAACTTTTTTGGAACACCAAACTAAATATAAATATCTGTTTAAAAAAACAAAACAACTCTACCCGAGGATATGCCAGAAGTCTTTAAAGCAGTAGGTTTCCATTTTCTTCCATTGGCTACATGAGATGAGACATTCCTTTGGGAGCCTTGATACCGCCTGTCTTGTCTGTTAGACATTAGCTAGGGACACTGCCTTCTTCTTTCTTCCTCTTCACTCCCACCTTCTTGTCACTCAAGTTACTAAATCCGAAGTATTAGTATATTATCATTGAAATTTATCTAAATTTACATTAATATGAAGAAATGTATTTTTTGTACATTTTCTAAACTGAGAAAAAAGATGTGGCTGGTATTTGACTACACAGGAGAGTTTAAAACTTTTTAGCTTGGTAGCGAATGTTCGCATAGTTTAATCCCAAATTGTCTTGTTGGGTTTATTTGCTACCCTTCTGTAGAATGGCCTTTTGCTTCAGCAAAACTGGTTTCCTGGCCTCCTGAACCTGTGCTTCCACTGGCCATCTCCTTAAGAATTCTACCCATTTGCTAAGGTCACGGTTCCGGTTCTACTTCTTCCAGAAGAGATCACCATAACAACAATGAGTTTGCCTTCCTCCAATCCAAATTGCTTGTTCTCTGTACCCATTACTTAGCCACTGATCCAGAGTAATCTTTTGATTTTCATTTTGTTCTTGGATTATACTGTTAAGTGTTCAAGTGTTTGTCTTATCTTCTAGCAGACTTCTCTCTGGAAATCTTTGTCTCATGCTCCTTCCCAGCAGTGCACAAAACTTAAAATTTTCCACATCAAAAAGTGTACATTACATACTTCTTGATCCTCTATAGAGGCGCCATTGTTGATAGGTGAAGAGGGAGGGGCAGGATTGCCATGTGGTTTCTCTGAGATGTAGTGATCCATACAGCCAAATATATAATGTTATGATTCAGACACTCCAAGTTTGAAGCCAAACCTGGTGATTTATTTCAACAGACATTTTATTTTGTAAGGCATTGTAGCTAAACAAATGCATAAAACATATTTTTAATCTTTAATCTTTAGAAACATTTATGCTTGAACTCAGGATATAGATGTATGCATTCATAACCAAAATGTAAGACAAAAAGTGACTATGACAATATGATAACTGCCATTTGTTGGCTACATATTTTGCATGGATTGCCTCCTTAGTCCTCCCAGTGTCCCTTTACGGTGGACGATCCCCATTTCATAGTTGAGGTAACTTTGAGAGGATACATTGTCTGCCCAAGTTCAGCTAACGAGTGGAGGAACTGGGAGTTGAGCTTCTGTCTGATTCCAGAGCCCAAATTTAACTACCAAATATACCCCTTCTTGGCTATTCCACCACGAAACCTATGATATTATAAAATATATGTGCTTATTGACTTAGGACAATGTGAACTCCACAAAGGCAGGAGGTGTATTGTCATAACCCCAGATTCTAGCACAGTGCTTAGCACGCAGCTGATGCTCAGATACTCGGAAAGTTGGACAAATGAACTAAAACTCATCTACACACATAGTGATAGACAGAATAATGCCCATTCCACCACCCCAAAATGTCCTAATCCCTGGGACCTGTGAACTGTCTTACATGACAAAAGGAACATTGCTAATGTAAGTCAGTTAAAAATCTTGAGATAGGGAGATTACTCTAGATCGCTTGGGTATGCACAAGGTAAGGAGGAGGGTTATGGGGTCAGAGTCACCAGGAGGACCTGTGAACAGAAGCAGAGTTTGCAGTGATGTGAAGAAGGGGCCAGAGGTCTAAGAATGCAGGCAGTGTCTGGAAGTCAGAAGAGGCAAGAAAACAGATTCTCTCTTGAAGCCTTCAGAAGGAATTAAGTTCTGCTGACACTTTGATTGTAAACTCCTGTTCTCCTGAACCATAAAAGAAAACATCTGTCTTGTTTGAAACCACCAGGTTTGTGGGGATTGGCACAGCAACCACAGGTAATGAACAGACATACCATGCTCACTCTAGTGTCCCAGCCTTTACTGTGTCTAGCCCCTCACGCTCATGTCACTGTCAAACTGCAGCCACTGCTCAGAGCTGCGGTACCCGAGTCTAAGGGCCTTGAGATCAAGGCCTGCCTTACCCTCTACCTCATTTCCATCATTCAATCAAATGACAGGTCCTGAATATCTCTCAGACCCAGCAGCCTCCGCTCTTGTACAACCATCTTAGGTTACGTCACTGTTACCTCTCACTTAGGTTTCTGAAAGCGTGCTAACAGATCTCCCCCTCCTCTGTGTTCCTGGTAACTTTTCTCTATTTGTGTCCACCTCAGCCACACAGCCCTCATCTCAGTTTCTCACACACCTCATGCTTACTCTTTCTTGCCGTGGGCCTTTCTTCTCACAGGATGCCACTCTGGATGTTAATACCTTGATGTGTTCCTCCTCCATTTCCAAAGATTCTGATCCTTCCTCATATTTCAGGTTTCAGCTGAAGGGCAGCATTCCAGAAAGCCTTCCACATCCAATGAGGGTCTCCTGCCACATGGCCCCAGAGCGCCCCACATTTCTCTTCTCAAACCCATCATATTTTCTTATAATTCACTATTTCTTGCCTATTTTTTCTTGTTTGACTGAAAGCTCTATTTTGCTTGCCATTGTATCCTAGGGACAAAAACATTGCTTGATGTGAAAAGAAAGAATGAATAAATGAATAAGCGAGTGGATGTGGACTGACTTGAAGACAATGATTACAAAATGGCAAGGGCTTTGGGTGGTTGCATTTGAATACTTTAAATGTTGGAGTTTTGCTTTATGAATAATAGAGAACATTTTCAGGTGTTAAAGAATGTGGAGGACATAATTAAGTTGATGACTGAGGAAAATGAAGTGACAGCTTGTGTGCAGGTGTGCAGGATGGATTGGAGTTGGAGTCCCTCTTATCTGTTGGGATCTATATTCCCAACAGATAAATATGGAACTCTGCACCAAGATGTTGAAAGCATAAATGGGACCAGTGGATAGATATGAGCTCTGGGAAAAAAAGAATTAATAGAACACAAAGATATGTTGAATGTGGAGATGCCGATGAAGATGTGGCCCGGGTCAATTGCCAACCATCACCCCGCTTTGTTGAAGATCTATTTCAATGTTTTGAGTCCTCTTGAATCTTTTCATGTAATTTGCATAATTTTAAGAGTCAGCATTGTATTTGATCATTTAATTTTTTAAAACTTTTTTTGGAGAACCAAGGTCTAAACTACTTCTTGGCCCAATTACTCCATCAGCTAAATTCGAAGTACCCAGTTGGGCGCATTCCAGGTGTCGGTATAGCTGAATTGAATGAAGATGTTTATTGAGAGAGCTAGAACAGCATAGACACGGTCTTCCCCTCGAGAGATAGCATCTATAAGGCTTTATTTTAAAATTTAGTTAATTAAAAGGTATTTTTATATTAATATTTGGTGTTGTGAGGTGGAGCTCTTACACTGTTGGTAAGAGTATAAATAGGATATCCTTTCAGGAGGGCACTGTGTATCAAAAGCCCTTAAAATAATGTTGTTATTGTCTTTTTAAAATAACCATTTTTAATTGTGGTAAAGTGTAAATAACAAAATTTACCATTGTAAGCATTTTCAAGTGTACACTTCAGTGGCATCAAGTACAAATCATGGTGCAACCATCACAATAATCCATCTCCAAAACTTTTATTATCTTCCCAAACTGAAACTCTGTACCCATTAAACAGTCATTTCCCGATTCCCTCTCTGACCTTTCCCTGGTGACTATCATTCCACTTTTTACCTCTTCATTTATTTTCTTTCTATTTTTTTTTTTGTTTTTTTAACTGTATATTCAAAACTTAGGTTTTTTTGATTTTTTTTTTTTTTTTTTTGAGCCTGATGTCATGAACTCATACAGTGCTTGCCTTTTGTGGCTGGCTTATTTTGCTTAGACAGCGCCTTAACGTTTTATCCAGGCTGTGGCTTGTGTCATAATTTTCTTCCTTTTGAAGGATGGACAATATCTCATTGTGTGTACATATCACATTTTGTTTATCCACTTATTCATCAGCGGACACCTGAGTTGCTTCCACCTTTTGGCTATTGTAATGAAGGCTATTATAAACATGGCCACATAAATATCTGTTCATTTTCTTGCTCTTAGTTCTTTCAGATATATACACAGAAGTGAAATTCCTGGACCACATGTCAATTTTATGCTTAATTTTTTGAGGAATCACCATAGTGTTTTCCACAGTGGATGCACCATTGTACATTTTTACCAGCAATGCTACGAGGATTTCAATTTTTCTACATTCTCCCCACTACTTGTTATTCTCTGGTATTTTAATAATATCCATATTAAAGGGCATGAAGAGATATCCTATTGTGGTTTTGATTTGCATTTCTCCAATAGTTAGCATGTTGAGCATCTTTTCACATGCTTATTGCCATTCGTACATCTTTGGAAAAATATCTATTAAAGTCCTTTGCACATTTTTAAATTGGGTTTTTGGTTTTTATTGTAGAGATGTAGTAGTTCTTTCTATATTCTGAATATTATCCATTATCAGATATATAATATGCAATTTAGTTTTTACTCCATAGGTTGCAGTTTCACTCTGATGATACTGGTCTTTGATGCATAAATGTTTTTAATTCTGATGAAGTCCAATTTATCTACTGTTTTTGTTGTCTGTGTTTTTGGTTTCATATCGAAAAAATTATTGCCAAATCCAATGTCATGAAAATTTGTCTTCATGTTTTCCTCTAAGATTTTTATAGTTTTAGCTTTTACACTTACATCTTTGGTCCATACTGAGTTGATTACCTTTTAATAATTTATAATTTATTTTATTTTTTGCAGCCATTACTGAATCTGGGAGAGTTCATTTTTGTATATGGGCTAAATTAAGGGTTGAATTTCATATTTTGCATATGAATATCTAGTTTTCTCAAACTTTTTATTGAAAAGACTATATTTTCTTCATTAAATGGTCATGACACTCTTGTTTAAAATTATTTGACAATATATTTTATGGTTTGTTTCTTGGCTCTTTGTTCTACTCCGTTGGTTTAAACGTCTGTCATTATGCCTATTCCACAGTTTAGGCTACCAAAGCTTTATAGTAAGTTTTGATATCAGGAAATGTGAGACCTACACCTTTGTTTTTCTTTATCATTATTATATTGACTATTGGGGTTTCTTGAGTTTTCATATGACTTTTAGAATAAATTTTTCGATTCTTACAAAAATATCACTGGGTTATGGTAGAGATTGTACTGAATCTTTAGACTGCTCTGGGTAGTGTTGACAAGTTTAAAGCTTTCAATCCATGAACATGGGTTGTCTTTCCATTTATTTCTATTTTCTTAAAATTTTTCAGGAAGATTTTGTAGTTTTCACTGTATAAGTTTTTTGCTTCCTTGGTTTTACTAATTTTACTCTTGGTTTTACTGATTTTCTCCATTGTCTTTAATAGTTAAGTTTATTCTTAAGTATTTTATGTTTTTGATGCTATTGCAAGTGGAATTGTTCTTTAATTTCCTTTTTGAATTGTTCACTATTAGTATATAGAACAGCAACCACCAATTTTTGCATGTTGATTTTGTATGTTGCGACTTTGCTGAATTGATTTATTAATTCTAACAGTGTTTTGTGTGTGGGTGCATATGTGTGACATTTAGAGTTTTTTACCTATAAGATGGTGTCATCGACAACCAAAGATAATTTTACTTCTTCCATTAGAATTTCGGTGACTTATTTCTTTTTCTTCTCTAATTGCTCTGGCTTGTACTTCTAGTACTATTTTGAACACAAGTGGTGAAAGTAGGAATCCTTGTCTTGTTATTGAGCCTAAAAAAAGAAGTTCAGTTTTTCACCATTACGTATAATTTTAGCTGTGGGTTTCTCATAGATGGCTCTTACTGAGTTAGATTTTTTTCTAGTTTGTTGAGTGTTTTCATCATGAAATAATGCTAAATTTTGTCAAATGCTTTTTCTGACTCAAATGAAATGATCATGTGTTTTTTTCCCTCCTTCATTCCATGAATTGTGATTTATTAGATTGACTGACTTTCTTCTCAATGTATAAAACCACCTTTGCATTTAAGGAATAAATCTCATTTTGTCACAGTGTATAACCCTTTTAATATGCTGTTGAATCCTATTTGCTAGTATTTTCTAGAGAATTAGGAAGCATTCCTTCCTCTTCAATTTTTTGGAACGGTTTAAGGTGTTAATTCGTTAAGTGTTTGATGTAATTCACCAGTGAAAACATCTGTTCCTAGTTTTTTATTTGTCGTGAGTTTTTTGATTACCAATTCAATCTCCTTATTAGTTATAGGTCTATTCAAATTTTTTATTTCTTCGTGATTCAGTCCTGGTAAGGTGTGTGTTTCTAGGAATTTGTTCATTTCATTTGGTAATCCAATTTCTTAGTGTACAATCGTTTATAGTACTCCTTATAATCTTTTCTATTTCTGTCAAATTGACAATAATATTCCATGCTGATTTTTTTGTCTTCTTGCTCCTTTTTAGTCAACCTAGCTAAAAGTTTGTCAATGTTGCTAATGTTTTTTAAAAACCAACTCTTTATTTTACTGATTTTCTCTATTGTCTTTTTAAAAATTTGTATTTGTCTTTAATCTTTATTAATTCATTCCTTCTGCTAGTTTTGGACTTACTCTTTTTTCCTTAGTTTCCAAAAATATAAAGTTAGGCTATTGATTTGAGACCTTTTGTCTTAATAAATGTGAGCTTTTACAGCCATAAATTTTCCTCTTAGCTCTGCTTTTCCTACATCTCATAAGTTTTGGTATGACAGGTATGTCATGATTTATTTTTGTTTTTCTCAAGATATTTTATAATTTTCCTTGTGATTTCTTTTTTGGTTGTTTAAAGGTATGTTGATGAACTTCAATATATTTGTGTGTTTTCCAGTTTTCCTTCTGTTGTTAATTTCTCGTCATTCCATTGTGATAAGAACAGACAATTTGTATTATGTCAATTCTTTTACAATGTATTAAGACTTTTTCTGTTGCCTAATGCATGAGTTATCATGAAGAGTGCACCAAGTGCACTGGAGAAAATGTATATTCTGTTGTTGCTGGGTGAAGTGTTAAGTATATGTGTGTCAGGTCCAGTTGGTTATAATGTTGCTCAATTTCTCTGTATTCGTATTTGATCTTCTGTCTGGTTGTTCTATCCATTACTGAAAGTGAAGTATTAAAGTTTCCTACTATTTTAGAGTTATCTATTTCTCCTTCCAATTCTTTCATGTTTACATCTTATAGTTGGGAGCTCTGATGTTTGATGCATATATGCTTATAGTTGTTGGCAAATTAACCCTTTTATCATTATATAATAATCATTCTTTGTCTCTTGTAACAGTTTTTGACTTAAAGATTACTTTGTCTAATATTAGTTGGCCGTTTTTGCTCTGGTCACTTTTGTTTTGGTTACTATTTGCATAGAATACCTTTTCCCATATTTTCACTTTCAACTTATAGATGATATTAAATCTAATGTGAGTCTCTTATATATAGGATATGCTTGGATTCTTTCTTTCAATCCATTCTGTCAATCCATGTCTTTTGATTGGAGAGTTTAAGCCACTTACATAAAGTAACTACTAATAAGGACACTTTTTGACATTTTGTTGTTTTTTGCTGTATGTCTTAGAGCCTTTTGTGTCCCTCATTTTTTGCATGACTGTTTTCCATTTTGTTTACTTGATTTTTTATAGTAACATATTTTGAATTTCTTCTCATTTCCTTTTGTGTATATTCTATAAATATTTTCTTTGTGGTTACTATGGGGATTATATATAACATTCTAAAGTTATGACAATCTTTGTTAAATTGATGCCAATGTAACTTTAGTCACATACAAAAACTCTGCTTCTTTACAGCTCCTCCTCCCCAAACACTTTATGTTGCCAAGGTCACAAATTACATCTTTATACATTATGTTCCCATTAACATAGACTTATAATTCTTTTTGCTTTTGGCTTTTACCTAGTACATAACAATTAAAAGTGGAGTTACAGGCCAAAATTTCTGTTAATGTATTTATGTTTACTGGAGAACTTTATATATATATATGTGTATATATATACACACACATGTGTGTGTATGTGTGTGTATATATACACACACACGTGCATCTATGTGTATATACACACACACGTGCATCTATGTGTATATACACACACACGTGCATCTATGTGTATATACACACACGTGCATCTATGTGTATATATACACACACGTGCATCTATGTGTATATATACACACACGTGCATCTATGTGTATATATACACACACACGTGCATCTATGTGTATATATACACACACACGTGCATCTATGTGTATATACACACACACGTGTATATATGTGTATACACACACACACGTGTATATATGTGTACACACACGTGTATATATGTGTATACACACACACGTGTATATATGTGTATACACACACAGTGTATATATGTGTATATACACACACACGTGTATATATGTGTATATACACACACGTGTATATATGTGTATATATATACACACACGTGTATATATGTGTATATATATACACACACGTGTATATATGTGTATATATATACACACACGTGTATATATGTGTATATATATACACACACGTGTATATATGTGTATATATATACACACACGTGTATATATGTGTATATATATACACACACGTGTATATATGTGTGTATATATACACACACGTGTATATATATGTGTATATATACACACACGTGTATATATGTGTATATATACACACACGTGTATATATGTGTATATATACACATATATGTATATGTATATATATATTTTTTCTCAAGATGGAGTCTTGCTCTGTTGCCCAGGCTGGAGTGCAATGGTACGATCTTGGCTCACTGCAACCTCTGCCTCCTGGGTTCAAGCGATTCTACTGCCTCAGCTTCCCAAGTAGCTCGGATTGCAGGTGCATGTCACCATGCCCAGCTAATTTTTTGTACTTTTAGTAGAGACAGGGTTTCACCATGTTGGCCAGGCTGGTCTCGAACTCCTGACCTCATGACCCACCTGCCTAGGCCTCCCAAAGTGTTGGGATTATAGGCGTGAGCCACCAGACCTGGCTAAGAACTTTGTATTTTGACAGAGTTTTGAGTGTTGTTTCTTTCAACTTAAAGGATACTCGTTAGCATTTCTTCTGGAACAAGTCTATTGGTAATGAACTACGTCCGCTCTTAGTTATCTGTGAATGTCATAATTTGTTTCCCATTTTTGAATAACAGTTTTGCTATGTAGAGAATTATAATACAGAGTGAGACCATATAAAATTATACATATATGAAATACAGAGTGAGACCATATATATATATGGTGTCTTAAAGCATATATATGCTTTAAGACAAATATAACATTAAAAAACATAAAAACATAAAAAAATAAAAAGAGGCCATAGATATATGGTCTCATTCTGTTGCCCATACTGGAATGTAGTGGCATGATGACTGCTCACTGCAGCCTTGACCTCCCAGGCTCAAGTGATCCTCCCTCCTCAGCCTCCCAAGTAGTTGGGACTACAGGCGTGCACCACCATGCCCAGTTGATTTTTAAATTTTTTATTTTTTGCAGAGATGGAGTCTCACTATGCTGCCCAGGCTAGTCTTGAACTCCTGGGCTTATGTGATCTTCTGCCTTGGGCTCCCAAAGTGCTAGAATTACGGTGATAAGCCACTGTACCCAACCTAGATTCTTGACTGATGCTTTAAGAAAACGTTTAGCATCTTAAATATATCATCTAATTTTCTCTGGCCTGTAAGTTTTTTTGCTGAGAAATCCACTTATAGTCTGTCCTGGATCACTTGTACATGACACGTCACTTTCCTTTTGCTCTGTTCAAGATTCTCTTTGTCTGTGTCAACAGGTTGATAATAATGTGTCTTGGGGTTGGTCTCTTTGGGTTGGTTAATCCTACTTAGACTTCTTGTATTTGCGTGTCCGTATTTATCTTCACATTTGTGAAGCTTTTGTCCATTATTTCTTCAAATAACCTCACTGCCCTTTTCTCTCTTTCCTCCTCCTGGGACTCTGATAGTATATATTTTGTCCACTTGATGCAGCAAGAGTTAATTTTTTAATAGTTTTTCCTTTTGCTCTTCAGAGTTGATGATTTCAAATCACCTGTCTTGAAGTTCAGTGAATTTTTTTTTTTTTTTGGTCTGATTGGGACAGCCACGCTGCAGAATTTCTATTTGTTTGTTTTAAAGTATAATTTTTGTCTCTTTGTTGATATTATTATTTTGTTCATATATCTTTTTCTCAATTTCCTTTAGTTCTTTGTCCACATTTTCCTGTAGCTTTTTGAGCATATTTAAGACAATTGTTTAAGAAGTCTTTTCCTGGACAGTCTGATACCTATTTTTCTTCAGGGATGATTTCTGGAAATTATTTTGTTCCTTTTATTGGGCCAGGAAATTATTTTGTTCCTTTTATTTTGCCATATTTTGCCATTTTTTTTTTATGTCTTGTGATTGTTTATTGAAAATTGGGCATTGAAAACACATCAACCTTTCCAATCTTGGCAGGTTGACATGGAGGAGCTTCACTAATCAGGGGGCCTTTCAGCCTCGGGATCAGCCTGAAGTGAGGCTTAAGATATTCTGAGGTCTTTTAAAGGCATATTTCGTGGTTGGACCTGTGTGAGATTTAAAAATAAAATCTTCCCTCTCCACAAAAATAGCTGCTTTAAAATGTCCTAATTTGCCAGAGAGTCTCACCCCAGGTTCTCCTTGGCAAATTAGATGCTTTATCAGATTTCTCTGTTAAAAATCATTTGCCCCCAAATGTCTATGGGTCTATAGTCCCCCTTAACATTTTACACACCACAGTACCTGCCACTGCCTTCCATGTTTTCCACCAGCCTGAGTTACAAACAATGTTTTCATTTTCTGTCTGAGCTCCAAGTCAGACACGACAGCAAACCATCCTGTGGAAAGCCCACAGACAAGTTAGAACATTGCGAGTATGTTGTGCTCTTCTCCTCCTAGCTCCAGGGAGGAAACTAGGAATTAGGACATTTTCTCCCAACTACACCACAGTGGAAGGGGTGAGGTGGGGTGAGTAAAAACACCACAAAATTTCCCACCGTTTGACTGTGGCTTTTTTTCAGTGGGAATTCACTTGGTGGCTGCAGATCTTTGACTAGTTTTCAGAGCTCATATAAAGTCATTTTAGTATATCTGCAGATATTTTATTTAATGTTTCAGTGGGGAAACAAGGGTGTAGACCTTCCTAGCCTGCCGCCTTGCTGACTTTACTGCTGTTCAGCACTTTTACATAGTACCTGGCAAAAGGAAGGCATTGATATTATGATGTTTTCTAATTATGTGCACATTCTCAACTTTTTCCTGAGGGTAATAAGAAGGACAAGCAGCACTGGGAACAAACTGGAGAATTGTTTTAAATGACTGCGCAGAGAGGAGATGGGGTTTGTGACACCCCTTAAATTGCACTATGCACATGGCTACTTAAAATCTTTGGTAGGGTTTGATTTTTCTAACTGAGAACATTCATTAGATGCAAAAAGAACCCCCAAACTGCCTCTAGTATGTAACTCAGAAGTAGAATATGTGGGAATCATAAAATTAAAAATGGAGCTTATAAAAACTAGAAGGCTAGGTTTAAATAAAGAATAAAAGAATTAACACTAACTATTTTTGGTGTTTTCTGTTCTAAGAAGACTAATTGCATGTCCAGGGTAGTCTGGTAGCAATTTGAGACATGGTGTTTTAAGAACTGCATTGTTTTAAATCTATGAAAAATCAGTAGTTAACTTTCCTCAACTCTTTGTGGGAGAAGAGTGATTTTCGGGTTGGTGAAGGATGCAAGACAATGAACTTGGAGCTTCGATTAATGAGCTTTGGGTTTAGGGTTGTGTAAGCTAAGCCATAGAAAAACATATTGTTAGTTAGTGGGACAAACTTCCAAAGGTGAAAATCAATAATCCAGATGGGAAAAAAAAGGTGAATCCCACATACTTGTTTTCCTTCTCTCTCTAAATAAGTGATGAGAAAAACTGGGGACTCTTAAAGGCCAGTCTTTCTTTTTATCCAACTCTGGACCACTCTGTCCTTTTTTATAGTATCAAGAAAGGAAATGTTGATAAGTGATACATCCTTTCCATCATGATGCATTTTTCTCAGCCCAGTAAAGATAAATGAATGTTTGACCTTATTCTTAAAGTCCTCCAAAGACATCGTGATATAGCTTCCCTCAAAAACTCTTTTATGATATTTATAGTCAGAATACTAATAATTTGCTTATTTCCCCTTTCTAGACTCTGTTTTTCTTTTATTCTATTCTCTGGAATTATTAATAATGGTTGATCAGCATCTTATTTAAGACAAATTGCATAGATCAGAAAATACTTGAATTCTATCCCAGTCTTCTATTCTTCCAGCTACATAGTTCCAAAACTCTTCACCCTTTTACAGCACAGAATCAATGCTCAATAAATATTGATCCTATTTTCCAATATTCTAAGCACTTCGGACGGGGGGAAAAACTATAGATCATGCCTGTGTTTATTTTGTTGCTAATCTATGGCTTTGAACCCCTTCAGGGCAGAAAGAAGTCTCACAAACAGCAGCAAAGAATAGTGACAGACTGGTCTTTAATATCCTCCTATTGCTGGACCTATCATCTGGTTAACACTACATTTTTAGTAATTCAGATCTGAGACATAGTATCAACCAATAGGTTTATATGAATTTTTAGAACTCAGATTTCAGAACTCTCAGACAATTTGGTTCAAAACAAAAATGAAACTTGATTTCCACAGAACTATCATGACCCTAGAAACAAATGAGACTTAATTTGGTCCTTCTGATATGAATTCCTGCAATTCTAAGGAGAATCGCCGACTATCAGGATTCCTGTTTCGGGAATGCAGTTGGATCAGATGGCCTCTAACGTCCCTTCCAAACCCAAGATTAGGTTCTTGTGTGAAACTACAGCAGACAGAAATTCTATTTTTTCCACCAGATTTCTGTGGGGATGCATTTCCTTTTATCTACCTTCAAATATCTCATTAATATCATAACTTTAGACATCCATGTGTTTGAGTTCATATGTAGGCTCTGTCCGCAAACATTCATATTTATTTTGCTATTCTTTCTTCTCCATCTGTAAGATACATCCCCATGTTATTTGTGGACATATAAGACCCTTATCTGTGGCAAAGCTTGTGCCACGTGAGGATAGAGTCATCAGAAAAACATTTTGAGGATTCAAGGTTGGTGAGTGGAACCCTGGAATAAAGTAAGAGGTTGTGGCTGAGCTGTGTTTAGGAAACTGGTGCACTGAGCACCAGCCACAGATTTCCCAAGGGTAGCCAGGGCTGACAGCTCAGCACAGGGAAATTAAAAACAGTGAAATTTTAAAATACACATCAATTTTAATGCAATCTATATGTTTGGCTTGTCTTCATTTTTGGCATTTGTCAGAGGAGAAATAAGATATCCTTGTAGGAAAATTAAATAAATAAATTGTACCCTATGAAAAAGAAAAGCAAAGCAATAAATTACAAATGCTTTTATTTCTTCCGTCAGAGTTTAACATTCTAGCATCCAATCAAAAGTTTGAAAGTCCCTTTTCTATGATTATAGTACATTAGATAAATGGGTTTTTAAAATGCACGTATTTATTTAGAACAGAACCTCATTCTGATTAAGTTTTCAATTCAGTTACCACCTACTTTATTTTTGATAGGCTTCATGGGAGAAGATTTATTTTATTTAATTTATTTTTGATGCTTCAAACATTGCTGAAATCTGGTGTAATATGAATTGTTTTGATTTCCAAATGCAATTCTGCTAAATCTAGACAGGGAGAAAGTGATATTTCTGTTTACTTTCAACTAGAGCATCCAGTTCGATGTGTCTCTGAGCCTTTGTATGTGGCACAGTAAAAAGTTTTGGGTAAGTAAACAGGGATCTGGACCTGAAACTATGTTTCATTAATCTACAGACAAGTTGCTGAAGATAGTATACATTTGGTTAAGATTTCCTGGCTACTTTTGGTTGAGGTTGAGGTTTTGGTCATGAGTAGCAGACCCATAAGTTAGTCTTAACTTTTATACAAACTAATTTTGGGATGCTAAGCAAATTTCCCCTAGATTTTTAGCAAAAGCCTTGGAGCTGATTTAGATCCAGCCTCACATTTGACAGAAGAACACATCAAGGTCCACTGTGGTTAAATGTCTCACTCAATGTCATGTAGAGATGTTTGTAGTAGAATTGAGATTTGTCTTTGTCTTTTTAATTTACTTTTATTTAAATTAAATAAAATATGAGATAAGGGTCTCACTATGTTGCCCAGGCTGGTCTTGAACTCCTGGGCTCAAGCAATCCTCCTACTTCGGCCCCCAAAGTGCTGGAACTACAAGTGTGAGCCACTGCACCTGGCCTGTTTTTGTTTGTCTAAATGTGTAATACTCTCTCCACTTTACCAGACTATCTGCTATCATACTATATAAACTAATTGAACTCCAAGATAATAGCACTGAAGTGACCAATTTTATATGATATTTTTAATTAAGAAAAAAATAGTTCTTAAAAGAACTATTTTTAAAAGATATAAAATGAATTATTTTAAAAGACAAAATGAATTATTAAAATGCTACCACTGTTTGTGCATTTTAATAGATTTTAAAGTTTCTCTGTTGAGATTTTCTGGTTATTCATGTATTTCCCTTTCTATTCTTGAGCATAGTTATAATAACTACTATTAAAATACTTGTCTACTGATTCCATCATCTGAGTTGTCTTGGGGTTGGTCTTCATTGATTACCTTTTCTCTTGATTATGGGTCACATTTTCCTGTTTCTTGGTAGTCTAGTAATTTTGATTATATTCTGGACATTGGTACAAAACTTTGGATTCTGTTATGCTCTTCTGAATGTATTGATTTTTGTTCTTTGGTTTTAGCAGACAGTTAATGTGGCAATAATCAAAGTCCAACCTCTGTGTTCTCTGTGGTGGGCAGCAGTAGGAATCATTGTGGAGTCCTTTTGGCCTTAGCTGGTTTGCTTGTAGTCTTCCCTGCAGAGGAGGCATTCAGAGATCAGCCAGATATTTAAACCGATTTTTTTTTTCTAGTTGGAGTTTTGCTCTTGTTGCCCAGGCTGGGCTGCAATGGTGTGGTCTCAGCTCACTGCAACCTCCACCTCCCGGGTTCAAGCAATTCTCCTGCCTCAGCCTCCAAGTAGCTGAGATTACAGGCACCCGCCACCACACCCAGCGAATTTTTGTATTTTTAGTAGAGACAGGGTTTCACCACTTTGGCCAGGCTGGTGTCAAACTCCTGACCTCAGGTGATCTGCTCCCCTCGGCCTCCCAAAGCGCTGGATTACAGGCATGAGCCACCACGCTCAGCCTAAACCAATCTTTAAATACAGAATTTAGGGCTTTCCCTTTGTGTATATCTTTTTTCTGGCACCTCTTTCCTCATTTTATAGCTGCCGTGGTCACTTCAAACTCTGTCCTCTGTTTCCACAAGCCAGTGAGACTGCAGGATATCTACTGAGTTTTAGTAATTCCACTTCATGCTCATTGGGGCTGCCTTCAGGCAAAAGTCCATGAAATATTGAAAACTTACCCAGCATCATCCCATTTCCTTCTTCTAAGTGTAAATTTTCCTCAGCATTTCCCTGCTTTTGTTTGTTTGCAGTACCTTCAGGTAGTGGTTTTTCTCTCCTTTAATTTTGTTGTGTGTATCCAGATTTTATAGTTATTATCTGTGCAAAGATTGTTCTGTTAGAAGCTACTCCTTCATTGCCAAAATAGAAAGCAGATTTTTAAACATGGATTTCTCTCAGGAGGAAATTTTTACAACTATTTTTGAGTTCTAGTCTCCCTTTTCCCCCGTTAGAGACATAAAATAAACACTCAATATAAAAATGGGAGAAAATGTTATATAACATATGTGTTGATTACATAGATTGCATATACATATATATGGTATGTTTAATGCATATACTTTATGTATACATTAAGTATAGAGAACAACATATTGATATTACATACTTTTCAGAATGTACACTGTCTATTCAATAATTCATTTTGTGATGAGTGCTGGCATACCAGACCTTTGATCTGAATGTTTTTTGCCACTGTCTGTGGAACCTCACAATATCACATTGAGCTATCCAGGACAATAACTGTCACTCCAATAGGACCACCACCTCTTTTCTTTGCCTATACTGTCTTCACTTTTCCTTCACGTTGTGTTCTCTGTTTCCTTTTCCTTGTGGAAGTCACAGGGTACACAAGGATTGTGACCTACCCAGGCTAGTCTTCAGAGTTAGCAGAGCATCTCTTTCTCTCTCTCACTCGCTTGTTTTTTTTTAAATTCCATTTTGTTTTTCTATTTATTTTAGACAGTCCCATTTTTCTCAGAGATGTGTTGATATTCTCACTGAGTATTCCAAGAGTTTTCCTGCCCAGTCTCCATATTATATCCCAGAATTAAATTAGAAAGGTTGATTACAGCTTTTTTGCCCAGTGAGTCAATGTCAAAGTGAGAAATCTTAAAAAAAAAAATGGATTTGTACCGATGTGTCATTGATTGCTGGCAGGAAGATCAACAAGCTTTTCAGTCACTCTAGCATCTGGTTGTAGTATTTGGAGAATACCTGAGAATAACTACTCTGAGAACAGTCAGGATGATTTTGACTATACCTAAAAGTAAACCTAAATTAAAGAACTTAATCAATAGATGTTTATTATCTCTCATCACTCTATGTCCAGAGTAAGGAAGCGGCAAAGTTGGTTAATTGACTATCGCAGTGATGTGAAGACTTTGTATGAGCTTCTCAGCAATTCTTCTGGCTTTTGTTCTTATGGTCACAAGGTAACTGCATCAACTCTTAGCATAAGACAACGCCCAGAGGCAGGAAAGTGTAAGATATGTGCCTGTGCCTATTTTTCATCAAATAAGAAGACATTTTCCCAGATTTCCCCATAAACAGCCTTTATAGCCTCACTGGCTAGAAGTGGGTCCCATGCTTTCTACAAAACAATTCATGACAAAGAAGAATGGGATTACCATGATTAGCCTAAACCAGGTGTTGAATAGTGGTTGAATTGTGGCCCCCCGACAAAATGCATGTTTACCTGGAGCCTCAGAATGTGAGACATTATTTAGAAATAGCGACTCTGCACATGTAATTAATTAAGGATCTTGATATAAAATCATCTAGGATTTACAGTGAACCCCATTTCCAATGACAAGTGTTCTCATAGGATGAGGGGAGGACACAGAGAGGAAGCCATGTGAAGATGAAGATAGAGACTGGAGTGATGCCGCTACAAGCGAAGGAATGTCAGGAGCCACCAGAACCTGAGGGAGGCAAAGAACAATTCTCTGGAGCCTTTGGAACCTTGATTTCAGACTTCTGGAGGCCAGAAATGTAAGGGAACAAATGTTTGTCCTATTAAGCCTCCTAATCTGTGGTGATTGGTCACAGCAACCCTAAGAAACTACACTATACCAGAGTTTGGCAAACTAAGGCCCACCAGTCAAAGCCTGCTGTTACCTCTTCATATAAATCCGGTTTTATTAAAACACAGCCACACCCATTCATTTACACATTGCCTTTAGCTGCTTTCCAAGACAATGGTAAAGCTGAGTAGTTGTTACAGAGACTTTATGTCCAGCAAAACTTAAAATATTTACTCTCTGTCCTTTTGCAGAAAAAAGCTTGTTGATCTTTGGTCCAGAGTAATAGTGGTTCAGCTCCTAGTGCTACAGAGAGGTACATCTTCTATGATCATGTCATTTCTCAACACCTGAACAAAGGGAAGTTCTTTTAGCAAAGAGGACAGGGATATTTTTTACAGATAGGAAACCAAAATAATCATGAACATGTGAAGACTAAACATGGATTGTGCATAATAATAAACTAATACTTGTTAATTATCCACACTTGTAGTTTTAATTTAGAAAACTCACCATATTTATAGGCTCCCAGGTGGCTTTTGTTATTATGTGTTATTATTTGTCTGTATGTGTTAATAGATTACAAATTTGGCAGTAGAGATAAACCACAATATTCATTGTGATCATGTTGATCTTGTGAATTGTGTATACAAAATATATGTTACAAACTTTCCTTTCTGTATTCCTGGATCTCTAGATGATGATATCCAAGACTTGGGTTTAAAAATGCTAGACATTTCTGGACTGGGTGAGGTGGCTCATGCCTGTAATCCCAGCACTTCGGGACGCTGAGGCGGGCGATCACCTGAGGTCTGGAGTTCAAGACCAGCCTGGCCAACATGGTGAAACCCCATCTCTACTAAAAATATAATAATTAGCTGGGCATGGTGGCAGGCACCTGTAACCCCAGCTACTCAGGAGACTGAGGCAGGAGTATCGCCTGAACCCGGGAGGTGGAGGTTGCGGTGAGTCGAGATCGCGCCTTTGCACTCCAGCCTGGGTGACAGAGTGAGACTCTGTCTCAAAAACAAAAAAACAAAAAACACTAGACATTTCTACAGGAATAAATAAAGGGTGGTACCGGGACAAGGTTAGACATGTAGCTCATGGAATAGAATTGAATGTTCGGGGAAAAAATGCCCAACGTGTTATTTATGGTCAACTGAGTTTTGACAAAGGTACCAAGGCAATTTAATGGGTAAAGGATAATCTTTTCAGCAAATGATAATGGGACAACTGAATATCCACATGCAAAATGATTAATTTTGACCACTGTCTTATATCATACATAAAAAACAATTAGAAATAGATTGTAGATTTAAATGCAAGTTAAAACTATAAAACTTCTAGAATACAACATAAAAGAAAATCTTTGTGATCTTGGGTTATGCAAAGAGTTCTTAGAAATGATACCAAAAGCATGATTCACAAAGGAAAAAATAATACATTGGACTTTTTCAAAATTTAGAACTTTCAGGCTTCTAAAGACACCATTAAGAAAATGAAAAGATAGCCACAGGCTGAAAGCCAACATTTAAAACTTACATAGCTAATAAAACACTTATACATAGAATATATAAAAATACTTATAACTCAACAATAAGACAAAGAACTCAACTTAAAAATAAGCAAAGGATTTCCATTCTACCAAAAAATACTTGCATTGTATGTTCATCACTGTACTGTTCACAATAGCAAAGACATGAAGTCAACCTAAGAGCCCCTCAGTGGTGGACTGGATAAATAAAATGTGGTATATATACTCCATGGAATACTATGCAGCTATGAAAAAGAATGAAATAATGTTCTTTGCAGCAACATGGATGCAGCTGGAGGCCATTAACCTAAGTGAATCAGTGCAGGAACAGAAAGTTAAATACTGCATGTTCTCACTTATAAGTGGGAGCTAAATATTAGGTACTCATGGACATAAAAATGGCAACAATAGACAATGGGAAGTCATTGGGGGAGAAGGGAGAGAAGGAGGCCAGGGCTGAAAATGAACTATTGGGTACTGTGATCAGTACCTGGGTGATGGATCATTCATACCTCAAACCTCAGCATCACACAATATACCAGGCAACAAGCCTGTGCATGTACTGCTTGAATCTAAAATAAAAGTTAAATTTATTAAAAACAGAAGACCAAGGGATTTAAATAGGTATCTCTTCAAAGAACATATTTGAATGGCTAAGAAGCACATGTAAAGATGCTTAACATTATTATTTATTAGGGAAATGCAGATTAAAACCACAATGAGATGCCTTTTCAATTGAAGAAAAAAAGACAGACAATAACAAGAGCTGACAAGGATATGGGGAGCCTGGAACTCTCATACATTGCTAGTGAGAATGCAAAATGGTATGGATACTTTAAAAATGAGTTTGGCAGTTTAATAAACACTTTAATGAAAACATAAACTTAATATATGGCACAGAAATTCTACTCCTAGGTATCTATCTAAGATAAATGAAAAGATATGTCTGCAAAGAGACTTGTATGCAAAAGTTCATAGCAAAATTACTCATACAAAATAATTGGGAACAGTGCAAACGTTCATCATCTGGTGAATGAATAAAGAAAATGTAGTAATCTATGCAATGTACTATTCAACAATAGAAAGAAACTACTGAAACATGCTTCAGCATGAATGAATCTTGAAAAACTTATGCTGTATAAAAAAGCCAGACACAAATGACAAAATGTTGTGTGATTCTATTTTTATGAAATGTCCAGAAAAGGCAAATCTATAGAGAAAAAGTAGCTTATGGTTGCCTGGGACTGCAGGATGAAAATGGAGAGTAACAACAAATAAGAATGAGGAATCATTTTTAGATGTTGGAAAGGGTTCTAAAACTGAATTGTGGTGATAGTTGCACAACTCTATAAATTTACTAAAGATCATTAGCAGCTGGGCATGGTGGTGCACGCCTATAGTCCCAGCAACTCGGGAGGCCAAGGTGGGAGGATCCCTTGAGCCCAGGAGTTGGAAATTGCAACGAGCTATGACTACACCACCACACTACAGCCCAGGCAGCAGAGCAAGACCCTGACTCTAAAAAGAATAAAATAAAATAAACTAGTTATATTATAGTGGGCGGGTTTATGGTATGTAAGTTATACCTCATCATGATTATTCAAAAATATATAGTAAGGGAATTTTTTAAAACCCTGCAAATATCTAACTTTTGTCCAACAGAAAACACGGATGCAAACTACAAAGGATATCACCTGTATCCATTGCTATTTCAACTAAAAAACTGATTACAAAAAGGCTAAAGGGAGATTGGGAGTTCTGTTCTTGTCAGAGAGATGCTTAAATCTCATAACCACTGTGTAGTTCAGAGTGACATTGTCTGAGCTTCCTGGCCTCCTACAGACCCAGTAAGCAGAATAAAAAGATGAGAATCTTATTAGCAGAATGAGCAGAACATACTTCTAAAGTTTTGCTCTATTTCTTTAATCTTTATCCTATCCCAGGGAGGTAGGCGGAACAGATATTTTTGACCCCCTTTTAGATCATGCAAATCACAGACACATTGCTAAGAGACAGTCACATCTGACTTTTTAAACAGTCTTGGCAGCCCCCCCTTCCTTCTCAGCCCCATCTTCTCATCCTCCCAATCAACTTTATATCTTCCACCAACATTGCATTTAAATCCCTGCTTGTTTCTCACTTTTCCTTTTCTCCTCAGAGGAATAGTAAGGCTATAATCCTTGAGCCAATCTTTGCTTAAAATGTACTCTGGAGTGCATAGAAAGCCAGTTCAAGGACAACTTTCTTAGCCAAGGGGGAAATTACATTTTCTGCAATTTATTTTGTTATTTTGTGAGTTTCTCTCCTTTTCCTAAGTTGGATCCAACTGAAGTTAAATTTTACCACATTCTCCAGATGAAAAGTGATGATAGAACTTAGTTGCAAGGTGTGGAAACAGCAACAACAGCAGCAGCATTTGCTAACTGTTGGGTAAATGCTAGACAGTCCAGGAAACACGTTGCCTGGGTGATCTCCTTTACTCCCCACTCCAGTTGATGAGGCAGGTGCCATTATTACTTCTACTCACAGAAGAGAAAATTGGTCTGGGATTATGTTTAGCCAAAAAGTGGCAGAGAGCAGGTCTGCCTGAGTTTAAGCTTATGGCATGGCATAAGCTCATGTCAACAGCCCCTTTACAGAAAATTGACTTCTTGTCATTTAACCCAAACCCATGTGGAGAGAGGAAATTGGTCTGTGGTCTCTTGGTGACCTTTCATACCTGAAATTGTGTAGATGGGTTATGGTGGTCTCCATCCACCATCCAGGATCACCATGGATATGGTCTGTGGTCTCTTGGTGACCTTTCATACCTGAAATTGTGTAGATGGGGTGTGGTGGTCTCCATCCACCATCCAGGATCACCATGGATATGGTCTGTGGTCTCTTGGTGATCTTTCATACCTGAAATTGTGTAGATGGGGTGTGGTGGTCTCCATCCACCATCCAGGATCACCATGGATATGGTCTGTGGTCTCTTGGTGACTTTTCATACCTGAAATTGTGTAGATGGGGTATGGTGGTCTCCATCCACCATCCAGGATCACCATGGATATGGTGTGTGGTCTCTTGGTGACCTTTCATACCTGAAATTGTGTAGATGGGGTATGGTGGTCTCCATCCACCATCCAGGATCACCATGGATACAGCTGCATGCAAAAAAAACCAAAAAACAAAAAACTCAAAGTTAGAAAAAAGAAAAAGGAAAATGACATGGTTTTTCAATATCATGATGAAATGTTATTAGGCAATTTGAAGTTAATCTATTTCTCTAGGGATGCAATTGTTTGACTTAGTATTTATTATTGATTACGATATTTTGTTACCCTGTAAGTATAAATATCAACTTTTATATGACTAATACCAACATAAATTTTTCTTGTCCAAAGCAAGAAAAGATAACCCTAGAAATTATTTTTTTGTTCTGTGGGACATTAACCAGTTTTATATTTGATTTAGCAATCTTCTTCTAACATTTTTTCAGACCTATATATATAACTAACTCAGTCTCTCAAATCATCTTTGAACTAGCTTTACTCTTCTTTTGATTCTTTCATTAATAAGTTAAATATATCTTTGATATGTGCTCACTTAATATTTGTATAAGAGACATGTTTAAGGTTTTGAAAATTATACTCTGATAGCTTTAAGCTTGTTGAGAGTAAGAAACTAACTCTTTTTTTCTATGTCACCAAATGACTACTACCTTGTTTCTCTCTCTAAGGCCATTAAGCAGTTCATTCTCTACGTCCTCCTCTGCTTAAACATGTTTAGAGCTAGCAGGAAGAAGGCTGCAGCCTGCTTTTCCACTCCTCGCTGCTGCTTCTACTTGAGACATGGAGAAGCATTTAGAAAAGGCCGTGTCTCCCCTGTTCTCAGAGGTTTCCAGTGCAAATAGAGGGGAAAGCCAGTATCTCAGTGCTGTAATCCTTCTGATCTTCCGAGTCTCAGGCATGCTGCTCAGTAACAGCATATTAATAAGACACCCAAGGCTCCCTTTCTATTTAGTTTTTTTGTGTGTTTGGAGACAGAGAGTCTATGTTGCCCAGATTGGTCTTGAACTCCTGGCCTCAAGTGACTCTCCCACCTTTGCCTCCCAATGTTCTGGGATTACAGGAGTCAGCCAAGGTATCCAGTCCCTAAAGCCCTGTTTCTAAACACAGGGTGTGTGCTGTGGATGTCAATACTGACTTTTTTACAGGTAGCTCAATAGCTAGGACAGAGGCTCAGCCACCTTGAATTCTTCCTTCTGACAAAAGAAGTGCTGCACACACAACGCTTAACATACTTCAGAGCTAAATGATCCCGTTTCAAAATATTAGTGCCTGGAGGAAATAATAGGTGTTAACTGCAGCAATGAAGGGGTGAAGTAACCTGGTTACTAATGTACAATGGGGCCTATTATTTCCAGCCAGGATGAAGTGTTGTGAGTCTGATTAATGAGCAATGCTGCGCATGTTTCAACAAGGAAGAGAGAATAGGAGCCTACAGTTATTTCTGCCAAAGCCATCTCTGCATCTGTTGGTGGAATCACTTCAGGATCAGCCTTGTGTTAAGGAGGCAGCTTGATGTTGGTAAAATGAGAAGGAATCTGAAAGCTCCAGGCTGAATCGCCAGCAGATCTCAGTGAAATGACTTGGCATGATACATAAAAACACCCAATGTGGAACCTAGCACTTTCCTAAAACAGAAAGGTGCTGTGAAGCTTTCCTATAAAAGATTGGTTGGGGCTCTTTCAAGCACCCTGAATCTTTAGAGTGGTTGATCACGTTTATTTCCCAGATGGGTATCCCTGCCATGACCCTGAATTGCTGTGATGGTATGCAACTATTACAATAATGTGCTGTCTGATGTTCTTGTTTAGATTGTCTGCGTTTTCTGTGGGTTCAGTTTTTCATTTCATCACTTTTATTTTGTATCTTTCTTTTATTATTATTGTTTTCATTTCACAAATATTACATGAATATCTTCTTGAAAAAGATTCAAAGAATAGCTATTGCTATTAAGTATCATGTTTAAGTCCATATTTTCCCATTCTCTGCTTTCCAACCAAACGCACTTCTATTTCTCTGTCAAGCAAGACCCATTGGTAATAGTGAAAACAGTTTGCTGTGTGTCTTCCTAGTCTCTTCTAAATGATTACACATAAACTCATAAGCTTTTTTCTTCTTTCTTCTTACCTTCTTCCCTCAAAAAAGACACACACACACACACACACACACACACACACACACACACGTTTAAATATGTTTGCTTTTGCAATCGTTTTTCAGGGAACAGTAGGTCACTATGTTTTGCAACTGTTCCATATCAGTTCATATTAGTTTAGTAAGAATGGACCTACTTCCTTTTTATTAAAGATTGAATGCTGTTTTATTGCATGGATTTTCCCCAAATTGTTTCACTGGAAGCCTATTTACTGACATGTATGTTGATTCTGAGATTCCACTCTTGCAAATAATGGTGCCATAAGCATTCTTTTGTAAATGTCTTTGCATATGTTAACTATTTCTTAATGGTTATTTTCCTGGAAGTGGAATTCTTGGGTCAAGTAGTATGCTTTAAACTGTTTTTAAAGAGGCCACCATATTGCACTAAAAAGACTATCAATTTATAATGCCACCAAGAATATTTGAGAATAAAAAGTTTGTCTCACCCTTACTAACACTGAATTATTATTGACCTTTTTAAAAGATTTGTGCCAATTTGATGACTGAAAAAACAAAAACAATAAAAGCATGGCAGGGTAGTGAACTGGTTTAGGACCTAGTCAAATTCAGTTTAAACCCAAGCTCCACTGCAACTAGCTGAGTATCTGTGGGCAAGTTATTTTGGTTCTCTAGGCAACGTCTCCTTTCTTTGCAGTAGGAAAACTACTCACTATAAGGCTTGGTTGTAAGGCTTCAAAATTAGCACAAGTGAACCCTAAAACAGTGGCTGGCCAGTAGCAAGCACTCAATAAACATTAGGTATTATTATTATTAGCATTTTATTAATTTTAGTAGAGCTACATACATTTTTATGTATTTATTGACCACCTGAAATTTGTATTTGAATTACCTTTTAACATAATTTCTGTTCTGCTGAGTTCTTTAACAATTAAAAAAATAATTTGGAAGTTCTTTATACACATATATATGATATAGAACTTTTGTCTTATTTGTATGTTGAAAATATCTTTCAAAGATACTTGCGTGTTTTTTAATGTTGCATATACATTTTTATTTTTAAGTTAAGGAAGTTTATAATTCTTCTTTCATCAAATCTGTCCACTTTCTCCACTATGACTTATTCTTTCAAAGTCTACTTAGGAAACTTCCCCAAACAAGACTTTTAAAACAAACAAACAAAAACACAACAATAATCATAAAGGGTTGTTTATTTATTATTAAATATTTAGCTCTCTAATCCTTTTGAAATTATAAAATGTATGGTTTGCATGTAGTGTGAGATAGAAGATCTATGTAGTTTAGTTTTCTATGAAACAGTCATATAAATAGTATATCCTGTCCATATTTACTTGAAGTTATATCCTATACCTTAACAAAAATAAATGCCCATGAATTCATGGATCTGTTTCTTAATTCTCAAATTCGGTTCCATGTATTTCCTTTTTGTGTCAATAGTCCAATTGTTTTTATTACAATAGGCTTTTTTTTCATGTGATAATAAAATGATAGAGAAATTACCTACCATTTTTTTCTTTTTCAAAATTTTCATGTCATTCTTGGGCTTTTTTTCCTTCTCCAAATGCACTTTACTGTCTGTGTGTAACAGAAAGAGAGGCATAGACCTGGATTTATTTTTAATTACAAATTCTAGTTTATAATTTGTGCTAACATATAAGATAATAATTGATTTTTATACATGAGGATGTGTCTGTCTCCTTACAGAGCTTTCTTATTTTAATAGTGTCTTATTCTAATAATTTATCTGTAAAACCCTCAAATTCTTTTAGATGTAGGCAATCATACTGCAGAGAATTATGACAATTTCCTGTTTCTTTGTGATGTTTATATTATTTATATATTTACTTTGACATTTTTATTGGCTAAGCCTGTAGTGTAATATGGAAAGTGGTCTTTTGTTTTTTCTTGCTCCAAGCTCTAATAGAAATCATATATATATATGATTTATATATATATATATACACATACACACTCACACACACACACACACACAGATATATATATATATATATAATTGCTGTAGGTTTCTGTTTTTTTTTTTTTTTCCCTGAGAGGGAGTTTCGTTCTTGTTGCCAGGCTGGAGTGCCATGGTGAGGTCTTGGCTCATTGCAACCTCTGCCTCCTGGGTTCAAGAGATTCTCCTGCCTCAGCTTCCCAGTTAGCTGGGATTACAGGCACCTGCCACCATGCCCAGCTAATTTTTGCATTTTTAGTAGAGACGGGGTTTCACCATGTTGGTCAGTCTGGTCTTGAACTCTTGACCTCAGTTGATCCACCCACCTCGGCCTCCCAAAGTGCTGGGATTACAGGCGTGAGCCACCACACCCAGCCAAATGTTGATAATAATCATTTCTTTCTTTCTTTTTTTTTTTTTTTGAGATGGAGTTTTGCTCTCGTTGCCCAGGCTGGAGTGCAATGGCGCGATCTTGGCTCACCGCAACCTATGCCTCCTGGGTTCAAGCAATTCTCCTGCCTCAGCCTCCCAAGTAGCTGGGATTACAGGCATGCACCACCATGCCTGGTTAATTTTTGTATTTTTAAACTAGAGATGGGGTTTCGCCATTAGTTAGTCAGGCTGGTCTCAAACTCCTGACCTCAGGTAATCCACCTGCCTTGGCCTCCCAAAGTGCTGAGATTACAGGTGTGAGCCACTATGCCCGGCCTGGTTTCTGCTTAAAGCTTTTATAAAATTAAAGACTTTCCATCTGTTTCTAGCTGGCTAAAAAGTTTGTTGGTTTACTCAGGAATAGTCATTAAATTTTACCAAATGCTTTTCAACTTTTATTAAGATTATTATATTGGATTTCTCTTTTAATCTATTATCATATCTAGTTACATTAATGGCGTTCTGGATATTCAGCCATTTTGGTATTCCTGAATTAAATGTGCTTGTCATGATATAATATTCTTTTAATTCGTAGCTGGATTGGACTTGCTCATATTTTATTTAGGAATCTTAGAGAAAGAAAAGTGCTCCTTTAGTTTGGTTTTATTATAAGACTTAGGTTGGGCCGGGCTCGGTGGCTCACACCTGCAATCCCAGCACTTTGGGAGGCCAAGGCGGGTGGATCACGAAGTCAGGAGATCGAGACCATCCTGGCTAAAACGGTGAAACCCCGTCTCTACTAAAAATACAAAAAATTAGCCGGGCATGGTGGCGGGCACCTGTAGTCCCAGCCACTCGGGAGGCTGAGGCAGGAGAATGACGTGAACCTGGGAGGCGGAGCTTGCAGTGAGCAGAGATGGAGCCACTGCACTCCAGCCTGGGCGACAGAGTGAGACTCCATCTCAAAAAAGAAAAAAAACAAAAACAAAGAAAAACAAAAAAACAAAAAAGAGTTAGGTTGGCCTCATAAGCATTTCCTATTCCCTGAAACAGACGGAATTTTTCCTATAAACTCATCTAGGTGTGGCATGGTGGAGTTTGGTTTGTTTGTTTTTATTTTTCTTTGCTTGAGGTTGGCTTTAAAAAAAAAAAAAAAACATCTTTTACTCTCTGGACACCAACAGGGAGTCCAGTGCTTCAACTCAATTGTGACGCTGCCTGGGGCTAGCATAGGACCTGCAGGTTAAGGGCTCAGTCCCACAAGACTGCCCCACTTCGGGTGCCAATCACAAGTCCCAGGTTTCCACCATACTTCTGACCAACCTGCCACAAATCAGGGTTCCTGCGACTCTTCTCAGGTTCCATAATTTGTTAGAAAGGCCCACAGACCTCAGGAAATTTCTTTACTTATTATTATCAGCTGATTATACAGAATAGAACTCAGGAACAAGTAAATGGAAGGGATTCGTAGGGCAAGGCATGGGGTGTGGTGTGTGGGGGCATGGAGCCTCCATGCCCTCTCCGGGTTCACCCCTCCCAGCCCCTTGATGTGTTCACCAACCTGGGAGCACTCTGAACCTATTAATACTTAGGGGCTTTCATGAAGGTTTCATTACATAGGCCTGATGTATTAAATCGTTGACCGTTGGGGATCAACTTCATCTCCAGCTCTTTTCCCCTCCCCAGAGGTCAGGGATGGGGCTTAAAGTTGCAACCGGCTAATTATGCTTTGGTCTTCCTGGCAAGCAGCCCCCCTCCTGAAGTGACCTAGGGCCCTCAAAGAGTCACCTCACTAAAACCAAAGACATACTCATCACTCCTATCAGAAATTATGGGGAATAAGGTGCAAAGATCAAATATCTATTTCTTATTGTGTCATACCTAGCATTCATTTTTCCATCCTTTGTTATTCCCTCTGTTTCTTTTAATTTCAGGAGCCCTCTTGTACTCCACATGTAACTGCATTTTATTTTTCAGAGTTTAAAATGAACTTTTTTCTGTGATTGCTGATATACTTTAATTTTACTGGTTTTGTTTGCTTGTTTGTTTGTTTTTTCATTATTTGTTTGGATCTTGCCTGTGGCTGAATTGATTTTATATTTTGTTCCATTATATTCCCTCCCTTGTGATTTGAAATTTATATGTCTATTTATATTCTTCTAGTGGTTACACTTATATTTTTAACAATTTTAACAATTCTGTCGACAGCTATAACATCTATATCCTCCTCTTACATAAGAATAAAAAATTTAGTATTCTTACACTTCTCACCGCTCTCTCTGGCAGACTCCATGGTTGAGAACATCTGGGATTTTAGTTCCAGATGGTTATTTTATACATTTTTAAAACATCAAGCATCAACAGTTATTTAAACTTGACTATAACTTTTAGTGTTTTATTTGATTACTACCCTTTCTTGTATCTTTTTACTTGGTTTTGTTTTTTATTTTATGGGATTTTCCTTATATATATTTTTTTCCCTGAAGTATTTATGGATGGCAAAATTTCCAAGTCTTTGCAGGTTCAAAACTCTTCATTTTGTCCTCATACTTGAATGCAAGTTTGCCAGGGTGTGGAGTATAGGTTTAAAATAAAAATCTCGGATCATTTTCTGGTAGCATTCAGTTTTGCTGTTAAAAAATAAGATGTAAATTTAATCTCTGTATTATTGTAAGTAATCTGTTATTTTCTCTTTGGAAATTTTTAAAATGAGAGGGGAGAGGTGAGCGGGGTTGAGAGGGGAGAGGTGAGCGGGGTTGAGAGGGGAGAGGTGAGCGGGGTTGAGAGGGGAGAGGTGAGCGGGGTTGAGAGGGGAGAGGTGAGCGGGGTTGCAGAGGTTTTGAAGTGCATGGCGTGCTTAGCAAATATTAAGTGATCCATTCTGGTTATCCTGCATTCAAAGCGGAAGGGAAGAGTCGGTTGGCTGAGGTGTGAGAGGTCTCTGAAGGAAATGTGTACCAGACCCTAATTGTCTTCTGTGGGATTTCTCCATGAAAGGACCTGCAATTTCCCAAGTGCACATGATGCTGAAGCGTTTACACTGTGGACTGCAGCACATCTTGACTCCCCAGGAAGAGCCAAAAAGGTGATGCCCAGAGAGAAAGTGGAGGAAATAGCTTCTGCCCGCCATCTCATCTTAGCCCCTATTGATATTATTAGGTTATTGATAATGGCTTCCGTCTGTGGCAGGCAGAACAAGCTCCACCCTTCTGTGTGTCTATCTAATGACAGCATTCGGCTTGCCTGATACATAACAAACTACAATCTGGGTCCTGATCATTAGGCAACATCATCAGTTAACAACAAATAAATGTTGGTTTATTGTCAGAGAAATAAGATGTCGTATAAATTAGATAGATGTGCTAAAAACTTAAACAATCATTAGGCTTAGATGAAAAGAAATGAAGCAGGTGCTTCTGTGGTTCATAAGGGTGATGGCTGGGCTCATGCGGATGTGTGAGATGTGCTACCCTGGAAACTGGTTATGACGTCGGCACATTACCCATCTGACATAAAACAAGAACAAAAATGTAGCCATGAGTGTGTATAAATGAATCAAAATAGAAAAGCATTCCATCATACCCCTGAGTCCTAAGGACCGAAAGGTTTAGGTCTTTGCAGTTACGCGGGGGTTTTCACATAAAGTATTACCCTTGCTCCTCAGAAGAACCATGCGAGTTCGGTTCTATTATTATCCTCACTTTACAGCTTGAAGAAACTGACAATTTTAGTAACTATTCAAGGTCACACAGCTAGTAAGCAGTGGAACTGGGCCCTAAACCCGTATTTCCCTAATTGTATGCTCTTTCATTTTTACAGTTAGTCCTTGATACAGGACATAGTACGTCCTGGCACTCACAAATGTGAATATGGAAACTTGAATGTGGGATGCTGGACTCTGAGATCACATTTGTGAGCTTAACAGCCCAGAACCTCCAGATCCTGAGAAAATTTTAAGTGAAAGATGAGCGGAGTGAAACTGTTAACTCATGCAATATGTGGATTTTGACTAAAGTCAAAATAGGGGAATTCTATCAATATAAAAGCCTTGGGATGAGGGGACCGATCACAAAAGATGGCCACCCGGTTCCTTACCCGTTGCCTCACTATATTCCATCTTTCATTTTGCCAAGTCAAAAATACACCAAATGGAGGAACCAAAACTAACAGTCTTTTTGCATTCATTTATGTAACAAACAGTTCCTAGGTTTTTGTTATTATTTTTCTTCTTTTTTTGAAAGGGACAATATAAGCAAAATAGTATTTTGTTGTTGTTCTCATTGCAGTAGGTATGTTAGCATTTTTTTTTAAATTTGAGAATGAACAATTTATTGCTAGTTTTAAAACTCATCTACTACACAATCCTCAATTGAGTATTTTGTGACTACATTTTGTGTATATGTTTGTTTGTGGTTGCACGTGGAGTGTGTGTTTGAGAATGCACATGTGTATTTTGGAAATCATTATTTATAGCTCTTAATTAAAAATTTTTAAAGGAACTATACAGGCTCAGTTCTTTGTTTTCAAATGTGAGCAGCTGAAATTAGATCCCTCTTACACCTTTGCCAGAGCAAAACTGTGCAATATGCGTAATGTGCTCTTGTCCCCTCTAGAGAGGTGGGGCTAGAGTGGAAATGGCTAATCCTCTTCACGGGGCATGAATTGGAAATTGAGTTTTGCAAACAAAGTCAGAGATAATGTCAGAGATAATTTCCCATCTTCATTATTTATGGAAATCAGTTACTGTATTTTAATTATCCACTGCTTGTATCGTCCACATAAAATGCCTTTCCTTTTATTTAAACTGCAAATAATTGCCAGTAGAATTATTCATTGGAAATTGGAATCCACTTTTTTGATCTCTAGAAAGCCTATTAATAATGAATGAGGATGTTATTTATTTGTTACAATTCCACAAATGGAAACTGAAGAAAGACTCTATATTCCTCAGTTATCTCCTCTGACAATACCTGAGTAAACTCACCCCAGGAGAAATGCCAAAATGTGGAAAAGCAACATAAAGATGAGAACAGCTTTCTTTTTTTTCTTCTTTCAACAAATGAAATGCCTACTCATTTCAACAAATGTGGGCCTACTATGGGAAAAGCACTCCTAGGTGAAGTCAGGGAGAAAGTTAAGCTAGACGTGAATTTTATCTTTCAGGACATAATAAACATTCATAAAATCCTTGACATTTGCAAGCGATATACCCTGAGACCTTCATCAATCCCCATATTCATGAATCTTACTATAGCATATAATTTGCTACATAAAATGCAATAAAATATAACTGAAAAATATAAGTGACCCCTTTGGACCCTTAATGATTCTATAAATACAGAACTCAAGTAATTTATAAAGCTATTAAAATAAATCTGGCCATTAACATAAACTCTATGCTAGGCTATCTCTCACTTGAACAATTTTTGCACTATCCAGAGAACTTGCTAAAATAGCTTCATAAATTGCTTTTTCCAGTTTCTGTACAGAATGTATGGTGGACCTTTCATGTCTGCACTACTGCAGAATCTGAATCTTTGCTTTTAAATGTTATTTTAAAAAGTATGTATTATATGAAATAATATATATTATATTGAATATATATTAAATATATATATGTGTGTGTATATATATATATATATATATATATACATATATATAATTTTTTTTTTCTGGCCAAAGCCATCACTTGATTGGATCTACTTATTTTTCTCTTCATTTATATTACCAACAGTAGAAGCCAATTTTCTTACTAGAAACTTTTTCCCCCTCCCATTGGAAGAACCAAAGTTTGACCACCTTTTTAGCCTGTGTATGGAGCTAAGCAGATAAACTTGGTAATGGGTGCCCTGGGCCTTCCCAGCTGCTCTCACAAGCTATAGAAGTCACTTCTGAACTTCAGCCATGGAGTATTGAATTCAAATTTGGGCCTCACAAAAATTAAAATATAATATCCATGATGAAATTTGAAGCCTTTGTAAATAGTTGAAGTGCTAACTTCTATACACAAATGAGCAAGGTCTGATATATATTCAATATGAGGGAGAAAGTGACAAATACTCAAAGGAAAGATACAGGTAAACTTAACTTCAGAAGCTGCAGGGGAGTTTGAGGAAGACTACAGGGAGGAGGCAGCACTTTTCCGGACTTTGAGGATAGGTAAGACTTAGAAATATGTCACAGACATAGACATCATAGACATTTTGAGTAGAGGAAACAGAATAAGCGAAGACGTGAGTGAGGAGGCAGGGAGCTTTCATGAGGAAAGTGAATAGTGTAATCCCACCTAACTATAAAGGTAATTTCTCCTCAATGTAAAAATACAAAAAAATGCTTTCCTTTTTTTGGAAATATGGTAAGATGAGGCATACACAGAAATAATCCCAGTGTGTTTAGAAATACTATGAAAAATATATTTAAAGTATTTTAAAATGCATAGTGATCTGGCAAGAAAGCAAGGGAAAGTTCAAGAAGCACAAAGCAACAAAACAATATTACTTCAGAAAGATAAGCTATGGTGAAGCCGGTTCTGCCCTAGGATGGCTTCTGATGCCTCATTCCCTAGAGTGCAAGTTTGAGGGATTCTGTGTGGATATGAGCTAAAGCCTGGGAGCTGGTAAAATGGCCGGGAAGATTACAGAGTTTATCCTGGAGCCACAGACCCTAAAGGCAAAACCCTGAAGTGGGTTAAGGGGGAAGATGTGCCTTGCAGAAGGAGAGAGTGGGACTACCTGGCTGGGTTGAAGATGTCTCTGGATGGAGGGGCAAGAGAGGCTTCTTGGGATCCTTAACTGGAAGACTGCTCTCCCATGAGTGTTAATTCACGACTCCTGTGTGGCTCCCATGTCGTAAGCTTGGACATAGGTTGGTAAGACTTCAAATCCTTGGTAAAAACAAGGCAAATCCTCACTGAAGGAATGCACTTTAATCGCAGGCACCGCTAACATTTCCACAATTTTGTAAAACATGTAGCTCATCACGTACATGAGGAAACAGACCACCATGAAGAAAAGTCAGTGCTCATAGTATAGTGTAGAAAAGGAACTTTGAAAACTACAACTGGGGCAATTTTTCAAAAGCAGAATATAAAATATATGTGTGTAATTATGCGCAAAGAAATAAAAATGGCTGTCAGAATATAATTTAGGATTAAGAGAACATTAAAATCCATCAGTAATATTTTTTTTTTTTTTTTTTTGAGACGGAGTCTCGCTCTGTCGCCCAGGCTGGAGTGCAGTGGCGGGATCTCGGCTCACTGCAAGCTCCGCCTCCCGGGTTCACGCCATTCTCCTAGTAATATTTTTAAGTAACCAAATAAAACTTCGTAGAAATATGAAACGTAATAATTGAGAGTAAAATTTCAATAGATGGATACAAAACAGATTAGTTCCAGCTGTGGAAAGAATTCATGACTGGAAGATAATCTTGAGAAAATAAATACCAAAAATCTAGAATAGAGATTCATAAACTTCCTTGGTTCATGGCACCATTCATGGGTTAGTGCCTGAATGATTTTTTTATAGTATCCCCAAAGCAAAAGAAATTCCCAACATTTCTTTTATTAAGTAGTTAGGCTCAAACAACTTAATTTTAGTATTTTGCATGGTATATAACGAACAGCTGTGTCTCTCTCAAAAATGCAACATTCCCACAGTGTTCCTGTGAATTCACTCTGGTTTCCCAGTATGCCTTCACCTGTAGTTTGAGAACCATGGATGTAAAATAAAGAAACAAAAAAATGGAAAATGTCAAAGACAACTGAAAGAGACTCCCATGTAGGTCTAACATATGCCTAATTGAAGTTCCAGAAGAAGAAAGGGAAAAGACATGGCAAGACAATTTTCCAGATTTAACACAAAATTCATAGATTCAGAAAGAACAACAAATTACAAGCAGAATAAATACAAAAAACTGGGCATGGTGGCTCGTGCCTATAATCCCAGCTACTTGGGAGGCAAAGGCAGGAGGATCACTTGAGCCCAGAAGTTTGAGGCCACAGTGAGCTTTGATCACACTACTGCACTCCAGCCTGCAGTAAGATCCGATTAACACAGTAAGTCCCCATTTCTAAAAAAGTGTGTTTTTTTTAAAAAAATAGATACAGTAAAATACATATCTAGACATATTTTACCAAAACTCTAGAACAGCAAAAATAGAATGACCTTAAGAGTAAAGACAGACTAAGAACTGATTTCTCTTTTTTTCCTTTCCAACTTTTATTTTAGGTTCAGAGTGTTACGTGGGTAAATTGCGTGTTGCGGTGGTTTGGTGTTCACATTATTTTACATTCAGGTAATGAGCATAGTACCTTGCAGGTGGTTTTTCAATCCTCACCCTCCTGTCACAAAGCACCTTCAAGTAGGCCCTGGTGTCTACTGTCCCCTTCTTTATGTCCGTATGTACTCAATATTTAGCTCCTGCTTAGAAGTGAGAACATGCAGTATTTGGTTCTCTGAGAACTGATTTCTTAGTAGTAATAACGATTCCTCTTATCCAGAGAGAACCGTACGTATTTTGATATATTTTCTTCCAATTTTTTACCTGTATATGTCAAATGAAATATATACTTTTGAAAAAAGTAAGTTGCAAAACCATATATACTGTATGACTCTCAAATATATGTATATTTATTATATATATTATATATAAATATTTTATATATATATATAAAATAAATTGAGATTCGGCGGGGCGCAGTGGTTCACACCTGTAATCCCAGCACTTTAGGAGGCTGAGGCTGGCGGATCACCTGAGGTGGAGAGTTCCAGACCAGCCTGACCAACATGGAGAAACCCCGTCTCTACTAAAAATACAAAATTAGCTGGGCATGGTGGCACATGCCTGTAATCCCAGCTACTCAGGAGGCTGATGGAGGAGAATCTCTTGAACCCAGGAGGCGGAGGTTGCGGTGAGCTGAGATCACGCTATTGCCCTCCAGCCTGGGCAACAAGAGCAAAACTCCGCGTCGAAAACAAACAAACAAACAAAAAACATTGAGATTCATACAATACATATGGTATTTATTGTAGTAAGTAGTTAGGCTCAAATGACTTAATAGTAATATTTTGTAAAACAAATAGCTGTGTCTCTCTCAAAAGACAGATAATTATATATATAAATTGAGATTCATACAATACATATAGTTTTGCATCTTTTCTCAATTGACACAATGTGACTATTTTATTTACCTACTCAACAAATGATTGTCGAATGACGTTTAACTAGGATTTAGCGAATGATTTTAAATAAATAACATTTAATTATATGTCAAGGTACTATACTAAATACTTTATAAATATTTATTTAATGTTAAGAACTGCATGAGATAGTTATTATTCTTATTTTGCAATGAAGATACTTAGTTTGTGTTAATTTTAAGCATCAGATGTGGTACTTGATAAATGCTTTTTTGCCTCTGTGTTTATATCATATTCTTAATGAAAATTTTTAGAAGTGAAACTAACGTTCGAAACCCATGAACTTCTAAAGTTACTAATAAAGCCAATCTGCTTTCTGGTAAGATTTTACCTAATTAACACTGTGATCACACACTCAACCAAACTTTGCCAATATTGAGTATAAGAACTAATTTTAGAGGTTGACAACTTCTGATAATATTTTAAGAAGGTTAAAAAATTTACCTCATTTTATTGTGATTGTATTGTGATTGTAACTTCTACATTTACAAATGTGTTTGAATGTTTCTCACATTAGGCAGTGGCATTGCTTCTTGTCTGTGATATTTGCTGAACTTTCCCTTGGTGTTTCAGCATTTTTCTCTAAATGCATTGGACGGTAGTATTGTATAATATATTTGTGTCATGTATTCTTCAAATATGTATGACTTTTATTTTATGGTTTCCTGGCATTTTTTCAATCCAATGAATTGTACGTGTACATTTTTTTCTTTTCTGTTGTGCTTAGATTATCCATCCCCATCCCAACATTAGATAGTTATTCACCTATATTGTCTGTAAGTGTTTTAATATTTTATTATTTTACATGTAACTCTTTAGGCCATCTGGAATATTCTTTGCCATATGTACTAATGTGAAGATTTATTTCAATTTTGTTTTCCAAATGTTGAACCTTGCCTGTAGTGCCAACTTCTTCCCTATTTCTTTGTTTCCCTTTAAAGCAATGCTCTTAGTAGTCTTAGCTGGCAGACTTCAATTTCTTTCCTCTTTTTTTAAAACCCATTGTAGTTTTTAGATCTCACCTCTCCACCAAAACACCTCTTATCAAGTCATCAATGCCTTCCCCATTATTATCTCCATTGGCCAGTTTTCATTCTTGATGTGATTTGATCTGTCAGCGGTATTTGCACAGCTTAACCGTCTCTTGCAGCAACAGTTTCATCACCACAACCTCCTACCTCACTGGCAATTCTCTCCTCTCCTCTGCATAATCCTGCCTCTAGTGCTGACAGGACCTAGGCCTCTGCCCATGGACTTTTCTCTCTATGCTCACTTCTACCCCGCTTCCATCCAGACTCACTGCTCCTGATAAAATCTGTATATTATGACTTCAGGGTCTATGATCGTAGTCTGTGTCTCTCCCCTGAACTCTAAAGTATATATTAATACAACAACCTTCTCAACATTTCCACCTAGATGTCTAAATGAGCATGCTAGATGTGTCATAGCCCAAATTAAATTCCTGATCTTTCCAAGGCCGCTTTTTGTGAGGTCATCTCAACTCAGCTAATGGAAACTTACATCCTTCAGGTGCTCAGATCAAACATTTAGGAGTCACTCTTGACCCTTCTCTTTTTCTCATACCTCACTTTCACACCTTCAGTAAATCCTGTTGACTCTACCTTCTGCAAAATCTTCCATACCATCTGCACTGCTACTTTGTTCATCATATCTTGGCTGGATTTTCGCAATAGCCTTCCACTGGTCTTCCCAATTTTAGTCTTGTTTCTTTACAGCCTATTTTTAACAAAGAAACTGGAGTGATCATTTAAAAATGGAAATCAGATCCTGCCATGCCTCTGTCCCGTGCCTTCCAATGGCTTACCATCTCACTTGGAGTAAAAAGTGAAATCTGGATAATGGTGTAAAAGACTATATGATCCAATCCCCAGCTCACCCCAGTCTGTCTCTGGTCCCATTTCCTACTATTTCCCTGCCTCAGTTACTAGAGCAAGAGGAAGATTTGGTCTCCTTCATCTCTCTTGAACACGTCAGACTGGTTCCCACCTCAGTGGCTTTGCAGTTGCTGTTCTCTCCTGGAAGGCTCTGTCCCAAGATATATGGATGGGTAACTCCTTCATCTTTTTAAAATCTTTGCTCAAAATTAGCTTCCTGGAGAGGGCTTCCTTATTATCCTATTTGAAATTGTATTCTTCCCCCACTCCTTCCATTCCCTTTCCATACCCACTATGTTACTCTTATCATTGTTGTATATATCAGAGTCTAATTCTACTCACATTTCATCTCTTTGCACTGATCCTTCTGTCAATTATTGAACTCGTATGATCTGATTGAATCACTAAGATTTTGTTAAACATATTTCATGTCTGGTGTAGAAGGCCTTTCTTATTATTCTTCCTTAATAAAATTCCCTTAGTTATTCTTGGCTTTTTATGCCAGCTTAACTTTAAAAGTACTTCATCATGTTTCCAAAGAAGAAAAATTAAGCTGATTTTTTTATTGGAATTTCATAATACAGGGACATTCATGTGCAAAGAATTAATATCTTTATATCATTCACTCTTCCTTTCCCAGAATGTAGTATGCCTCTTCATTTATTGAAGCTCATTTTCTTTTTGACATAGGTTTTGTGATTGTATATTTTCTATAGTTCTTACATGTGTCTTGTTTAAGTTAATCCTACATGTTGTAGTCTATGCTTTTTTTCCTGCTTTGTTCTATTGTTGCTATTTTATTCCATTATGTATTTTTAAAAGATTATTTTCAAATAGTTATTTTTTCAAATTTCTATCTATCAGCAACATTGTTCAATAATCTTATTACTGGCAGTAGATTTTCAGTTTATTCCTTGGGTTTTTGAAGGAGACATAATGATAATTCTATCCCCTTTTCATCATGCTACCAATGCCTTGCCTAAAACTTCTGCAGAGTATTGAATGGTAGTAGTGGTCACTAGCCTGTTGGTCTTCCTCTCCTTGTTCACGCTGCTGGTTTAAAGTGGATGTCTTTGTCACATTAAGAAAGTATCCTTACATTCCTGATTTACAACGCACTTTTTTGAAAAAATAAGAAAAAGTCGAGGTTTGTCTTGTGCTTTTTGTTTCCATCAGTTGAGCTAATATTACCTATTAATTTGATTAATAGATTTTCCAATACTAAACTAAATAAACGGTTGCAGTGGGTGGTTTTTTAAAGACATACTATTGAATTTAATTTATTAATGTTTCAATGAGGATTTTGCATCTATGTTCGTAACTGTGTCTGTTCCATAGTTTTCATCTTGGTGTTATCTTTTATCCAGTGTTAGAATGGGAACTTTTATGAAATAAAGTAGGAAGCAATTTGTCTTGTTCCAGGATAGAAGGCAGGATGTGAGTATAATCGTGTGTGTAGAGGTGTGGGCTTACATATATATGCACATAGATATTTTCATGGAGAGTATACGCTCCTAAGAAATTTGACAGAATTTATTGTTAAAAACTACCTGGTTCCAAAGCCCCAAAACTTTTTTGATAATTTATTGTCTTTCTCATGATTATTGGTGTATTTCGGTGTTCTACCACTTTAAAAAAAACTTGATAGTTTTTTTTTCCAATAAATTGCCTATTTCTATTTAATTTTCAAATTATAACTGGAATTGTATGTAGCATTTTCTTATGATTTAAAGAATATTTTCTAAATCTGTTGTTGTGGCTTCATTATCATTCCAGTTCTGCTCATTTTTATTTTTTCTATTTATCCTGTTAGTTTTCAGGAAACTTGCTTAATTGATATTAAATTTTTCTTTCTAATAGTAAAGCATTTAAGATTTGTTTACTACTATTTTGGTAAGTTTTGTCTTCATTTTTGTTTTTTTGAACCCCGCCCCCCCACCCCCGGCCCCGCTCTGCAAAGTGGCTTCTATTTCAGTTTGCCTTTGATCCCATATTAATTTAGGAAGGTGATTTTTAATTTCCTGCTTATTAAGTTTTTGTTCTTGTGTTTAAATTACTGTTCTTATTTTTCTATTCTTATTGTAATGTGGTCAAAAAATGTGATCAGTGTAATTTCTGCTACTAAGAATTTATTGATGCCTTTTTTGTGATATGGTAGATTAGGTTTTATAAGGTCCGTGGTCACTTGAAAATGAGGTACTTCTCTAACTGTAGTGAAGGCAAGTTTTTACATTTAGCCTGTTAATTACATTACCAAGTTATCTATATCCTTACATTCATTGGAGGCCTATCTTATATTTGAGGATGTTAAAGTCTCCCGTAATAGTACTTCTGCTAGTTTTGCCTCATACTGCCAACAGTTTGTTTGCTTTACTTTCTACACTGATTTTTATATTTTTTGCATAAATGTTCTTGAAAATTACCTATTCATTAACAGATATACCTATTTTCACTGTAATATTTGGCATCTATAAAGTTCCCTCACACTTTGAATTCCCTTTGACTCATACTACTATTTCTAACCTTGCTTTCTGTTATGTTTTTGGGGAATGTGAAAATGGCGGCCTCCAGTGTTTACTGATTCTGAGGCTCTTCCTCTTTCTACCACGTGTGAAGGGAGAGACCAGGGAGCATCTAAAAGAGAATCACCATTGGCGTCTGCTCTCTCGCTGTGTTTCTTTCCTGATGACAGCCTTTGCTAAGCACATTTGTGGCAGGAGGACTTTGGCCTCCTTGCATGGTTTTCAGGTTGGTGTGGGCGTCGGGGGCCTGGGGCAGAGGAGGAGAGAGGGTGCAGCTTTCTCTTTTCTTCTGAGCCCATCAAACTGCACCTTCACTGGTTTATCATGAGTGCGTCTTCAACCTTACCAACGCGCAGAAGTTGCTCCCAGATTCTAGGACAGGGAGATAGAACAGAAAAAATAGAGTATCTCTGTGTCTGCTTTTGGGGAGTTGTTGTGTGTGTGTGTGTTTCTTTTTTCCTTTTTTCCTGCAGTGTCTCAATAAACATTTTTGTAGAAAGTTGATAGAGATAACATCAGGAGCTGCTAGTTTGGTTAAAAAAAAATCTGCTACTGAAATGTTTCCAAAAAGATGGGTATATTCAGTCAGCACTGTATTTTAAGAACCTTATCTGGTCTGAGTGTAACAGAGTGCTCAACTAGGAGATAATTTCAGCTGTCCAAGAGAAGTTGTCAGTCTCTGGTTTTGGGAGTGGAGCAAGAAGTAAGCAGACACAGATGCATTAGGGAGACAGAATCTATACTATGGAAAATAAATGGATTTGTATATAAGTACAAAGGTGTGAACTGGGACTTGGGTGGAAAGAACAAAAGTATATGAGGAGTCTAAATCAATGCTCAACTTCCTAGCACAAATTGATGAAAATATTTGCCACATTGCCAGAGGGAGAGTATTTTCTTAAAGGAAAATAATTATTGTTATACAGGAAAAGGTCTTTATTTTATTTTTAAGAAATGCATAGGTAAGAAGTAAAATGCAATGTGAAAATGAATTATAGGTGAAAAATATTAAAAATAGTTAAATCAAGGAGATGAATGTATTCGTGTTTACTATTCTCTATTTTGTTATGTACAGAAAATTTTATAATAAGCACTTTAAGAAAGGGAAAAAATCACCCAGTTTGGCACCTACTGTCTTGAGGTGCTGTAGACCCCTACTCCATGTGATAATATAGGGGTGGCACTGAAGATGCAGGACTAGACCTCCCCTGACCAAATTGGGAGGTGTCTAGTTGGGTGTTGTAAGGATAGAAGTTGTTGGAGCTATTACATGCTAAGGCAGAGTTCACAAAGCCACTTTCTAAAGATGTAACATTTGGCAATTTGAATAACAGTGCTCAACTAACAGGGCTGTTGTAGGGATGGAATGCTATAATGAAGACAAAGCCCTGGGTCACAGAAGAGCTCAACAAAAGCTGCCATGTTTCACAATTGCGGAAGGGCAGTGAACCTGCAACACCCCAAGGAGACCACAAAATAGCTTGTGGGTCAAGCAAAGCCAAGTGTATTGCTTCCTGTAATAAGGAAGACCACTGCCTTTTTAGCACTGTCTTTGAAAAGGAAGGATAAAGATGAGATATTTATGTGATTTGGAGGGGTCTCGTTTAAGGCAGGTGTTTCTATGAGGAGGTCTGACTGGGACTGGGCCAAAGTTGTGATATAATAGTTCAGGACTGGTGAACTCAGGTGAGGATTTTGGAGCAAACCTCAGAGTAAACAATTGGATGATTCCAGCTGAACAATCTATCTTTCTAAGAAGGAAGCTATTTACTCTGATGAAGAGATGTGGAAAGTCAATGAATTTTCAAAGTTATTTCCAACTTAATCTTCTGGGTCAAGAATTTCCTGGAATAGTCATGTCATGTTAATGAAGAGTATCAAATAGGAAAAATCATGCTTTATGGACTATAAGCTGTTTGGCTGTAGATAGTTTCAGCCCCCAGGGGAGATTATGGTGTGGATTGTTTCTATTTTGTTTTAGTATTTGTGGCATATTGCTACCTCCGCAGCAGATGCATACATTGTTTTGCAAAGTTTAATTAAGCTTATCATTCATTTGGCAATATGTATTAAAGACCTCAAAATAATCTTTTAACTAGTAGTTTTATTATCAGCAATCAGTCATTCAGAATCATCAAAGACACGAACAAAAGATGAACATAGATGTTTATCACGGCATTTTTAGAATAGAAAATACAAGGTAAACAAAGTGACTTTAAATGGGCAAACAGAAAATAAATTATGATTTAGCCACAGGATGGGACACTGTGTGTAACTAGGACAAATTGTGTTTTTTAGAAATAGTTAATGATGTGGAAAAATTCTCTCCAAGCTAAGTGAAAGTAGGACATAAAAGTGTATAAAATTATAGTACCTATGCCTGAATGAAAATATTGCAAAATTTTATAAGTGGTTATCTCAGGGTTATAAGATTACAGGTTGTATTTTCTACAAACATTTAAAATAAACTTTCTTCTTAACAGAAAATAAACACTATTTTAATAATAATAATACAATGATTGAAAGGGTGGTGTAGATGCCCTCCAAGGAGAAAAGGAGCTTGTTTGTGTTTGTTCCTGCAGCAAATGATGCAATTGAGGCAGGAGAGCCCAAGCAAAGGGCCCTCTTCAGAAAGGGAGACTTGGCTGGGGTTCACTCTGGTTTTGAACAATGAATCATCTCTTCTGTTAATAAGGATTAGCAGGTTATAATATAGGAAATGGCTCTTGCCATCAGAAAAACTGAATATCTCTGTGTTAGCTCATTTGTGTTGCTATTAAGGAATATCTGACCCTGGGTAATTTATAAATAACAGAGGTTTAATTAGCTCATGGTTATACAGGATGTACGAGAAGCATGGTGTTGGCATCTGCTTGGCTTCTGGTGAGGATCTCAGAAAGCTTCCAATCATGGCAGAAGGCAAAGGAGAGCCAGGTTGTCACATGGTGAAAGAGGGAGCCAAATAGAGGGGGTGGAGGTGCCACACTCTTTTAAACAACCAGCTCTCTCATGAACTCATTACCACTCATTACTGTGGAGAGCATGCCAAGCCACTTAGGAGGGATCTGTCCCCATGATCCAAACACTTCCCAGCAGGCCCTACCTCTAACATTGGGAGTCCACATGCACCTTGGAGGGGACAAACATCCAAATTGTATCAGTCTCTCAGGGCGCTTGCACCACAAATAACACTGAGAATTCCACAACCACTCAGCAAAGGTGTTTATTCCTCTTGGGTTCATCATTGCTTCCTATCTTTCACAGATCTGCTTTTCCAAGGAATTAAATTCCTTTGAGGACTTCTCGTTAGGACTTCTTTTCTCCAGTTTGGGAGCTTCTATGACTGCTTGTTGCCAGGAGCCTAACAGAGTGCAGAGAATTTCAGTGATTTGCCTGCAGATGCATTGCAGGCGGAACTCTCTGAGTTATCTCCTACCTAGGGAAAGAAGCTTGGAGTTACTGTCCACTCTCAGTTATCTGCAGCTAGCTCACATGACCAACAGATGCCCATTGTCAGGTGGAAATCCCTCAGAACTTCATTCTTTCTGCCTAAAATTCCAATTGCTAAAACTGAAGACAAGAATAAGGTAGAAAAACTCTAGAATGAGGCAATTAAAATGATCAAGGGGATGATTGAGTACTGAAGAATAAAGTTAAAATTCTTCAAGATGTAAAGATAAATTCTGAAAGAGGATGAATGGTTATAAGATCCTGAAAGGCAAATAGAAGCCCATTTCTCAATTCTGGAGAACACGTTCGAGAGCATAAGTTGAAATCTAAAGGAAGTAAGAGGAACAGTAGAGGTTCCTTGGATGGCACAGTGGAGAAGGAAGAAGGAAGTAAGGCACTTTGTACACACTGTCTCATTATATGACATGCCATCAGAGCATTTTGTTCTAGCCCCAGTTCTGCTACCAGCTATTTTCTGGTGATGTCAAATGAGATTCTTCATCCTAAGCCTCAGATTTCTTATGTGTAGAATCAGGATTTTAATTATTTGGGTTTGAGAATACTTTCTGATTCCAAAAGAGTTTCTTTTATTTTGTAATATAAAAATCATAAATACTTTATTATTAATACATTATTTTTGAAATGTTACACAGACTGGAAATATGAGAAAGTTTGAGAGTGTTTGCATATATTTCCTCATGACATAATAATTATTAAAAGGAAATTAGTGGCCGGGCTCAGTGGTTCACACCCATAATCTCAACTACTCGGGAGGCTGCGGTAGCAGGATTGCTTGAGCCCAGGAGTTTGAGGAGCATGTTCGCACCGCTGCACTCCAGCCTGGGCGGTAGAGCAGGACCCCGTCTCTAAAAACAGAAATGAGTGGTTCCTAGCAAGACGCTAAGCTAACATGGGTAAGACTTCCTCTCCCAAGACTCCTCTCCACAATGATAGAGAGGTGGGGCAAGGGTTTGAACTGGCGCATATATACATATATATATATATATAATGTCTTTGGTCTGAGAGAAAAAATGGCCTAGTATGGCTTTGAAGAAAAACTTAGAAAAAGAATTATGGAATTCTTGCCCCATATCTTCGTGTTTAGTGGTGAGTCCCACGACACACTTGTCAAAACTCAGATCCCTGGTACAGGGGCTCTCAGGTATAAAATCAGTAAAGGACTGAAGAGCCCTTTGTTTGCAGGGAGTGAACAACAACAACAACAACAAACAAACAAACACATCGGGGCCTGCCAGGGGGTGGGGGGCTAGGGGAGGGATAGCATTAGGAGAAACACCTAATGTAGATGACGGGTGGATGGGTGCAGCAAACCACCATGGCACGTATACACCTATGTAACAAAAATGCACATTCTGCACATGTACCCCAGAACTTAAAGTATAATTTAAAAAAAAGAAAAGAAAGAGCTGTGTTAGTATCTGTTGCTGCATAAAAACCTACTCCCAAGATTGGAGGCTTAAACTGACAATAATTATTGTTTCTCACTGTTTCTGTGGGTCAGGAATTCCGAGAGGTTACAGTAGGGATGGCTTGTTTCTGCTCTGTGGTGCCTGAGGACTCAGCTGGAAGACTCGAAAGCAATTGATATCCAGAGCATTAAGGACTGTTGGTGTCATTGCCACAGTTTGTTTGCTAGGATGTTTATCTTGGTTATTCCTTAATACACAATAAGGAAGGCAAGTTTCAATAAATAAAGGGTTCATTTAGACCTAAAAGAAACAAAATAAGAGTGAATGACTGAGCCTTAACATTCAATGGTTATAGAGGTTGAAACTCCCAGTTTTCAATTTTATCTCTGTTGCTGAATCAACAATCCCAACTCTACAGTTTGCAACAATTTGTTCAAATCCGAAGAGGAAAAATAATTAAAGTGTTGTAGATAGCCATAGAAATGATAATTTCCGTTTTTTCTTTGAGCCCTAACAAGAGCAACTAGTGAGAAACATACACAACGAAATGCCTGATTTCTCTTCTTCTGGTCTCCGAGTGACACCCTGTTCTCCATCTTGATGGCTTGTAATCATTTCCTGTACTGCTTAAATTCACTCTCTTGAGCCCACAGCTGACCACATTCTACAAATGATGCCTTTCCACTCACGTTTGGCAATGTGGGCTGACTTTGTGCAGCTGGGCTTTGATCTTGCTTCTTGGAACGCATTGCTCTTTCCCTTGCAACTGAGAGCTATCATTATACAGTTTACTAAAATTTCATTATTCAACAGAGTTAAATAGAGTTAGCTTGGAGAACATTTGGTAACACTGCCCTGCTGACCGCAGATTATGTTTGCCCTCCAATAATCTACTGATTATTGATCTCAGGACAAAATCTACACCCCATGATTCTCTCCTATTTTAGTTTAATTCTAGGCTCCTGCAGCTTTTTTTCCCAGCCATGCACCCACCTGACTAAAAATCTCATTTTCAAGACCAATTATCAGCCACTGTAATCCTTTTTACTGTTTTCCTTGAAGGCTCATGAGACGCTCATATAAATGGAACTTGTAACTGCCAGGACCAATAATATTTTGGCATGAAATCTCCCGATGTTCCTTCTAGTTTTCAAATAATACCATATTGGGAAAAATTGAATTTCAACTTGAAGGCTGAATTCTAGTTACTTTTTAAACCTAGTCCCCAAGCCCTTGACATGCCACTGGACAATTTAGGGTAGGCCTAGATGCATCCTTTTCAACTTCCTGATTAGAATCAAAACTTCTTAAAGCCTCCATACCCTTAATCCCATGATCATTACCACAGATAGTGATAAATAATAATGTTTCAGTGTTAATGAGGGAGTAAATAGCATGTTAATGATGTTTGCAGATGGATCTAAATTAGAATAAGTTGTTAACACCAATGAGGCCAGAAAAAAAATAAAAGTCCTAAAGAAGAAGAAGCATACGAGAGGAAAACAAAAATTGAAAACAAACTGAAATTCAACTGATATACTGCATTGAACAAAGAGTTAATTAAAAAGAACCAACTACTGTCCTAGAGACCTAAAGAAAGAAAGCAACAGCAAAGGATATCTAAAAAGGATCTTCTCCATGGCTAGGATTAATTTGCACTTCGTGCCAAAGACGTTCAGGAGTATCTTTGGATCTGTGATCAGTATTGCAGCATTGTGCTGGTAAAGTTTTAACTATCAGATCTCTGAGGAAAAAAAAAAAGTACTTGTGTGTGTGTTTGTCTGTGTATGTGTGTATATATTTAATTACTATAACATTTACTGACATAAAGGATCTCTAGCACGGTATTTTCAAATAAGGAATCCACAATATTCTTTACTGGAAATTCGGTAAAGCTTAATTGATTCTCATAGAATATTTTCCCTGATTTTTGCAAAATTCTTGTATCCATAGCCAATTTATGATGAACAAGTGTAGTTCCGACATGGGTGTTGGTTGATATTTTTATTTACATTGAATATGCTAAAGTAAAACAACAAAAACACATGTTAGAACTTCTTTTGTTGTCAATGACTGAGTAACTTCTTTGCTGAATTAGATAATAGGTTTTGAATAGTCAAACAATATTTCCTGAATTTTTTGTGCTATTCACAATGTAATGGTTACAGACATGATAGAATGTTAAGTTTAATCTCTATTATTATTAACATTTTCTCTATGTCTTTCTTAAGCCTAGACAATAAAAAAAACAGTCAAGCCTTGATTTGCAGCATTTGCTGATTTTCATGGTGTAAATATGCTCGCCATGGTCAATTTTAGGCTACAAACACAGAGTTCAGAAGGGGGCACAGTAGCAAACCATTGTACAGTGTTTTCACCATATAGAGAAAATGAACAGAAATTACCTTAAGAGCTCAGATAATAGTAAAATAATTTGAAAGTAATGGCTTTTGAGTATTCATTGCCTTTTAAGCTATAACTTATTTAATCAAAAGTTTATATAACTCAACTTTTATTAGTGGTTGTATTTAGTAATTGGCTCATATAATTTCTGAAAATTTAGCAATAAGCTCTGACGAGTGGGTAGAAGCTGACTCCAGCACATCACTATCAGTGACTTAACCTGAGATTCATGCCTATTTTCCAGTTTACACCAGACATCTCGAGGTTTCACAAATTCCACATGTTCAAAACCAAACTCATATACTCTCTCCCAACTATGACTGTAATTACCTCACAGGGTCTCCTGGCCCGTTGCACAGAAAAAGCCAACTTACTGAGACTGTGCTATTGCAGTAGAGAAGGAGTTTTATTAGCATAAGTCTAGCCACATGGCAGGTAGAGTTATTACTCAAATCAGTTTCGCCAAAGGTGAAGGTTAGGATTTCTCAAGGATAGTTTGGTGGGCAGGGGGCTAGGGAACAGGAGTGTTATTGGGAATGAAATCATAGGTGTGTGGAAAATGGTTCTTGTGCACTGAGTCAGTCTCTGGGTGCCTGTGGGGCCACAGGACCTGTTGAGTCACAAATTGCAGGTCCAGGTGGAGTCAGCTGGTCATCAGAAATGCAAAGTCTGAAAAGACATCTCAAAAGGTCAATCTTGGGTTCTAAAATAGTGATGTTATCTATAAAAGTAATTGGGAAAGTTACAAATCTTATGACCTACAGAACAATGGCTGGTTATCGTTTAACCACGCCTACATCTTAGCAAAATTCATGCCCCTCTCATAACTCTAAACTGGTGGCCTTTCATTAATTTTACAAAGGCAGTTTAGTTTGGGGAAGGGCTATTATCAACCTTACTTTAAGGAGTTTAAGATTAAACTATAAATTAAATTTCTCCCAGAGTAAGCTTGGCCCACACCCAGGAATGACCAAGGACAGTTTGGAGGTTAGAAGCAAGATAGAGTCAACTATGTCAGGTTTCTCCTACTGTCATAATTTTGCAAAGGCTGTTTTATGACTATTATTTTATCTTTTACCCAACCACAGATACTAGAAACACCAAAGTCATTTAAGACTCCCTCTTCCTCAGTTCTAAAAACCACCAATCAATCACCAATCTATTTAGGTGGCTTCTGAAATAGTTCTTGAATTTTTTTACCCCTATTGAATGCAGACATCATCAAATCTAGTCTGCATTATGACTGGATGAACCCTTCCTTCATAAACCTCCCATGTCACTCTAGAATGGTGTTGACCTTGTACTTGGCCTTCTTAAAAACTAGATACAGATCACCACACCTATCAGGTGGAAACCCGAAGACCCTGCCATGGCAGACAGGCGAGAGTATTTTCCAGTCTTTCTTGATTGTTTCCTGCTGTCTTCGACTTCACGCCATATTCTTACCAGTCCTCCGAACCACAGATGGCATACTTTGTAAGTAGCACTGTGTTCAAGCAGTTCTCTCTGCCCTGTATCTTCTCCCCATTCTTCTCCATCAGAGGAAATTGCCTACGTCTCGCAAGGAACAAAGCTTGTGTAAACTTTTACCTGCTTTTCTGTTTTTTTTTCCTATATTTTTATTTTTACTCCATTGTTATCAGCATGCATTTACCTGCTTTTCTGAAAAAGAGTTACATATTTCTTTCTCTGGACCTCAATTACCACTTTTTCACATTTTTCTTAAATTAAATAACATATACAATGCCCCTTACACAAGGCATAGAATTTAGTAAATATTCAATTGGTGGTCTCCTCCCGAATTTCCTAGTAACAAGGGTATAGACGTTCTCACTCAGAGGTGGGAATTGAACAATGAGAACACATGGACACAGGAAGGGGAACATCACATACTGGGGACTACTGTGGGGTCGGGGGAGTGGGGAGGGATAGCATTAGGAGATATACCTAATGCTAAATGACCAGTTAATGGGTGCAGCACACCAACATGGCACATGTATACATATGTAACAAACCTGCATGTTGTGCATATGTACCCTAGAACTTAAAGTATAATAATAATAAATAAATAAATAAATAAATAAATAAAAGAATCCAGGTGCTAGTGACTTGCTTGCTCTGTGATCTTGGGCAAATTATGCATTCTCTTTACATTTTAGTTTCTTCATCTGAAAAAATGCAGATAATGATGCCTGCCTTTTAGAGTTGCTGGGAAGACCAGACATTGTTGGTAAAGCATCATGTCCCTTTTAGGTGCCCAGTGTGTTCACACATGCCAATTGCAGCACCAGGTTTTGACCTGCACTTCTATGAATCAGGGATTCCCACAACCCCCTCCTACGGCTCAATTAATTTGCTAGGGTGGCTCACAGAACTCAGGGAAACACTCTCTTAATGTTTACTTATTTATTATAAAGGACATTACAGAGGATGTAGATGAACAGACCAGATTGATAGAGCAAGATGTGGGGTGGGGGTTACACAGCCTCCCTGCTCTCTCTGGGCACCTTACTCTCCAGGCACTGCCATGTGTTCAGCAACCCAGAAGCTCATTAAATCTTGTGGTTCAAGAGTTTTTATAGAGCTTAATCCACAGCCCCCACCCACCTTTTCCTGGAGCTTGGTGGGTGGGGCTGAAAGTTTCAACCCTCTAATCCACTTGTTCTTCCTAGAGACTGGCCCCATTTTAAGGCTATCTTAGGGCCCCATCCTGTCACTTCTTTAGCATAAAATCAGGTGTTATCACAGGGGCTCATTATGAATAACAAAAGGCACTCTCTGATCCTTCAGGATAATCCAAGGGTTTTAGGAGTTCCGTGACAGGAGCCAGGAAAAAAATCAAAGATATTTCATGTTCTACTACAGTGGGTGATCATTCAACCTGCATTTGCTGGAAACTTGTTATAAGAGGTGTAGGTAGAAGAGAGAGAGAGACAGCTATCCTTGTTCTCAAGGAGCTCATGGTCAGATGTCAGATGAACAAGGACAGTCACCTGACAGATGCTAAAACAACAGGATTAGGAGCAGTTTATCAGGCACCTGGCACACTGGCAAGGTGTTAGAGGTGGCTTCCCAGAGGAGGTGAGGTCTGAATAGGATGGTATTGAGCCATGAGGCAGAGTTAGTCCAGCTTATTTGACTGGAAGGAAGGTCCTACAGGCAGAGGTGGACTGGATAACTGAGAAAAGGGAAGTTATACAGACATCTTTATTTCTGCAAGAAGTTTGAGCCATTAAAGAATTTTAGAGAGGGGTTGGGGAGGATTATGATCAGAACAAAATTTTAGAGACCTCTCCCTAGCTGCTGTGTATGGTCCATCAATTATAGAAAGAGACTAGAAGTGGGAAGATCAGTTTTTTTTTTATCTTGAAGATGTTTGCAGGGCAGTCAGATAGGCAGTATGTTATTTTGTGTTGCTGCTATAGCAAAATACTCCAAATTTAATGGCTTAAAACAGCAGACACTTACTATCTTATATTTCCATTGGTCAGAAGTCTCGTATGGGTCTGGCTGGAGTATAACTAAAATATTGATAGGCCTGTGTTTCTTTTCGGAGGTTTTAGGGGAGAATCACCTTTGTTGCTTGTTCAAGTGTTGCCAGGATTCAGTTCCTTGCTGTTTCAAGACTGAGGCTTCTGTTTCATTTGCCAGTTGGCAGCTGGGCCCAGCATCAGCTGCAGGCCTCTCTCCTGTCCTGTCCGTGCTATGGACTTCCGTATCACGGGGCAGTAAAGAGCATGGACTCCTTCTCATCATGACCTCTCTCTGACTCAGGAAAGCCTCTGTGATTTTGAGGATTCATGCGATTACATTGGGACTACCTAAATGATCTAGGATAATCTCCCCATTCCAAGGTCCATACTCCTAATCACAGCTGCAAAGTCTGTTTTGCCAGGTGAGGTACCACATGCACAGGTTCCGGGGATCAGGGCACAGATGCCTCTGAGAGGCCATTGTTCTGCTGATCATGGATGGGGGCCTTCTTCTTCCTCCTCCTGGTTGACCCTCCCTGACTGTAACTCCATTCTGTCTCTTACTGCCTATGCCTTGTATTGCTCTCTAAATCCCTGACATGAAAAGAGTGATTACAAATGTGGACTCCACACCAGATCTGGAGAATAAAAATCTGCTTTTTTTTTTTTTTAGACGAAGTCTCACTGTGTCACCCAGGCTGGAGTGCGGTGGCACTATCTCGGCTCACTGCAAGTTCTGCCTCCTGGGTTCATGCCATTCTCCTGCCTCAGCCTCCCGAGTAGCTGGGACTACAGGCGCCCGCCACCACGCCGGGCTAATTTTTTGTATTTTTTTGTAGAGACTGGGTTTCACCATGTTAGTCTGGATGGTCTCAATCTCCTGACCTCGTGATCCGCCCGCCTCGGCCTCCCAAAGTGCTGGGATTACAGGCTTGAGCCACCGTGCCTGGCCAAAAATCTGCTTTTTATAAGGTTTTCAGGTTATTTCTATGAAAGAGCTTGAGAAGTACTGCTCTAAATAACTCGCAAATTCACATCTCTCTCAGTACTTAGAACATGCCAATTCTTGTTGTCTTGTTGAATTGAGTTGTTGAGGCGGGTTTTGATCAAGTAATTCCCCTGTGCTGGGCACCACATTTTCTTTTTGTCTTCTGATCACTCCTAGCAACAGATGTCACTCCTTGGGCCTATGTCTATGTCTGTATTTCTAGGGTGACAAATTCTCCAAGGTCAGGATGTCACAGCCAGCAAGGGGTAGACGGTGCAGAGAATACTGGGGTTGAGAGACACCAGGGAAGTGCTTTCAAATGGCACAGTCTGTTCGCGTCACTGTGCTGATGTGGCAGGGAAGAGCTGGGAACGGGGGATTTGTGAATCCAAGCTGTTAACTGGGTTTCATGGGGAGTTGTCAAAGCCTGAGAACTGGCTTCGTCTCAAAGCCTGCGGGATTAGATGGATTCCTAAATGCACAGGGCCAGATTGACTTGTGGGAGGTTTGTGTGTAAAGCAAACTTTGCTTTAGGACAGTGATTTTCAGTTTATTTTTGTCAACTCTCTACCTGAAAACCAGGATTTATGTCTATAGCTGACAACAGCCCACTAGGTCTCGGTCTGATACATGATGGGAGAATGACTGAAAGCAAGGCGAGGCTGTGGCGTGGGTTATTTTCCCCTAGGAATCCCCTAACACACTTCTGCAAATCTCAGAATAGCGTATTGGAATTTTTGACAACCTGGGGCATAATTCAAAAAAGCCAGTAAGGTGATTTTGGTAAATCTCAGAAAGGGTCATGCTGGCCAAGGATGAAAACCACGTATATACATGTTTTAGGGTAAGAAGTTCCATGGTAAACCATGGAGGCTTTTTTAGGGTCTCTCGCCCCATGATTCAGCATACTCACATTCTGACGTGCTCGTTCCAGCGCCCATGCCCAGAGCAAGGACCAGAGTGCTTTATATAGAGTAGGCTGTAGGTAAGTAACTGTTGAAAGGAAAAATGCAGGAATGACTGTAAACGCTTGTATTTCTTCTGTCTTAAACCTGCCTGGCTCTAAGCACACACACATATGGAAGTAGCCTCAGGGAGTAAGAGGAGAGGGAACATTCCCTCTTGCTTTTTGCTCTTTGGCTGGAGAGGCAGCTCCTCCAGGGACTGCAGTGCTCCTGTGCTGGGTCCCACAGCTCCAGGGCTCTCCGCCTTCTCTCCAGCAGCATGTCCTCTGGCAGCCAATTGGACTGGGTGCAAGGAACTTTATCAGCTTTCCTTTCACATCCTGACAGCCACAATCACTCTTGTCGGTTTTAATTAAAATGTTTAATTAAGCACAGTTCTAGGAGCATAAAGTTAGCTTTCATCCTGGATAAGACCCCAGGCTTGGAGTTAAGGAGGACAAAGAGAGGGAAAGACATGCAGGCTAAAACTTCCCAGTTTTCTATCAGCTGAAGCGAACCTCATGATGAAGGGAGAAGAGCCATTCAGTTGTCCTTCACTTGAGACTTGCTTTAGGCCAAACCAGGAAGGAGTAAATTGTGACTTAAATCCTGTTCTATTTCTTTTTTTTGTTTGTTTTTATATATTTATTTATTTATTTATTTTTTATTATTATACTTTAAGTTTTAGGGTACATGTGCACAATGTGCAGGTTAGTTACATATGTATACATGTGCCATGCTGGTGTGCTGCACCCACTAACTCGTCATCTAGCATTAGGTACATCTCCCAATGCTATCCCTCCCCCTCCCCCCTACCCCACAACAGGCCCCAGAGTGTGATATTCCCCTTCCTGTGTCCATGTGATCTCATTGTTCAATTCCCACCTATGAGTGAGAATATGCTAATTTTAACAACTCCTACCCCTCGGTCTCCCGGCTTCTCCAAAGTCTCCAGAGCCCCTACAACATCTGATCAGTTCTGCAGAATGCTCCATGCTCTCTCATTTCCCCTGTGATCACTGCCCTCCACATCCCCACCATCCCCTTAAAACTTACAGTCCCGTGTCCTGGTCTTGCAGGCTCTGGCTTCCTGCAGAAGTTCTATGGGTCAGCTGCACTCATCAACCTGTGTGATGGTGCTTCTCATTTGGGCCTTGATTTCACAGAAATGTAAGTCCTCCCAAAGAAGACTTGTGGATTCTTCAGGGTGAAGGAAGATATTTTAAGCATCTAAGGGAGATATTTTCTGTGAAAAACAGTCTTTTCACAATCTTCAATTTGGTCAAATTTGCTAATTTTAGAATAGTGTGTCCTGTACATAACAGTCACTCAAAAAAGAGACTTCTCAGACTCTCTCTTCCCCTTCCAGGCACACTTTCTTGGCTACTTGATTCCAATCTCATTTACCACTTTCCTTTTCAAAATCAGGGCTAAAGCAGTGACAAACTACAAACAACAGACTACAGTGGAAAAGTTTATTGGCGTGTATGAAGAGAGGATAGGGGCATACGTGTACTATTTTTCATCTGTATCAGCTGAGTTGGTGGTAATGCGACAAGTTCTCATTCATAGAAAATACATCTCAAAAAACCCCTCAGATGGTAGGGTTCTACTCTCTGATGAATAGCTATCATGAGGTTGATGATGAGGACTAAGGTGCTGTTGGATATCCATCTGCATCCACCTCTAAAGTGCTCTGCACCCAGGAAACTGACCTTTGTGAACCGTGCCCATGCCACATGCTCTCTGACCCTCTGGTTTCCAGTTGGTTTGACCCATAGACATCAGTGACAGACATTTAGAGGGAGAAGGTGAGGTCTGGGTATTGATTCTCTTGTTCCCCTAGTCTGGCCTCACTGTGGGACAGCTGTGCTCCTCAATTAAAGATCACAGCCCCTCCTAGGTGGGCCTCTCCAATTGTTCTTTTCAGGTCACTGTTCTCATGATTATTCCTACTTCAGGCCTAGTATGATGAAAGTGCTTTGGAGTTACTAGTTCCAGAGACTGCATTCATCACACCTTGGGATTTGCTTGTATTCTGCCCTTGCTTTTGCAGAGTGTTGCATTCTCCTCAAATTAGACCGTTTGAATGTGCCACGTGTTTCCTCTTGGAACTCTGATTACCACCATGGTAAATGGATAGACAGATCTGGAGGGGGTGGCAAATAAGTAGCTGCCTCCATGACATTCAGGGCAAGAGGTGATAAATGTTTCCTGATTGTCAACGTGTGGGGGGAAGCCACTTCCCTTCCCTAATTTTTATCTTACATGCAAATCCATGATGTTCAGTCAAAGACAATAAACAGAAAAACTTTCTCATGAAGTGGAGGAAGGCTCTTAGGTGATCTTCCACCACAAGCAGCTTAGCTGCATAGAAAAACCTGGGACTCGGAGGTTTCGAGCTACACCCTGGGCTTCACTGGCTGAGCCTGGCACTTGCTCATTGATAAATGGGATGAGGATATTTGGCCACCCCTCCTCTCATGTGTGTTGTGAGAGGAACATGGAATAATGCCTGGGAGCACTTGAAGCTGCAGCTGAGAAAGCCATGAAGACTGCTTCTAAGACTGTGAGGTGACAGGACCCAGAATTGAGGAACTGTGTGAGGGCCACTGTAAATGAGCTTGCCCCAGAGTTAGGGCTGGCCAGGCCTGGGACTGCATTTCTTCCCAAGGGTTCCTTTCCCATGACCTCTGGCCTGACCTTCCTCCCTGGGCCTGGCCCTCTTCTGTTAGGGGAAGGCATTTCAGAGCCACGCTGGCATGCTTGATCATGTTTTCAAAGGAAAGGAGGAGTGGGTGTGAATATTGCTCCAAAAACTCAGATGTGGAAAAAGTGTGACATCCACTTAAGAAAAATTAAATCGTATTAAATCCAAGTTTAAGCCTGTACCCCCCTGAGCTCTCTCATGTGTACTTCCCAGTGGGTACCACCGAGGCACCCATTATTCATGCCCTCTTTAGTCCTTGAAGTTGAGGGACCCTATTGGTTCCATGTGAACTGGGGGAACTGAAGTCTTTGTCTAGGTCCCAGCATCACCTTGACCTCCCTGGTCTTCATTTGTTGTTCCTCTAATATCTGTCTAATTCCTCAGGGTCCTGTGAGGGGACACATGCCAGCCACAGGTCTAACCAAGGGAGATCAAAATGCGAAGATGCTTGAGGAAGCAATGGGAGGTATTGGGTAACTTTTGGGCACCATGCCTGATTTTTCAGTCTAGGTCATTGGAATGGGTGGTCCCATGGTCTCTAAGAGTTAAATGAGGCTCTTCTCAGTTACCTTTTCACAGGCCCAAGAAAGCCTTTCTCTTGCAGCAGAAGGAGAAGAATCAGAATGTACAACATGTCGTCAAGTGATGCCGTTCTGCTTTAGAGGTTTATTTTAAATATATTTCTTTAAAGCCCATTTTGGAGACTTGCTACTGCTTGCTTTGTCTCCCAGCAACGTCAAAAGAGCTGATGGGAAAGAGAGGTCTTTTTTTTTTTTTTTTTTTTTTTTTTTTTTTTTTTTTTTACTTTTTTTCTTAACGTGTGCTTTCACTCAAAGAAAAAAAAAAGCAACAAAAACCCCACAACTTCTAAACCAGTTCCTGAAATAGACCCAGAGAGAAAAGGAAACCATAGCATGCTATGCAGCCTTTCTCGAGGGAGCAATTATAACCTAGAGAAAAAGACTCAGCTAGTGCATGGCTCCTGGAAACGGGGCTGAGTGCAAAGGCATCTTCCCCTCCTGCCTCCCAACAACCACAGATGTAGTCATAGCCAGAGCTGGGTTCACCCAAAAATAAGTGTACCAAGACCTTATGGAGATGGGAGTATTAGGGTCGTCAGATGAATTTGGACAACCATCAGCCCAGGCCACTTGGAGATAGGAGTGGAATCTTGATGCCAACCAACACCTATTTTTCTAACATTCACCCTATAAAGCACTGACAGTCTATGCTGCAAGCACTGTGCTGGGCGCTGGTGGGGTAGCTGGAAATATAACCAGTGCTCCAGTGTCAGCTGTCACCACTCACTTATATGCCGTAGCTATGCCCTAGTCACATGAGGCTCCTCCAGCTTTCAGAGCTCAATTGCCCTCATTTGATCCTTCAGGCTTTGCATATGTTGTCCTGTCAATCAGCTTCTTCCTGACTGCCTTCTTCACCTTCTAGCACGTCCTTCCTCTGCTTGTTCCCTGACCCACCTCTGCAGATAGCTATGTGACCCGCCTGTGTGTTCTCAGAGCAGCAGTGCTTCTCCTTATGAAGAGACTGCATCACACAATATGGAGTATTCTGTTTGTCTCTCTCCCCGACTGGACTGCAGGATCCATAAGAACAAAGATGTTCTTCATTTCTTTACCTGTGTTCTGTGGTACCTAGCATGGTGCATAGTGCTTAGGAGGTGATTATCACTTGATTACTGTTTGATTAAGAAGTTAACTCCAGAAATGAAATTTCTTATTCTGAATAGGTTATGGAGACATCAGACCTACTAGTATCTATGAGACTTTGGTCCAAATCTCAGTTTCATCAGCTATGAATTGGGAATAGTCACAGCTGTTACGGTTGGTAGAAAACTCTCTGGATAAAATGTATATAAGACCCCTGGCATCTGGAACAGAGCAGGAGCTCAGCGGTAGTGATTAGAGCTAGTGTAAAAGAACATTTGTCGATGATGCTTAAATTCCCACTGGGAGACTAGATGCTTTTAGCTTCCATTTATGGAGTAAATATTCTCATTGGCAATACTAGCCTTTTTACACCTCACCTTAAAGCTTTTTCTAAATTTTCCTCTAACCACATTATTACTTCCTCTGTCAAGTTTTCTAAACTCACCACTTAGCTGCCAGAGAGCCCTGGAGTGAGAATTGGGAACAGTACTTTGGTGACGTAAGTTCACAGCTCAGGCTCTGGAGTCGCGCTGTCTGAAGATGAGTTCTGGCAAGCTGTCATCTTTCTCTGTGCCCCAGTTTCCTCATCTGCGAAGTGGGTATCATGACGCGTTGGTTGGTTCCTCTGGGGAGAGATGCCTGCTCTAGAGGGTTACCACCTCCTTCCTTCCACAGCCCACGCTCGTCCCCCTCACAGCTGCCTGTTCTTTGCTCAGGAATGCACGAGGGACTGCTTCTGTCTTCCAGGTGTCCAGAGACACCCAGGAAGTCTGGCATCTAAGTTTAGTGAAAACCAAGGCATCAGCAGAGGATGGACAATGGCTGGCAGAGATATAACAGAGCTTATTCAATTGTAAGAGAGACGATTGAACTAAAGTGTCTAATCCCCAGACTCTATTATTACAGCAGGTCTTTGAATCGCATTGTCTCATTCCATGTCTTTTCATTATAACAATGATGAGAAAAAGATTGCTTCCTGGAAGGGCCACTGTCTGTGTGGTGTTTGCACATTCTCCTGGTGTTGGTGGGGTTTTCTCAGGGTCTTTTGGTTTCCTCCCACATCCTACAGCTGTGCATATTAGGTGGATAGGCATGTGTACAAGGCCCCAGTCTGAGTGAGTGTGGGGGTGAGTGTGAGCAGCCCTGCCTCTGGGTGGTGTCGTGTCCAGGACTGACTCCCACCTGGCGCCCTGAGCTGCTGGGAGATGCTCCAGCCACCTGTGACCCTGAACTAGAATAACTGGGTTGGAAAATGAATGAATGTATACAAATTACTGTCAAATAAAATGTTGTAAAGTCTAAAGTAATCATCCAAATGCATGACAATAAACCATGAGGTATGAAAGTGCTCAGCAAGCCCGCCATCTTTCTAATAGTTTGTTTTAGAACTTGGTGGTAGTAGGAGATGCCCTAACAATTTTCACTGCAGAAACGTTTATTCCTTGATTTAATTCACCACCATTGTGACCACTGTCACTCACTGATTCACCAAAGACTGGGTAAATATTATCTTACTGTTTTTATTAATCTTTCTTAAATGTATATGCTCACACGCATCTCAAAGTTTAATAGTAGAACTGTTTTGGATCTTTATTTGGAAGTTTGGTGATTTTTTTTTTGTGACCAGCAACATGCGGTTGAAATTTACCTCTTATTTATATCATTTAGCCTATGGTAAAATTGGTTTTGTTATACATCGTTTCACTTAAAGTCACGGCTTTCAAGAACCTATTGATGATGTTAAGAGAGGGCTTACTGCACATTCTAGGACGGCAAATTGCTAAGCAAACAGTGGATGTACAGCTCCCAGAAGTGCGGCCCAGAATAACATGACTTCAGATGTAGGGGAGAGCTTGGAGTTTATCTAGTCCAGTGGTTCTTAGCTGAGGGTGATTTAGAATTACCAGGGACCTGACTCCCTTGAGAATCCTGGTGCAGGAGGTCTGGGGAAAGGATAAAGCATGGGTATTTTTAAAAATGCATCAGGCAATTCTGTCAGATACTTTCTGACCTAGTCCACTCTCCTCCTCTCTGACCACAGTCTCTGACCTGTCAGCCTCCTTTCTCTAGGGAGCAATTATAACCCAGAGAAAAATAAGCTGAAAGCAGGAGACTTCCAGAAACATGTCTGGGCACAGGTGCCACCCACGTGTGGGTTTGCATTGGGTGGCAACCCATCTTTTGCAGCAGGGAGCTCACCAGCTGTGAATTCTTCTGCTTGATGGTAGTGGAGTGGATGTGGATCCCATCTCTCCACCCTGCTGGGGAGACTGGAAGGGAGCAGCCTTCTAGAAACTCCACCACTGCATGCCGGGATAAGTTTCCATAATGAAGCTCTCTCAAGCACAAAATGTGCATCTAATGGAATGCCATTTATCAGGGCAGCAATTCACATGTACGCACAAAACCTTTACTTTATTGCTTTATATCATGAATTACAACTATATCTAAAGATTGAAGACTCTAGTTAACCCTCTAATCCTAACTCCAGGGATTAATATTGGGCATTAATTCTAACTCTGTCTTCTGATACTAATTCTAGCTGTTGATTCCTTGAGTGCTAATAGGAAATGCCAGAATTTATTCTATGGATTATTCTCAGTTTTAGCCCCATCATTCCAAGACATGTTTGGATTATTTTGAAGTGGTCATGTGGATGGGTTTAACCTCAGACCTAGAGGGGAGAAATATACTGCTTAGCAGTTCAAAGGCGAATAAAGGTTGGCAAGATTAATCACAGTGTGGATTCTGTACTATTTCAAAACTGAATAGGAGGTTTGGGAAATTGTGGCTGGAAAACCAGACTTTCCAGGTTGTCTTCCATCAAGTGATCACTGATGTATTTATTTCTCTGATTAATGAACTTTGCAAATTAACCTCCACACTACTCTGTAATTGCGATTAAGGTTTCAAAAAATCACTTAAGCGTGTGTTTCCACCACTCCTGAGTCCATTCCAGCCGGATGGCCTGCTCACTGTGCTGATTTCACAAAGATAGTGCCAGTCCCCTGACCTCTGAATTTACAATTATTGCATTCAGCACCCAAATTACCCCCAGTCTCCATGTGCCTGGCTTTATCTCTCTGCACACACAGGCCTGGCTTTTAATTAAAGGCCCTCAAATTAAATGAAAACAAATTCAATTATTACATCTCATTGGAGCAGCTCACAGCATATCCTGACAGCATTTATCCAATGGGCAACCCAGGGAAAGCTCGGCTCCTACAACTTAAGTTAATGTGCCCAGTAAATGATTTTTCTTATCATTGCTTGAACAGACTTTTTGCCACTGGGTCAGCCCTAGCTGTGGTCTTTGCTGTCTCTGAAAAAAACTACAGCTTAACACAGTTTCTCTTTTCTCTATCTTTTCTGGTCTCTGCCTGGTTCTTATTCTCCCTTTCTGCATGGAAGGAGAATGGTCTCATGGTCTGTTCCCACTGAGGATGGAAGATAATTACCCTCCAATCTCTGCAGGTTTGGAGGTGCAGCTCAGATATGCACCCCTTAAATTTAGATCCTTATCCAAAGCTCTTAGGGCTATCCAGGGGACTGTGTGTATGTTCTTGACTCTCCAAGCTGCCCGAAGTTTAGAGAAATGTGCACTGAATTGCGATTATTGTTATGATAGATCATAACAATAATCATAATAATAGTATGTTTATTGAGGACTGTAATGTGCTAGGCAGTGCAAACAGCATGCAATTAGACACAGTCCGTACCCAGTGGACCGACTGATTACACAAGTGGAAGCAAGGCAAGACCCAGACAAAAGGAGCAATAGAAACAAACTGAAGGGAGAGCTGGGAAGGGAGAAAACAATTTCTTTTTTGATAAGTGGCCAGCGGAGGTCATGCCTCTACCTTGCCTGGACTGCACTTTCTGCCAAGTTTTGTTTTGAGTATGAAACTCTTTAACTAAGTGGCAGATTGGGCCTAGATTTGGAGGGCTTGTAAGAAGAAGAGCATTAGGTTCAGAGGCAGGAAACAATCACTGCTTCAGGGATGGGCATAATCTGATCAGGAAGGCTCAGAAGATTTTTTGTAGAAGGGTACATATCAGATGCTGTTGTCCCTGTCAGTGGCCCAAGGCAGGAATATGGGAAGCCTCAAAGCTCTGCTTCCCCCAGCGCTAGAGCCAGATCACGCAAAAGAAACAACACAGTTCAGGAGAGAGGCTGAAGGAAGAGCTCAGCAGATTTGCATGAAGACAGGGAATCCCTGGGTCTTCTATCCGAGGGTATCCTTTTTCTGATGGTGGCTGGATTTGTGTCCCTTGTTGAAAAGGAAGACCCAAATGCAGATGGCAACAGAAATTAAACATACAGATCACAAAAACTCCCAAATCTACTTGTAACCCATTCAGCAGGGAAAAGCAAAGCAGGAGAAAGAAGTGTGGGCATTCGAGAAGGAGCTGCAATTCCAAATCTGTGGCCGCAAGACACAGTCTGCCTGGCATTTTATGTGCCCCCAGATTCAGCCCAGACGCCCTGTCAAAATGAGTTTGCTGGAGAACTCTGGCAGAGGGGACACTGTGAGCTTCTGCTCAACGCCCACAGGTCTCCCTAGGTTCTCCTGGGGGTGGTGACCAGCCAGGGGAGCCAAGGATTTGGGGGACAACAAGGTTTGCTCTATCATTTTTACATCCTTGCTTGAGCAAGCGTCCTTAATAATCCCTTTTACTGAGTGTCCTATGTATAGGGAGAACTGTAAAAGCCTGTTTTGAATGAATACAAAAGAAACGGAAGATCTCAAGGTATTTATAATCTAATTTGGAGGGTGGAAAATACACAGACATAATGAAACTCTAAAATGTCAAGTTCCATTTTCCTGCTATGATTCCCATAATTTCTACATATGTTTATGATACGTTTTAAGACATTGCATTGATATTATCTGTTTGTATTTTATTATTCTGCTCTAGACTAAACTTCATCAAAGCAGGGCCTGTGCCTTTGTTTTTATTTTTTAAATTGTGTATCTTCAAAAATTAGTACTGCCTCTGGTATCTGGCAATATTTGTTTACCTTTGAATTGAATAAAATAAAAGCCTAATTCTAATGTCCCTAGCTAAAGCTGCATCAGCCTCCTCTGGTCTCCCGTGATACTTGGTTTATGCTTCTCTTATCGTTACTACTCAATCGACCTCTTCTCTACAAGCTCTAAGAGGCAGTGTGGCGTAGTGGTTAAGAGGCTGGCTATGTAACCTTGGGAAAGTTGCTTTATCTCTTTAGCCTTCCCTGTCTGTGGAATGAGTAGGAGGATAATTTGCTTACTTTTTGGGATTGTCATGAGGATTAGACGGATAACACATGAGGTGGAGGCATGCCTGGCACACGGTGTTATGTAAAGGGCACCTTTTCCCATTATCACCATCCTGAAGAGTTCTAGCATAGGTTGAATTGTGTCACACAAAAAGATAGGTACAAGTTCTACTCCTCGCGCCTGCGAATGTGACCTTATTTGGAAATAAAATCTTGGGAGAGGTAATCAAGTTAAGATGAGACCATACCTTATTAGGGAGGACCCTTATCCAGTGGCCAGTTTTCTTACATGAAGAGGGAAATGTGGACACAAAGGTACACTTAGAGGAGAGGATGTGAAGACACAGCCAATACAGGGAGGGCGTCGTGTGAAGACTGAGGCCGGATTGGAGCCATGTGTCTGCAAGCCACCAGAAGCACAGAGCAGAGCCGCAGAGCACAGGTTCTCCCTCCGGGCCTCTAGGGGGAGCCAACTCTGCAAACAACTGGGCTTCGAACTTCCAGCCTCCAGAACTGTGAGAGAATAAATGTCTATGGTTCAAAGCAACACTACTTATGGTAATTTGCAGACTAAGTTTTATCTTTTGTGTATACATCTAACACAACACCTAGGAGAGTGCTTGGAAGGTAGTAGATCTTGGCCAACATACACTTGTTGAATTGGATGGATTCAGCCATGAGATCATTAATGTGAATACACAATTATAAAATAGTTTTCATGGAAGTAGAATTTGTCTGTTCTATGTACCACCTATTTGAAATTAAATAAAAGGACATATTTATCCAATTCAACTTGCCAATTTCCTTTCAATTTTGATATAACATGTAATTGGTACGATAACATTGTATATCAAATTACCCTGAACAATGCAGTAAATGGAAAGGAGGTCGCCATAAAAGGGTAATCTCCTAAGAGGTTACCATGAGACAGAGTAACCTGCCTTTGGTTCATTCTGTCCAATTTAGCCTACTCCCTCAGCTGATCCCTTCCCAAGACCCTGGAGTTCCTTAAATAATATTTGATAACTCAAAGTAGAAAAAAATTAAACTAAGCAAACAAATCAAGGTATGGTATGTATATATTTATATAGGATTGTGTTGGTCTTGAACAGACGTTTACTCATAAACATTTATCAAATGGCCTGTTGTGTACCAAGTACTATACTAGGAAGGGGATGCAATGGTAAATAAGACAATGAGTAAGATCAATGAGTAACATTTTATGAAGTCTTTGTTATGTGCCAGTCAATATATTAAGTATACTATTTTATTTGACCCTTACAATAATTGAGTTAGGTAAGTCCATGTCACTAATGATAAGACAGGCTTAGTGAGATTTACACATTGCCTAAGGTCACACAGTAAGTGGTAGAGACCCAGATTTGTACTTAAGTAATCTAATTCCAGAGCTCTTTAATCACTGCACAAAAATTTGGCATCTCTTATCCTCATAGAGCCTAGAGTGTAGTGGTAAAGAAGGCAAGCCAGCAATTGCCATATAGTCACAGAAAGAACATGGTTAAGAAGACTTCCAGTAGGAATCCTAATTTAAGATTTTCCTGGATTCATATTCCAGACCAGTTTGGGCAGAAGTTAGAGGAGAAAATCAGCACTTGGGCTGATTTATCATTACATCTCCTACCTTGGTTTGGCCTTGGCGACTTGGGTCCAGTGGCTTAGAGGTGCTTTCATGGCTTAGAGTTTCTGCAGATGCGGGCAGGGCAGAAACCATACGGTCAGTCTAGTCAGCAGTTTTCAGTTATGAGTCAAAGAAGGAGCAGAAGCCTGAGCTGTGTGGGGACAACCTCTTCCAGCTCATCCTAGGTTCTGGCTGCTTTCTGTCTTGGTCTGGCCATATTGTTCGACCCAGGAGATTGGGTACTTTTATAACTCCAGGAAAGGTACATGTTTATGATAAATGGGAAAATATTTCTTGGTCCTTTCAAAGAGATGCTGATCCAAGGTGAGAAACTGTGTGATTATGAGAGACTGATCATCCTGATCATCTATATGGTACAGCTAGCTGCCTTGCTTCTCTAGATTTCTCTAGAAATCTAGGTTGTTAAAATCCTTGTAATGCACTGTGCTATGGCTTGAATGTCTTCCCCAAAGTTTATGTTTTGGAAACTAAATCCCCGATGCAACAATGTTGAGAGGTAGGACCTTTAAGAGTTGACTTGGTCATGATGGCCCTGCCTTCATGAATGAACTCATATTGTTATCTTGGGTGGGCTTGTTATTGCCAGAAGGGTTTTTTTTTATAAAATCAGGTTCAGGAAACTCTTGCTTTCACTATCCCCCACCCTGTGATGCCTTCCAGCATGGGACAATGCAGACAGAAGACCCTCACCAAATGCATGCCCCCAACCTTGGACTTCCAGCCTCCAGGATAGTTAGAAATAAATATCTGTTCTTTATAAATTACCCAGCCCCAGATATTCTGTTGCAGCAGCACAAAATGGACTAAGATACACTGTCTAAGAAATCTTTTTATATCTTCATGGAGACTATGCAGTTTGACTTGCTCGCGGCCCAGTTGATTTTCAAGATTGACAATCAGCACTAACTCTATTATAGAATTTGCCTGGCTGCTGCACTGAGAACTCACTGCTGTGAGTATTGTCTCCAGCTTCAGTGGACTTCCCAGAGGTTGCCTTTGAAAATTTTACACTCAACCATTTCCCCACTCACTGAAAGCTTAAAAGAGAACAAGTCTAAAAGAGAATGGTTATTTTTAGTAGGAAGTTAGTTGTGAGATTTTGAGTGGGAGAGTCAGCCTCAGAGAAACTAGACATCTTCTCAGCTATTCTTGAGTCCTTTTTTGTCTTGTTTTGTTTTGTTTGGAGTGAATTTCCCAAACCTCTGTCATATTAAAACCAATCCCATCAATATCCCATTTGCAACTTATGTAAAGAATATTATTAATAATAATATCAATATCAACATAGCATTTAGAAATAGAAGATGTGGTATGAGACCCAGCTCTGCCACTTTCAGACTGCAGCTCTAGGAAAAATGCAAACCCTCAATGCCTCAGTTTCCTCCATTATAAAAGGAAAATTATAATAATAATATTAGTTCATTTCACAGGCCTTTTAGAAAAGTCAAATGAGATAATGCATGCAAGAGTGTTTTGCAAATTGTAAAATATTGTACAAAGCTTTGTTATTTTTACAGAAAATACATATGGATTTTCTGCCCTTTTGAATTATTCATTTTCTATCTCTTTATAGTGGTCTGAATAATTGGATATTTGATTCTTATCTTACTTTCTTGGAACTCTGTATATTTCACATCAATTATTTCATTTTACTCTCACACTACGTCTGTCTTACCTACAAAGAGCAGAGTGTGATTGAGTTGTCTAATATTTAAAATAAGTTGGACTCCAACTTTTGGTCCTCTTGGTATTTATTTTTCAGTGACTTTTCTGCTCTAAACTTGGGGAAATTGCTGCTATGTAGACTCGGATTATTACTTGGAGAAAACTAAACTTATGAGATAACCTTTTCTCCATATTCTGACGCTTGTTAACAGGAAAGCCATTGGGTGGTAGCAGGAAAAGGGTTGCAGTGTCCCACAAGGGCACTGGTTTATTTTTTCTTTGATTGCATGGCATTTTTGGAGCATAGGACTAGCTAGCATACAGGTCCAGCAGCTTTCTCAGGAACCTACTACCTTAGGATCCCAACTTGAGTCATGGCATCTGAAACCAGGTACCCTGAGCTAGGCTGTATCATGATCCAGAGGCCATATCACTTAAGAGGAAGAGCATTGAACAGAGAATTGGAGACTGCTCCTAGCTGGATTGTTTGGCTTGAGAATATCACTTCCCTTTAGAATATTGCCTATCTACATTTACATTTTTTAATTTTAAATTTATTATTGTGGTAACATAACATAAAGTTTGCCATTTTAGCTCAGTGGCATTAAGAAAATTCTCATTGTACAACCATTATCACCATCTACCTCCAGAACTGCAAAGCGTTGTTTTTAGAGTACAAATGAAATCATTTCTGGGAAAGCTCTTAGAAGAGCATAACACACCATAGGAATGCAAAATATTGTCCTGACTCTTATTGCCCAATAATTTAGCGGAAGGAGCAAAGAGCACCTTAAAAGGGTTGCTTAACTTATAAGTGCTTTGAGGAGGCTGAGTAAACTATCTCCCTGAAATAATTCAAATTAGTGGGGATGCCCGTTGGTCAGGATCAAGTGGACACGATTTATTGCTAAGGGAAAGTTGTGGATTACCTGTAACATTTGAAGTTGTGTCCAACTTGAACATTCTACAAATTTGCATCAATAACTTCCTCACTTGAGGCTAAATTAGAAGACATTATTTCCCTCCTGCTGGGCATTTGGAACTTCTGGGTCGGAAAAGCTGAAGCAGTAATGGGCAGGAGCCCAAGCTGCCTAATGAATAGGTCTAAAAATAGTTGAGAGAATGAATTCTAAAGTGCAGAGTTGTGATGTTCTTATGGAAGACAGGTGGCCCTCTTACTTTAACCAAACCAAGTTTTCCACCCTAAGTTCACTGGAAGGTTAGTCTAGCTTGCCGAATACAATATGCAACAGACGTGTGCATGCATTAGTAGATAGATGCATAAAAGCAATTCATTCATATATATTTTATATATATATAATATATATATATATGCTTCCTTAATCTGTTAAATTTAGGAAAACTGGATTAAAGGGAAGACACATCTAGAAATGACATGCTGCTTAAGGAAGTAGAAATCTGGTAGCATGAGGCTGTGTCTGGGAATGCTCTGCATGGGTTATTTTGGGAACTGCTGTTCTCTTGAGAAATTAAATTTGTAGGGAGAATAGGACTAATGGCCATTTGTATCCAGCTGCTTGCATCCTTTCTTCAGCCAGAGGAGTGGATAGAGGGGGTATGTGTGTTTGTGTTGTTCGCTGAATGCCCACTGTCCTGAGGATTCACAGACAGGCTGTGCCATGGCAATGAGGTTGGTCTGCAACTGCACTGTGAGAGGGTGGCAGGAAAAGGCACTGATGATGGTGATGAGGAGGCTGGCGGCTGGCATTCATCAAGAGCTTGCTGTAGATCCAGCACTGTGTTAGACATGTTAGCTGTTTTTTTGCCATCCAGTGATTAAGTTCACTGATGCTTAAAGAGGTTAAGCAAACTGCCCAAGGTCATACACTTAGTAAAGAGCAGTGCTGAGCTCAAACCCAGGCCCATCTTATTCCTAAGCCCAAAAGCCACCACGCGTCATCAATAGAGATGGCAGGCCTGAGCTAGTCCCTGCCAAAAAAATTCACAAGTTAAAAATAGAGGATATTTTTCCTTTTGTCCTTTTTTCCTTTATATCATAGTTACTTTCCTGATTCTTTCTTTGCTGGGGGAGGGGGAATTTAAAAAATCATACCTAACATTTATTTCAGATAAGAAAGGGAAGCAAGTAACAAATAATTATGTGATGAATACCAAGATTCCCAATTTTGTGTTAAGAACTATTTCAACAGTTGTAGTACCAGGTATATCCCTGTCCCCAGGGATCTGGCATGTTTTTGTTTTGTTTTGTTTCTGCAGATATCTTGCAGAATGGATGTAAATCTATGTTCTTTGGGATTTTTAGAACAGTGATTCCCAACTCACATGAGAGAAATAGGGCTAATAGAAAATTAGGTTTGGTGAGGCATGGGACCCTGGCCGGGAGATGAAAAAGCATTGGTTGGTGTTTGCATTTTTTGTTATTGGAATTGGGTGAAGGAGGCCTGGTTGAGAAATATTAGGGGAGGACTTGAGTTTCTTACCCTTCATGGTCCCTATAGACTTAAGAATGCAATAACAAAGATATTTAGGTCATTTTAAACTTATTTTGAAAATTGCATATTTCTTGTTTGCATCTCTTTAGATTTTTTTTTTTAAAAAAAGATATTTGTAGTCTTATCCTTCGCCTTGAATAGAGAGAAGGAATTTATGGAGGTGCAATATTAGCGAAAAGTCTTTACATTTTCTCCTGGAGGAACAGAGAAGACGCATCTCATTCATTCAGCAAATATTAACTGGGTCCCTGCTGTGAGCCAGACTTTTGTAGTAGGCCCAGAGTATAAAGAAGACAGATATCCTGACTGCCTGGGAGGAGTGTACAGTGTAGTGATGCCTTGAGAGATGGCTCTGTCCTGAGCAGACAGGAAATGGCTACGCTGGGACATAACAAAGGAGCTGATTTCCAAAAGGACCACATTGGGCAGTCCCAGGACAGCTGAGAGACTCCATCAAAGCTGAAGATCAGAGACGAGGCTTGAAAACATCACTGAAATAAATCTTAATTGCCATGAGGGAGGTCTGAATTTTGTGGTGGCCAATATAATTCATGAGATGTCTATGTTTGCAAGGTTCGATCCCCCAGGTCAGCAGGTGAGCCTCCCTTTGTTCCAGTGGCAGCTGATGGGGTGTCTCCTTGCAGACAGGTTTCTGCTGGAGCTTGCCCTTGGCGACAAGAGGGACTAGGTGAGAGCATAGGTTTGGATAAACTTAAATCCATCATTGTCACTAGAAAACATTTCAGAAAACATGCCATATTAATGATGGGTAAATGGCATCATCTTCTGTGAAGAAATGCCTTCACCAAATCAGGATTTAATGTAATGCCTCTACCTTTTCAAAGGATCAATATGAGACCTGGCAATTGAACAGCATTTCTGTATCCTTTATAAAAATGGGGTTGAAGGTATTTTTCTACTATATGACTCAAAGCCCTTTTTATAAATTCTGTCAATTGCAACCCCACACTATCTCTCACAGTAAGTTTCTGCTTAAGTTTGGTTCCAAGGAAAATGCTGTCTCGGCTGATGAATTTGTGTGCTTTCTGTTTTCAGAGAACAAATGGCATAAGCCAATGTCCTTTCCATTTGCCTTAGCTGGCACTAACTCAGATCCAAATGCATCGCCCAAATGTTATCTGCTCAACTCAGGTACCTGGGACATTCCCTCTCTCTGCTTTCTCCAGGTGATCTCTGCTTTGACTTATGCTTAAAGACTTTACAAAGCAGGACTATCTGAAGTCCGCTCAGTACATAAGCTACAAATACAACAGGGATGATTTTTTCCTGTACATCTATCTGTTCGTCTCTCTATCCAATGTAATAAAGTGAAACAAATCCTTCTCGGATGATTGAAGTATAGAGTGGCATCTTATTGGTGCTTGAGAATAAAAAATTATGGATAAATGAAACATTTTTGAGTACCAGTGACTCTATATCCCTAGGTATTGAAGGGAAACATAGAAAAAGGAAGAGACATAGACCATTCTCTTGGAAGATCCAGCCCAACTGGGGAAGACTGCCTACATTTTTATCCCCTCTCCACTCACATTCACTTGGAAATGACCCATAAATATTAACCAGCTGTTTGAAAATAAGCACAAGTAATTGCAACTCTTCAGTTGCCAGGAAAATCATCCAGAATCAATGCTTTTCTCAAAAAATAGACATGGAGTGCTACTATGTGCACGTTGTTGAGGAGTGATGAACATGGGTCACACTCATTTTCTGCCTTCAAGACCTGGTAGTCTGAATAGGGGCCAAACCAATCCTACATATTTCTATACTACAGCTGAAAGTAAATGCCTCAGTAGAAGTAGGAATAAATATTTGATAGTGGCCCAGAAGGGTAAGGGATCACTTTTTGGATGGGAAATCAGAAAAGGTTTTATAAAGGAGGTGATATTGGGCAGAGGGGCAATCTAGGTTGAGCACACAAAGATACAAAGAAGAGAAAATGGTGGGTGTGCTCAAGGATGGTGAATGTGCCATTTGTCTTGTATGTAGTTTACATGCAAAAGAGCAGAGAAAGATAAGTGAAAGTTAAGCCAGTATTATCACCGCATCCCTTGAAAGGCTTGCACTACTTAATGTTGTAATCAAAGGAGGACTATTAAAGGTTTTTGAGCAGAAGAGTGATCACTAGACTAGTGATTCAGAAAAACTGAGTTGAGCCTTGGGGTAAATAATCCTAAGAGATTGAGAGCCTGTGTAAACATGATAATAGCAAAGTGGACAAATCGTGTCCCTTAGCCAGGATTTGCTCATAGGAATGTGGAAAAATAAGAGTGAGTGACAGGAAGTCCTAGCTAGAGCAATTAGACAAGAGAAAAAAAATAAAGGGCATTCAAATTGGAAAGGAAAAAGTCAAATTGATCTTGTCTTATATTTGGTAAAAGCTAAAGACTCTGCCAAAAAACTATTAGAACTAATAAGTAAATTTACAAATAATTTATTTGTATAAATAATTTATTTGCAGGATACAAAATCAGTATCCCCAAATCAGTAGCATTTCTCTATGCCAACAATGAACAATCTGAAAAAGAAAAAAAAAAGTAATCCTATTTATAGTAGCCACAAATAAAATTAAATACCTAGGAATTAACCAAAGAAGTGAAAGCTCTCTACTATGAAAAGTATAAAAGCTGGCGAAAGACATTGAAAAGGACACACAGAAAATGGAAGCATATTCCATGTTCATAGGCTGGAAGAATCAATATTGTTAAAATGTCCTTACTACCTGAAGCAATCTATAGATTCAATGCAATCTCTATCAACATACCAACGACGTTCTCCACAGAAATAGCAAAAACAATCCTAAAATTTATATGGAACCACAAAAGACCCAGAATAGCCAAAGCTATCTTGAGCAAAAGGAACAAAACTGGAGGGATCACACACCTAACTTCAAATTGTACTACAGAGCTATAGTCACTGAAACAATGTGGTACTGGCACAAAAACAGATACATAGACCAATGGAACAGAATAAAGAACCCAGAAACAGATTCATCTACCTACAATGAACTCATTTTTGACAAAGGTGACAAGAATATACATTGGGGAAAAGATAGTCTCTTCAATAAATTGTACTGGGAAAACTGGATATCCATATGCAGAAGAGTGAAACTATCTCTTGCCATATACAAGAATCAAAATAGATTAAAGACTTAAATCTAAGACCTCAAACTATGAAACCACTACAGGAAAACATTAGGGAAACTTTCCAGGACATTGGACTGGGCAAAGATTTCTTCAGTAATACCCCACAAGTACAGGCAACCAAAGCAAAAATGGACAAATGGGATCACATGAAGTTAAAAAGTTTCTGCAAAGCAAAACAACAACAACAGCAACAGCAAAACAAAAGCAATCAAAAAAAGTAGAGATAACTCACAGGACGGGAGAAAATATTTGCAAACTACTCTCTGACAAGGGATTAGTAACCCAGTATATAAGGAGCTCAAACAACTCTATAGGAAAAATTCTAATAATCTGATTAAAAAGTGAGCAAAAGATCTGCATAGACATTTCTCAAAAGAAGACATACAAATGGCAAACAGGCATATGAAAAGGTGCTCAACCTTAATGATCATCAGAGAAATGCAAATCAAAACTACAATGATATATCATCTCACCCCAGTTAAAATGGCTTTTACACAATAGTCAGGCAATAACAAATGCTGGCAGGATGTGGAAAAAAGGGAACCCTTGTACACTGTCAGTGGGAATGTAAATTAGTACAACCACTGTGGAGAACAGTTTGGAAGTTCCTCAGAAAACTAAAAGTAGAGCTACCATGTGATCTAGCAATCCCATTTATGGGTATATACTCCAAAGAAAGGAAATCGGTACATCAAAGAGATGTCTGCACTCTCATGTTTGTTGCAGCACTGTTCACAATAGTCAAGATTTGGAAGCAACCTAAGTGTCCATCAACAGATGAATGAAGAAAATGTAGTACATATACACAATGAAGCTGTCATTTGCAATAGCATGGATGGAACTGGAGGTCATTATATTAAGTGGAACAAGCCAGGCGCAGAAAGACAGACTTCTCATGTTCTCATTTATTTGTAGGATAAAAATTAAAACAATTGAACTAATGGAGCGGAGAGCAGAAGGATGGTTACTATAGCATGGGAAGGGTAGTGGGGAGATGGAAGGGAAGTGGGGATGTTTAGTTGTTACAAAATAGTTGGAAAGAATGAATAAGACCTATTATTTGACAGTACAACAAGGTGACTATAGTCAAAAATAATTTAATTATACATTTTCAAATAACCAAAAGAGTATAATTGGATTATTTGTAACACAAAGGATAAATGCTTGAGGGAATGGATACTTCATTTACCCTGATGTGATAATTATACATTGCCTGTACCAAAATATCTCATGTAACCCATACATATATACCCCTACTACAGTAAAAGTTAAAAATTAAAAATTAAAAAAAGAATGAGAGACGCTGATGTGGGAGAGTATTTTTGTTAACATAATTTGGCAACTATAATATGTTGGCTCTGAGTTTATGAGCCTGCGAGACCAGAAGCCCAGTGATGCCATCTGAGGCATGATGTGGGGTGGACCAGGAACAGGGTGTGTTAAGAAGGATTAAGCATGGGGCAGAGGAAAGTCAACAGGACATGTTGCATATGAGGGGCTGGTGAGTTGTACTAAGATGGGGGTACAGTGGAGGGCACACTAAAGTGTAGGAAAGGTGGGGGAATGGTGAAGAGAGGACTTCCTACTCCTCAGGCCTGGGCCACTTGGATAGGAGTAAAGTGGAAGAGAGGGGATTGCTTCTTAAGCAGGTGATCCAAGTCCTTCAAGACTCCTGAGCCAGGTGTCAGGCAAGAGGACTTGCCAAAGCTGTAGTCATTGGAATCTTCTGTATTATCCAGCACAGGAGAAAATCTTCTAGAACCTGGGTTGTTCTTGGGATTAGCCAGTTATGTTCAGAAGTAAAAATACCCTGAAGATGATGAAGGAAATTGGAGAAACAGCTTTCATGAGACTGCCTGCCCCTTCTCCTGGATGAGGGATACTGGAGACAGCCATCACAGCAGCTAGGATCCACGGAGCTTCTCACCCACTGGGTGCCAAGTGCCATGCTACACACTTTATCTCTGGACAGTTACAAATTGATGAGGTAGATACTGTGGTCAACATCATTCTATAAAGGAGAGTAATGAGGCTTACATGGATGCCTCAAGGCCATACAGCTACCAAAGATGGTAAGCTGTAGCCAGGCATTCTCTGGGGTGAAAGCCGACAGTACAGTTGATTCTCATAATCTGTGGTCTATAAGGTCACCTCAAACACCAAGTTAGTGAACACTGAAGCATTGTTCCTAAGGCAAATACACAGTTAGGTTCCTGTGAGCTTCTGATCACAACATTTTTGTCTACCAATCAATACATAACCTTGTTTTATGTGTATTTCCATTTAAAGACACCTCATTTAATATATGTTGTTGATTGATTAAATTGAACTCACACGCAGTGGCACTGTAACTTGTGCCTGAATGTAGCTTCTCTAACACACATGTTTTCTCCATAAGGCACATCACACCCTTCTTGTGCTTTTGAACACTAGAGAGGACTTAGATCTATATGTAGGGGCTGTTTTAAACCGTGAAATCATCCACAAAAATGCAAAAAAAAAAAAGTCACTAAACAGACAGTGAGAAGGAAGTGTTTATAATATAAGAGCTGAAACAAGAAGGCAGGGCATTGCCACCTTCAACCTCACTGGGACAATGAGATTGGGATGACTCAAATTTTTCACCAGTCTGCACATATCCTTGAATTACCTCTAAGGTGACATACCATGAATATTGGTTTTGGGGTTACAAATAAATTTTGGTGAGCAGGCAAATTCATAGACACAGAATTTGTGAAAAATAAGAATCAACTGTACTTCAGGAGCCATGGGCACATTTTGCAATGTATGGACTGCTAAGAGAAACCTGTAACGAATGATACATCTTACTTCCTCTTGGTTTTCTCCCCTTAATCTTGGAGTCAGTCTTTCCTGACTTCCCAGTTTAAAGGGCAACTCCTTGGAGCTAAGTCACAAGCCTCAGAATGAGCTGCAGAACAAGTGCACACAGCCCTCAGCAGAAGCATCAGGCTGGGGCTCAGGTCCCCCTGAAGCACACGTGTGGAGGACAGGTGACCCCATGTGCCAGAGGACCAGTCACCTCCGACAGGATCCAGCCTTCTTCTTAGGATTCTGGCCCTTTTTCACCCTTTCCTAGCCTCTCCTTTGGGCTTAATGCAGTGAGGGTTAGAACAGTTTTCTTAGTGCCAAGATTCTTGCTAATACGGCAGTTTGTGATTTTTGGCATGTTGCAAGATATGGCAGATTAAGGTGAAGTTTCCAGGATCAGAAAGATGCAAGTTCATTAGTGGCTCGGATGCTTCTCTCACTGTGTGATCTTATATAAATACCTTAACCTAGTCAATCCTCAGATTCCTTAGCTGTAAAATGAGGGTCATACTTATATTTACTTCTTAGAATTATTGTGAAGATTAAATTCGTTAATTCATGTTAAGTGCCTAGTACAGTGCCTGCCATATGGTAAACACTCAGTAAGCATTAACTTTAACAATTTTATATCTTAATATTTAATTAGTTTGCATATCACATGCATATTACAATTATATGTAATTTGAAAAAAATAGTCTTTAATTTTTTTTCCTATATACATCAGTGATTGATTATGGACTTTGGCACTGGGTTATCTTAATTCTGCTCTTAGCTTCTTTTTCTATCTGGGTAACTTTGGGCAAATTACTGAATTTTGAATTACTGAATTACTGAACTTTGAATCTTAGCTTCTTAATCTGGTAATGAGAGAAAAATAAAGCCTAACTCTCAGATTGATTGGAATGTTAAATGGGATAATGCACTTAACGGAGCTTTAGCGCTAGGTCTGACACGTGATAAGCATTGATAAGTTCTTGCTGTTATTGTAATTTTTAATATTATTAATAATCATATGGTAACATTGCTTTTCTGAGAGTGCCTTGTAATGCATTCTGTAGCTTCTAGGCTTATTTTTCTGACCTTCATTAACAAACTTTCTTTCAACAAAGTGCATGCTTGGAACGCGTCCTGCTTTTTGATGGAGGGATATGGTGGCTCAGCAGAGCGCTCAGCGGATGAGAGCTAAGACTCAGCAGCTAAAGGATGGTTGGAACTGGGGGTTGGGGAGCTCTGCTGAATAAAGGCTTTTTGCTTCCTAATACTTCCACTTCTAATGTTTCTGGAGCTCATGGAGGACAGCTACTGACAAAAACCTGTGTTTATATATCATCGGTCTGCACGGGTTAGTAAGATGCCCAGAGCTGCTGAAAGACAAACCACAATGACAGGAGTCCCCAAAGGGACAGGCGGCCCTCCCCATGGGCTTGGAGGAGCAATGCCAGTAGGTCATTCTGCAGCTAGAAATGTGTCTTCAAGGGCACATCTCACTAGGAGGGATGGTTTATCTCTGCTGCCTGTCCATGGATGCTCAGCAGGGCCACGTGTATGCCGTGTCTTCGCATTAAACCATCCATTGCAACATCGTCGACATTCATTCCGCAGCTTGACCTTTCTTTCCCTTTCTCTCTCGCAAACTTCTTCTTCCGCTGAGTCGTGCAGGTGGGTAAATCTTCCTCTGCTGCATCCGCATGCTGGGGAAATTGGCTACCTCTGCTAAGTGTGATTGGAGCCGTTTGTTTTTAAGCTGCACATAAGCATCGGGCAAGATTTATAACACCTTCCTTCTTGCCGAATCGACCCACTGGGAGCCATTGAAGTTTTATTGCTCCTTGCAGTTGCCTGGCCAGAGTGGAATGGAGGGGCCTATAGTTGGAAAAGCTTTTTCTTCCATTGACTTACTCACAGGAAGTACTGGAGAGAAGGAATAGAAGTGATGCTTCTTTTGTTCAGTCTCCTCATTTTGATCCCAACCCTTTTCCAAACTGCATTGAGTTGTTAGAGTGACTTCCTCCATATAATTCACATTGCATGCTAAGCCTTCCCACTGTACCAAGACCTCCCTAAGGCCCCACCTCTTCCAGGAAGTCTTCTTGGGTTGATCAAATTAAGACTGTTTCCCTGGTACTCCCCTTACCTCTCTTGGCTGGACCCCAAGACCTTTCTCATTTCAGTGGTCTTTGTCCCAGATTTTGACACCTATTTTTCTTCAGACTTGCAGCTACCTTTTTTGTTGTTGTCGTTGTTGTTGTTTTTGTTGAGATGGAGTCTTGTTCTGTCACCCGGGCTGGAGTGCAGTGGCGCGATCTCGGCTCGCTGCAAGCTCCACCTCCCGGGTTCACGCCATTTTCCTGCCTCAGCCTCCCGAGTAGCTGGGACTACAGGCGCCCGCCACCACACCCGGCTAATTTTTTTTTTGTATTTTTAGTAGAGACGGGGTTTCAGCGTATTAGCCAGGATGGTCTCGATCTCCTGACCTCGTGATCCGTCCGCCTCGGCCTCCCAAAAGTGCCGGGATTACAGGCGTGAGCCACCGCGTTCGGCCTGTAGCTACCTCTTAACGTTAGGTAAACGTACAGATGTTCCAGTCATAAATTATAAAGTTCTAGAATCCTAAATCTGGGAGAAGTATTAGAAATTCTCAATGTAAGCAGTGACTTACATTATCCACGTTCACATAGTGATTGAGGTATTTTTATGACTGTCTTAAAGGAGGAGTCTTCACAGGAGATGCTCTCATGCCAGATTTTAAAACAGAAACATGCTCCAGGGATGGCCTCAGCTTTCTTTCATGGGGGCTTTAGCTGAAATAGGTAGACATAGGTTGGTTTCCCTTGGAAAAAGACATCCTTCTTCATTGTCAATTAGTAGTAGTTATTATTGTATATTTACCCATGTGCTATGCACCATGAAAGTCCCTGAGACAACAGAGAGATGGGCCCTGCATCTATGTATGGAGCCTGAAGTCTAGCACAGAAGACCATTTCAAAGAATGTCCCCTGAACAGTATCTGGAATGAGAAGATGGACTGGCTTTGTGATTGTTTATTCAACTTGAGGTCCAAGCCTCAAGCAAAATCTATCTTCAGTGCAATAAGATACAAAGTATAGTAATAATAATAGTAATAACAATGACAATAATAATAATTACCACCTGTGAACATCTATTTTATTCAAGTACTGCACTAAATACATAGATTATTTCATTTTTATTTTAATAAAAATCTCACACGATAGGTTTTTAGTTGCATGTTTTCTATAAGGAAACAAGAGCTCAAAGAGGATGCCTTAACCGGCGAGGTCATCCAATCAGCAAGTGGCTGAGTCAGCCTGAAAGCCACACTAAGGCCCTACAGGTAGGACTGTGTATTCTCCCTCCTGTTTCTCTGCAAACTTGTCAGCCTTGAGAAGGTTTCAACAATCATCTATCTCTCAGTGTAATTCTGAGTTGCTGTTTCGTCTTGCATACATATTTGCATTTTAAGAACGAAAGATTTAGATGGGTTACAAGATTTTATGATCAGGTGTAGACATTTTGGCAGGCATGGACATCTTGTATGAGGTCACCCCCTAAAGGGCCTCCTTAGTAAGCTGTTGTCTCTAACACACTCTGGCTTTACTGGGGATTGTTGGTAAGATTACAAAGTGGTTGAGAGCCAAGTACTGAGGTTAGAGCTTGAGGGCTCAATTCTTGCCTCTGACACTCAAAATTAGCTGAGTGACTTTAACCTGTGTGCCTCAGTTTCCTCATCTGCAACATGGGGATGGGAAAGAACCTCATATATATGCTTAATATGAGGGCCAAATGAAAACCAATACATCTGAAACACTAATGACCATGGCTTGCACACATCTTCAAGAAAATTTAATTTGTAATATCTTTTTTCAAGTATCCAAAGTCATTCACACATACCATCACATTCAGCCTCATAACCTGGGTTAAAAGCTATCCTTATATGATAACTCAATTAAGGTGATATTCTCAGTCAGAGAGTAAGAATGACACATGTTCTGGGGCAATGGAATTCACTGAAATGAACCCATGCAGAGCAGAGCATTTCAGACAACTCATTATACTCTCTCTAGAAGAAACCTACCTCCTGGTTCCTATAGTTGCAGTACGTTCAACATTCCTGGCTGAACACCCTTTTTGACGTTGAGATTAAGCTGAAGTGTTACACCTGGTTATGACACCCATACCCTTGAGAGAAGTGCTTGCTTTTCTTGGTCACCCAATTGTCCCCATACTGTTCCCACAAAGTAAGTCATCCAGAGCTCTTGTAGATTGCCATAGGCCCTCCTTCCCCTGACACATCCCAAAGGTTAGAAACAAGAGTAGAGGCCCAGCTCATTCCTCAAGGGTCCATTCACTTTTACATTTTCCAGGTTTACTTATGAGACCAAAATGAAGCAAGTGGGAGACATTCAAAGTACCCAATAGTTACACCATGTGTGTCTCTGTGTGCTTACCAAACCCAGCTCTTTTTAGCCATTGTTAGCATATCATGATTATAGTTATTAATATGATAATGATGGTTATTATTATTAGACATTTTCTATGGGCCAGCCATGGTCCTAGGCAGGTGGCTTCATGGTGCGGAGTCTGGCAGCGGCCCTCTAAGGGAGGAACATCTGCTTTAGAGCTTCCCTTAAGACTCCGAATAAAACCCATGGGCAGACTCAAGGGCCCCATACGATCTGCCCCTCCAAAGCTCTCTAACCTCACTCACCCACTCTAACATGGTGCTGGTTCCTGCCTAAGTGTCTTTGCACTTGGTATCCCTCTCCCTGGAAAAGGTTCTGACTGTCAAATGTTGTACCTCCTTAAGAGATTCAGTTCTCTGCCGAAGTAACCTTGAGAGGCAGGTCTGCCCCTCCATATGTTCTGAATTAATCCCTCCTCTGCATCTTTAGTTTTATTCACAACATCTATCACTGTGTCTTCTCTTGTCAGGTGTTTGTTTTGTAGTCTGACTTCTTCAGTCGAATCGCAAGCCATGTGGACAGAGATTTTGCCTGTTTTATTCATCCTGCATTTTTATCTAAAGAAATGCTTGGAATACAGCGATCACTGAATACATATTTATTGAAAAATACAAACACTGAGTGAAGGAATTAATAAATTAAGCAGATGGTTTAGAGGAGTGAATTAACTTCTCAAGTTTACACAACCGGTGAGTTTGTCAGGTAACTTCTCATAGAAGAACTCTGGTAGCAAGGGATGCAGCTTTGCCTGTTGGGGCACTGAAAGGCTGTCTAATCTTAGGTGAAAGCAGTCAGGTCCAGGGAGATCTTTGTGTGCACAGAAGTACTCAAGAAGTCAGGACCAGAATGCAGGCCATGTAACACCCCGCCGGTGGCTGCTTCCTCCTTTTCCTTAAGGACCTTTTGTGAAGTGGCCAAATAAATACTGGTCCTGTCATGTCAAGTGATGTCTTGCCTCTTCCTTGTGGCTGGACCACTTACCGGTTAATTGGTGGTTCTTGGGCAGAGGAGAGTACAAAATGTGAGATAGGCATCCCCCAAGCAGGGCCACATTAAGCCCTGAGCCTGGATCCTGCCTCATATTTAAGTCAAAAATAGTCCTTTGTTAGGAATAGTCTCCAAGTTCCTGGCCATGTGTTTGAGGAACATTTGTACAGGCTATGATACAGAGAGCCCAGGCTGAGGGCCAAAATACCGGAGTTGGGGGCAGCTGTCTCCCTGACTGACCTATACAATGTGCTGTCATCGTCCTTAGTGCCTGTTTTCTCATTTGAGATGGAGGGTGGGCAGGACCCTCTGCAGCCTCCAAGCATTCACTCAGCCCTCACAGATACCCTGAGCATTCTGTCTGCCCTCACGGACACCCCTAAGTGTCACCGTGCTCTGTCCCTGCTGCCGTGTGGGGCTGGACTGCCAGTTTTCGCTCCCAGTGGCCCCAGTGTGGAGTGAAGCATGGCCCTTCTGTGAAGGGACCAGGAAAGACAAAAAGGAAAGGTGGGGTGCGTACTAACAGGTCATTATTTAGATGTGATTTGCTTAGCGCTTTTCCTGACCTAGTGAATTAAAAGAGGACATCGCAGAGGGAAAACAAACAGGGAGACTTAAAGTAATGCTTTTTGAACCTGCCAATTATCAAGAGAGTGTAATTATGGGAAACACCCAAGAGGTCCAGAGGGACCCATGTCTTTGTTCTCAGACTGCAGAGACCCACTAAGATAAGAGAGTAGGAGGGGAGCGCTTGTGAGACAGAAAAAGGAAGTGCCGTTGTTGGGAGCTGGGAGCTGGCCAGTATGTCTTCTAATTTAATTACTTATCTTTCCCTCAAATTGTTTATGGTACACTAGGCTATTAAATGCGCCATAAGCAAACGGCTCTTGAAAGAGGAAGTGGATTTATTTGTTTTAGTTACCACTCCAACAAAAGTCTATTTCTTCTGCTAATTAAGATTCCATTCACTAATTTAAATGTTATGCTAATTAAAGTATAATTCTGAAAATGTAAAAAGGAGTTAAAAATAAAAAGAAAGAAAAAACTGGGTTGGCCTTTAGGAATTACATTAAATTTATTGCGTTGTAACAATGGTAAGCTGGGTAATTATTTCATTCGCCTCCGTGCTGCATTCAAGCTTCTGCTTATTCATCCCATTCTCACACTTCAGCTCATTAACACACACTTCCCCTCTCCCGCTCTAATGGGAGTTTTCTTGTGATGGTTTAAGATGAGTTGTGAGTTAGATCCTTGAAGCAATGTTTAGAATTTCTTCAGCTGGGCCACACAGAGTGTTGCAAGCTGCTGCTTGATTTGATGTTTAGAGAGAAAAAAAGAGAAAACATCTGGATTTCTGCTTTGTAAACCAATTTCTGGAGCCAACTTGCTGTTACTCCAGCTTCTTCTCCATCCTCTCTAGAAGCCTGAGTATTTTATAGAAGACAGAGATTATAATATGTTACAAGAAAGAGGATGAGTCTTCTTGCCAAGTTAGAATCTGGCATTTTGAGCATCTGGGATAAGACAAAGGGAAACCAGGACCATGGGGACCACCGCAGACATTCATTACCAGGGCCTAATCATCGAAGTTTCAGCTTCCTCATCAGTCAGATGGCATTGTCTTGAGTATTAGAGGCACCTGAGCTTTGAAAACAGCTAGGCTGGAGACTGGAACAGCGTGGCAACCTAAGTGTTCCCGTCCTCCCCACCCCTAATTTTGTGGTTGCAGCACCAGGCTGGAAAATGGGGCCCTGGAGTGTTTTTCTCGGCTTGAGCTCTTGTCTGCCGGACGACCAAGCCTTTGCCTTCTATACAGGCAAAACGCAGAGCCACATACATTAGTTATTCCTTGCTGTAGAACAAATTATCCCAAACTCAGTGAACTCAAACAGCAAACACTTACTATCTCACAGTTTCTGTGGGTCGGGAATCTGAGAGGGTCTTCGCTGAGTGTTTTCGGGTCAGAGTCTCTCAGGAGACCCAGCAGTCACAGTGCCAGCAGGGATTGCAGCCATCTGAGGATCCAAACCTGCTCCCAGGCCATCAGCCACAGCTCCAGCCCTCAGCACACGGCCCCTCCACAGCGCAGCAGCTTCCCCAGAGCCAGTGCTGCAACGGATAGAGTGTGGCATCACTGCCTCTTAGGACAAGCCTCTGAGCCCCCCACCCTCCCTTCTGCATTATTCTATCCATTACAGGTCACTAGGTCCTGCCCACAGCCACAAGGAGGGGTTCCACAAGGGTGTGGCACCCAGAGGCGGAGACCTCGGGGCCACCCTGGGATCTGGCCGGCCTCTGTGTTGGCCTCCCCTCCAACGCAGTGCTTTGCTTTGTCTCACTGTCTTCTGATCAAAGCCTGAACCTCTGGCCTTCCTGCAGCTACCACTCATGTCCAGCCATCTGCCTATCATCCAGCCTAGGCATTCTGGGACAGATCCAGGAGGTCACATGTCCACTTCTGAGGGGCTTTGGCGAGGGCTATGGCAAGAGCGGGTGGACTGAGAAGTCCCCTCCTGAAAGACATGTCTCTATTGAGGCTGGTCTCCAGCCAGGCTCTCAGCCTGTCAGTGGCAGGATGCTTTGGAGAGGCATTTAGAATGAGGCACAGAAGGCACTGGGATTTTCTTTGGGGACAAGCGACAAGAGCTAGGATTGATAGACTGAGATGATAATAAAAATGAATTAACTTGCATCTCAATTTGATTTTCAGAGCCAGAGAGAAGGAGTAAATCAGCACCATGGAGCTGACTTTCTCATCTGGTTGGGTTGGCCCTTTATTTTTATTAGGGTCTTTCTTGTCAACGGTTGAATGAGATGTTAATACTATCAACCTTAGGCCACAGTCTAAGCTAAGTCTTGACAGTTCTTGCTTTTCCTCTGACCTGTAGCTTGGAAGGGAGAGGTTGACACCAGGCCAGAGTGGAGGGTGGGAGGTGATAAATCAGTCCTGGGTTTCTTTTTTTCTTTTTCTTTTCTTTTCTTTTCTTTTTTTTTTTTTTTTTTGCACAGTGGCCTTTGGCTTTGGCAGCTGCATTAATCTGGGTGGCCGTTGGGAAAATTAGGTCAAAGGTGTCCCCAGAAATTGGATACATTGTTGCTAATTCAGTCATATAGCTGGAGTGGGCTGGCATTTCCAGAGGCAGACAACACAGGCGTATGTATCTGTTTTTACCACTGAAGAGACTGAGGATTGGCCAGGTGGGTGCAATGGTGACTTCTCAAACAGATCAGCAGGATGGAAGTGACACTCTCCTGGGGCACTGCCGGGATGTCCCTCTGTGCGTAGGGAGAGGAGTCCGTGTACCTTGGTGACAAGCCTGCACCCTTCTCTTATCTCCCTGCACTGTAGCATGAAGCATATTGGCCCTGGGCATGCACTGCAGGTGTAGACATCCTGTCTGTTCACTGGCCTATGAACTATGAGACTAGAAACATTACACAGTCTCAGGAACAGACGGTCCCCTTCTGTTTATTTATAGCTTAACACTAAATAGCTGATTCCAATCTTATTAAGGTTTACTGATCTCCTATTAAAAACCTCAAATGATGTTTATTTGTCTGATGCTTGCTCCCAAAGAAATGCCCCAGAGATTTCTCTGAAGACGCACGTTATTCATGCTTGACATGACCTCAGGATGTTGTTTATGGATATGTTCTGTGAGCAAATATTTACTGAATTTCAATAATAGGATGGGCACTGTGTATGATACAGAGAAGTATGTGGCAGTCCCAAAAACAAGTAAAATCAAATTCCTTACAGTAAGAGGGGAGTTCGTGTCTCATGTGGGAGAGCAGCAGATTACAGATCGGATGACCCGATTCCCGTCTTCACTCAGACACTCACCAGCTGTATGGCCTTGGGCAAGTTACCCAACCTTTCATAATCAGGACAACGATGTGATCAGATTCCTGTCGTAGAAAGAGCACCATACGGCAGTTCCAGCAAGGGATTGATAGGAAGGAACTGGAATAATGGGGATCGAGGAATGAGCTCTCACAGGGCTCTGGATGGGGGTCTCTGGAGTCTGAGCTGTGGGCAGGACAATGGCCTGGAGAGGAGGTATGGATCCAAGAGGCAGCATTGATGAGGCGTGAGACCTGTTTGGATAGGCAGGAAAGGGAGGGAGGGGTAGAGATAGCTCAGGTGTGTCGCCAGGGTGACCAGGAGGATGTTGGTGTTATTAACTAAGGTGGGAGACCTTGGGGAAAAAAAGGTGGCCAAGAGAGGAAATGTAGCTCCTTTTTGGCTGAGTTGTATTAAGAACTCCTCCTCCACATGTCTGTGCCATTACTCTGTGACCTGGGCCCTGTGCTCCAAATTCAAGGAGGTCACCTAGAGTAGCTGAGGATCAGAAAAGCTATCTAGGAGCTAACACATGTGGCAGTTTTAAAAACTCCTTTCATAAGCAGTGAAATAAATCTGGAGAGATGCCCTCCTCTCCCCTCAGAGGCCTCTCCTTTGTCGGGCTGGGTGGAGTGGGGTGACAGAACATCGATCGGTGGGAGATAGATGGGAGGAAAAGCCCTCGTTGCCTGCTGAATCAATGTTCCCTTAAAGACTGCAACAAACAGGATTAAAGGTTGAAAGACATTTATTGAGGGGTGAATCTGGGTGTGTGTTTTATTAGTCAGCCCGGCACTGGGTTTATAGAAATGCCCAGCCTAGACGCTGCCAAGAGCAATAAATCGGGGCTTTCTTCTTTGGCCGGCTGCCTGGGCAGTGATGTGGGGGTGTGTGACCCCAGGCCAGGAGGATGGAAGAGAGTGTTGTCTTCAGGCCATCTGGGGTAGGGTGGGGACTCAGGGATGGGGAACGAGAGGAAGATGATTGGCCAATGCCCCTCCTGGCCTCCTTCTCCAATCGCTCACGAATGAGGTCAAACATGCTTACTGCATGGATACATGCCTCCAGTCTCTTTCAGAATTCCCCACCCCTCCTGCCAAAATCATTTGCCTAACCTTTTGCCTGACTGATTCAGAAGCTATTAAATGCACGGCATCCACACAGCTGGCCATTAATTGGAGGCCAGAGCTTGATTAATGAGCATTATGCTAATGTTGGGTCAGGGGGCAGATTATGTGTAAAAGACCAAAACAGTAAGTCAAGTCAAAAGCAATAACACCACCTTCCATCCCTCCGCCTCCCCAAACAAGTTGGCAGCTGGAGGCAAATGGAGAAAAGGCATATTGATGAGACAGCCTGCAAGAGCCTGGCACTTGCCTTGGTTCTTTCTGCAGAGAACTGGGCTGAGATGCTCCGGCCTCCCTCCCAGGAGGAGCTGCAACCAGCTGGAAGGTGGGCTCCCATGCCAGGCTGGCCTCAGAGGGACAGGAGCAGCTGAGGGTTGAGGGAGTGATACTTCCCAGACTACAGTGTCTTTTTTAAAGACCCTAGAACTTACGCTAACAAATGGTAAAAGTGCCCTGCTATGAATGTGTCCACATAAAGTGTTCATGTCCAAACATTAAAATGAACTTGGAAGAACAAATCCTGACTCAGCCACCCTGGAATCATAGATCCTTTGGCAGGTAGGACATTGCCCATTTCTGACTCGTTACGCTCACTGAGGTCTCCCTCTGGTCACTCCTTCTGTCTCTACATCAGACCCCCAATCCCCTGAAGTTCTTTCTCCCATCCTCTTTTCATCACACTCCACACTTTCTCCAGGGGTGTGAGTGTGTGTCTTTCCGTGATGTCAGTTATCAGAACTGTCCCTCAAGCTACACATCCAGGCATAGCCTTTCTCTGAGCTCCAGGTCTCCACCATGGGCATGACCAACTCACACTGCCCTGTATAAGTTCTATCATATCCCAAACACACTCTGCTCCAAGCTGAATTTTTCTTTCTACGTTGTATTTGTTACTGACACACATTTATTTGATCCCGTGCTACAGAAACATACTTTTCAATCTTGGTTTGTCCCATCTCATTTCTTGCACTGCTGAGGGCATTTTTCCCTGCTGTTTCCCTCTTCTCAGTGTCCCTGCCAGTTTCCTCTGCCACTTACTGAGGTGAGGCTCCTACCCTCTCTTTTGCATCACTGCAAAGTCTTCCAGTGCCTACCTCCTTATCCAACTAAGGGGCCCATGTCACCTGAGCTGTCCAATTTCTAAGCCACTCCTAGGCAAGACAGCTCTTCATGCGGAGCCTGTCAGGCTTCCCTGCTGCCAGGCTGCCTCAGAACACATTCCTTACCTCCACACTCTGGGTGTAGCACACATTTAACCCTATTTCCTGCGCTTCGCCCTGTCCTTGCCTTCCCTCCATGCACAAGGCTAATTGTTTTATCTGGAAGAGACAGCTTAGGTCCGTACCTCCCTGTCCTTATTCTTGGTGTTGTCTTGGTGTGAATTAGCAGGGCCTCAGGTTTCTGTCATCACTCCTGTCCTGGAAATGATTTTATAGATGATTCAAACATTTACTTAACAATATAGAAAGCACACCTACAAGATCAGGAATAGCAAGAACCAGGGGAGACACTAAATATATGAATGATGAAATCACAATAAAAAACGAAACTGGCAGGCTGGGAACTGGATGTAATAATGTTACATTTCTCTAGAATAAATGTGAGGTATTATTTTTGATTAAAAAATATTTAAAGAGATATGGGATAGAAGAGGTATGGTTTAGCTAAGATATCAATTAAAAAATTGTACTGATGGCATCATTTAAGATAATGCAATATGTAGTTACCAAAAACGTAAACAGAATTTTAGGCCATATTGACATAATCTACAATCCATGGGAAGAGTTTTCAAGTATTCCTCGTTAGGTATATTACTTGGAAATATATTGCATTCAAAGTACCGTACTTAATGGAGAAATAGACAAAAGAGCATGCTTAGTGAAGATCAGTTAGGAAAATTTTTTTAAATGTGAATTATTGAAGAAATTATTTTCCCCAGTACTCCTTTCAAAACTAAAATTCTGTGATTGCCTTTTATTTGTCCTGCTCTGAGGCCTTTTGAAATTGTCTTTATTCTTTTGGGTCTAAATAAAATTTCACCTCTTTAAACCCTTCCAGATACCCTTTATCTGAATTCACCGCATCCTCTCTGATGATACCATTTCATTTTGCTTGAACCCCTGCTTGTATTCTGGCCAGTCATTTATATTTTCATCCTCTGCCAGCAGATCGTAAGCAACATCAGGGCAAGAACCATGTTGTACTCATCTTTGTATTTCAGAACTTAGCAGAGTTCCTGGTACCTGGGGCATGATTTGTAAATGTTGAGGAAACGCAGATGCATAGACAAAATTGTCCTTAAAATTCATGCTACCAAACTGAATTCTACCTGTGAGCTGAAGGTTTTAAGTGGAGGCTGATCTCAAACTACAAATACATATTCCAGAAAGAGTTCTATGGTCAGTTAAGCTGGGGAGGTGTTGGGTTAAACAAAGTTAAGCTGGCTTTTTTACTACAGGAATATTTGGAGCCTTTAATGTTATTGTACACTGTGGATCTTCCAACAATAGCCATTATACGCAGGATCTAGCAAAATCATTTGACCATAGAACATGGCTTTTATGCAATACCATTTCACATTTCATGGAACATAGCTTGCAAAATACTGAACTTAGCCTAACTTTAGAGAAACGGCACAGAGCCTTTTCAAGAAATGCCAGAAATTAAAGTGAAAGAGGCCAGAAGCTGGAAAAATACCCCACAAGGCGAAGAAGGAGGTACCACATACTAAGACACATACTCTAGACTTCAAGAAACACACGTTTAAAAGCAAACAAAAAAGTTAGTGATGACAATAGCTACAAAAGTTTGGGACACTCTGAATATAGAATCACAAAATTTCCTGATGAGCACACAAATAAATGAAGTGCTGAAGAAATGGGTGTGGCCGCAGAGGGAGCTCTCTAAAGAGCTCAGCTGAGAGGATGAATGCAGAGGCAGAAATAAATGATCAGACGCACAGGGGTGTAGAAGACCAGAGCATCCATAGGTAAGAAAGGGATAACACAGGGAGAAGTGAGGACATTTTAGAACAAATCATTAGTGTGTGGACTAGTTAGAAGGCACATGGGTTCCTTCAATGGACATGTAACAGACGGTTGTGAATGGCTAGTTTGAAAAATTATTATTGATAGGTTATGATATTGGTCTCTGCTTTTGGTTCTACCCTTTTCAAAGACTTAAATGGTGAAATACAAGGCAGGATTATCAAATTTGCATATAGTGGCCAATGTGGTAGCTCATGCCTCTAATCCCAGCAATCTGTGAGGCTCAGGTGGGAGAACTGCTTGAGGCCAGGAGTTTGGGACCAGCCTGGGCAACATAGTGAGAACCCCGTCTCTACAAAAATAAAATAAAAATAAAATAAAAATTTAGATGGGCATGATGGTGTGCACTCGTTGTCCTAGCTGCTCATATTCAGGAGGCTGAGGCTCCAGGAGGATCTCTGGAGCCCAGGAGTTCAAGGCTGCAATGACCTCTGATTGCATCACTGCAGTCCAGCCTAGGTGACAGAGTGAGACTTTATCTCCAGAAAACAAAACAAAAAAAGACAAAAAAAGAAAGAAAGAAGGAAGGAAGGAAAAAAAGAAAGAAAGAAAGAAAAGAAAAGAAAGAAAGAAAAGAAAGAAATTCGCATGCAGCAAAAATCTGGGAAGAGAAAGGATTAAAAATACGTCAGCTGCTTAGAATAATTGATTGAAACAATTACAAGATGAAAGTCAGTAGAAGTAAAAATAAATATTTTAAATTACTTTAAAATTTGCCGGGGTATGGGATGAGAAAGATCTGACTTCATTGCATGTGGAGGGGAGGAAATAACAGGGATATTCACAGTATGCTATGAGAGAAAAGTAGAATTTGTGCTGCCCACCATCACTAAACAAATAAAAATATATATTACACAAAGTCAAATGATCAAATTTAATACAAACGTAATGTTTGAGTAAAGAGGGTGGTAATTTCACTGCTTCCTCAAAGGCCATACAAAATGTGGAGTATTTGTTCTCATTTAGGCAAAATTTGAGAGTTATATCGACACAAAGATTTCATTGAATGAAGACGCCCTAGGAGAGGGAAGGAAAAGATAAAAGTCATATTTGAAGAAAAATGGCTGGAAGGACTGGAGATACTTAATTTGGAAAAGAAAAGGCTTTGGGGAGACATAGCTTCTTCTAAACGCCTGACGCATAAAAAGAAAAATTGGATAAGCTATATGGCTTCCAGTGTCAGAATAAAGAGTAAAACCTAGGAATTACAGGAAGACCGATTTCAGCTCAATATGGCGTATTAAACTTTGTAACAGCTAGTGCTGTCCAGCAGAAAAACTAACTCACCCTGAAGGTCCTGCAGGAACTGCCTGTCATTCCAATGAAGTAATGTGCTTGCAGGTCCCTGACACAGCACAGGCCCATGCTCCAGGGCCATTTTCCCTCTCTCCCTCTCTATTCATCTGGGCTCAGTGGGGAAACAGGACCCGCACTAGGTGTTTCAAACAGAGATAATTTAGTGAGGAGAATGAAATAAATGAACCATGTGTTCCTGAGGTGACTGTGGGGAGTAGCCACCGTTCATGGAGACCCAAACAAAGGAAGAGGTAGAGCTCTTATTAGCACATGTCTGCTCTAATGGGAGACCCTGTGGACTTGGTGCTCTTTTTTTTTTTTTTTCTGAATACTGGCACGTCAGAGAGAGCATAACGAGACTTGGTCTGGGAGTTCAAAGGGAAGGTGGAGGTTGGGGCCACCCACAGCTGCTGGGGCCTGTGCCACCTCTGGGTCCACACAGACAGGAAGAGGGAAAGAGAAGGAAGCATCCTTCCCACATCTTGCCTTTGCCTGCCATCCTGGTATCTTCAATCGGCAAAACTCAACCGACAGCAGACTGGCAAAATGTTTGGAAAATGTAGTTCTTAGCATTCCAGCCTCAGAACAGCAGGGCAAAGCATGGCTGGAAACATCTTGAGCTGAGAGACAACCATCAGCCCAGGTGAACCCTTGGACTGCTCAGAATCCACACACACCCTCCCACGCAGAGCGAATGGCTGCCGCAATAGCAACTTTGACTTCAGCTATGTTCATTCTTTTGTTCTCTACCCAAATCTCACCCCCTGTGCCCTCAGGCAGCACGTCAACCTGTTAGGATTCTCTCCCTGCTGTGATGGCCCAAACTTTCACTCCTAAACCACGAGCCCTCAAGGCTAATGCTTACTGCTGGACGTCGAAACACTACACTACATAGTCCCGCTCTTTCCCCCTGCCCGCTTGTCGCCGTTCATCTCTTTTCTTTTTCTTCCCTTTACTCCCTCCCTCCCTTCCTTCTTTTGACCTTTCTTCATTTCCCATTTGCCTGCAAAACATGCATGAAGATGGTTGTAGAGGGAATCCTGTACTGGGTTACACCGACATGTCCTATATTCTCCTTCAATGCAAAATTTCCAAAGTTTTCAATATGAACAGATTGTTATTATTATTGCTATTTTGCATAAGCTAGTTTCATTGCATGCTTATTTGGGCCACTAGACTTACTAACTGTCCAACTATTCCCAAATTACTCTGTTTATCCAAGAGTTCATATTTAATGGAGAAAATTTAGAAAGTACAAATAAACAGACTAAAAATAGCTCATATATAATCTTGCTTGCAGGCAATCATCACTGTTCATATATTTAAAAAGCCTAGTCACTTTCCTATTCTCATAAACCACATAAATGTATTTATAAACAATGTATATGTATAATACACATGTCTACATAGTATGTACATTTATATCATTTACCACAACTTTATTATATTTTTGTAATTTTGAGGGGACTTTTAATGTATATGGGCATCTTTCCTTCCACAAATCATCCATAGTGATGTTTAATGTCATCACAATATTGCAGCTTATGTCTGTATCATAGTTATCTAACTAATCCTGTGTCATTGGGTATTTGCTTAGAATTTGTTGCTATCATGTTTGTGTAAATTCATGATTATATTCATAGAATAACTTTTTTACTGCCTCCTTCTAGTTATTACATTTATAACATTTTAATTGCCCAAATATTTAGGTATTGTTTATTACAAAAGGCACATTAAAAAAAAGTATTGCAATTTTTTACTCTTGTGTAAACTTTATGATCTCTTACTGAATCTGACTCATTATCTGCCCTCCAGTACAATCTCTTTCTCTCCTGATCTTCTTTAATAGCCAAGCTTAAATCCAGATTATTCTCTTTCCCCTTCTTGCTTTCCTCAACAAACTCTTCCTACCTGGCAAAGTTTCAGTGAATGCATCTGGCAGTATAGTTTCTGCTCCCTGGCTCTGTTCCTTGAACCAAAATATCATCTTCAAACTTTGAATTAAGATACAATGAGGAGCTGACACTTTTGTCTTGAGATTCCTAAGGCACTTTTCAAATTCATTGAAATCCAGTGCAATTTAATACATATTCATTCAATGACTTCTGTGTGCCCACCCTGCTAGTCATTGTGGGAACGCACAGACACCGGTCTGTCTTAAGACAGCTGACAGCTTGAATAGACAGAGAACTAGTTAATAGAGACTATACATTTTTTGAAAAATAAGTTTAATTGAAGCTAAGGCCATAGCAGCAGCTCAAATAAGGACAGATAAGTGTAAGTACAAGGAGAAGGCAGAGTATAGTAGGCACTCAGGAGATCCCAGGTTCAGTGCCCCTAGCCAGGCTATACAACGAGATCACATCAGGGCATGATCCCAGACCCTGGACACTATCTTTTGGATCTAACATTTTCTTAGCTTAGTTCTCAAGTCATTACTAGAAGTAGCCCCAGAATTATTTTCTTCTTGGAAGCTGAGAAATGAGGTGTAAGAAATAATGTCTCATGCCAGAGGATAGGATACTTGGAATTCTTCCCCTTTACCTGTGAACAAGCATTTGTGGCACGTGGTCTGCAAGGCATGGTGGAGAAAGCAAAGATGAATCCATCCTGTCCTTTGGCAGTTTACAGACCAGCGTGGAGGTGGTGGAGTGGTATATACTTATGTATGTAACAATCATACAAACTTACATACGCGACATGCGTGCTCGCTAAGTGTTGTGTGTTGTGAGACGGTAGTACATCTAGCACGTCATGAGAATTCAGAGGAAGACTCTATGGAAAATAGAATTTTGAGCTGGATCATGCGGTGGGGAGCAGAACTGGAATATGTAAAGATGGAGAAGGAGAGAGCACGTGCTTTGCAGGAGTGAGAGAGCAGGAGATACCCAGACAAATATGATGTCTACCAACAGCTTAAATTTCTTCCTGAAAAATCATTCACTTTCATACTAACTCCTTAGTCAGATTATAATTAGTATACCACCTTCCAGATGAAGAAATTGAGTCTTACACATAAAGTGACGCCTCAGCGACACTCTCAGCTGCCGCCGACCCAATGTGCATATGGTACCTTGGCTGCATGGAAGTGGGCAGTGGGAGAAAGAGCTCAGGGAGGGGAACTGAGGCCAAATACTAATTGTCTTGGAGGCCAAGATAAGGAGTTCATATGGGGAATTAGATGAATAAAAATGCAGTAGGTAATGAGCAAATAAAAACTTTTGATTGGAACTGTGCCTTAGGAAAGATGCATTCAACTGAAGGAATAGTCAGAAAGAAGGTCAAATTAGTAGCAGGGTAGGACGATATTAGGAATCTGAAGGCTAACCTAATATGAGAAGCTATTACAATAGTCAGTGCCAAAGGCAAAATCATTCTAAGGAGAAAATTTCACCAGTTGACAAGAATGCTCCCCACAGCATTTTCCTCCCATTTCTAAACAAGCTTTATATGAGATATAATGGACACACGATAGACTACACGTATTTAAACTGTACAATTGGATAAGTTATATATGATCATCACAACCAATATAGTGAAGATATCCATTATTCCCAAACGTTTCCTCATGCCTCTTGGGGATTCCTGCCTTCTGCCCTCTCCATTCCTTCACACCCAGGCAGCCGCTAATCTACATTCTATTTCCAGACACTAGAGTGCATTTTCTAGACTTTTATGTACATGGACTCATAGCCTAGGCATTCTTGTCTGGCTTTTTTTCATTGAACATAATTATTTCAAGATTCATTAATGTTATTGTGTTCATTCCTTTCTATTCCACTATATGAACGTTACCTCCATTTATCTGTCCACTCACCTATTGATGTATTATTGGGTTGTTTACAGGTTTCGGCTATTACAGATAAAGTTGCTATGAACATCTGTGTACAAGTTTTTAATAGACATTTTTTTCATTTCTTTTGGGTAAATACCTAGCAGTAGAATGATTAGATCATACAATACACACACATTTAAATTTTTAAGTAATCTGCACATCATTTTTATATCACTAAAAAATTAGCAATAATTTAAATAAGTGGTTAAACATATTATGATACATGCATATGATGGAAAACTATGAAGCTTTTTAAAAACAATGACAGTGAGTTTATATATGACATGGAAAGATGACCATAACATAAGAGAAAAGGCAGCTTATAGAATGTTACATACACATTCACCGAACATTTAATAGTGTTTATTTAGTTTTACTTACTTATTTTTTTGGTAAGATGTTTGGGTGTACTTTCAGATGTCACTTAATTTATTTTCTTTGTTTTTTTCTTTTTCTTTTCTTTTTTTTTATGTTTCTGAGACAGGGCCTGTCTTTGCCACTGAGGCTGGAGTACAGTGGCGTGATCACAGCTCACTGCAACCTCCACCTCCCAGGCTCAGGTGATCCTCCCACCTCAGCATCCCCAGTAGTTGAGACTACAGGAGTGTACCACAACGCCTGGCTAAATTTTGTATTTTTGTGTGTGTGTGTGTATATATATATATATATATATATATTTTAATTAAGTAATTAACTTTTTTAGTAGAGACAGGGTTTCACCGCATTGCCCAGGCTGGTCTCAAACTCCTGGTCTCAAATGGCCTGCCCGCCTCAGCCTCCCAAAGTGTTGCTATTACAGGTGTGAGCCCCTGCGGCTGGCCACTTACTTTATTTTCATAAGGAACAGGAACTTTTGTTAAAGTTTTTTTGTAATCTCCCCCTCCCCTGCCAAGATTAAGGATATTCTAATTTTTGAAATTGAAATGAGTGTTTGGATTGAGGGTTCAACTAATGGTAGCAGAGGCAGTTTTTATAACGTAAGAGCTTGTGGAATGGGAAATGAAGCATGACTATATTGCACTGTATTAATTTTTTTCTTTGTCTTTTCTTTTTTTGAAACTTCTTATTATGAACTATGTACTTTTCCCTCAAAGAAAAGAGTATTTTGTATTTTGGTATACAGAAAGAAAAACAACAACCAGGAATGAGTGTTAATAATAGCTTGATTATTTTCAACTCAAATGCCTATGTAAAGTAACAACTAATGTATAACTTATGCAGATCTATGCAAACAATTATTTAAATTGGAAGAGGAAGCAAGAGATACCTGAGAATGGCAATATTTGCTGGATTGCTAATATGTCAGAAGGGCTCCTTGCTACAAGGCCACCAAAATGAGAAATGAAGGGCATTTAGCTTTTAGGGAACTCAGTGAGTCTTGGTAGGATGATATTGGGAATCTCAAGGTTAACCTAATATAATGATAATTACCTGTGAAGTGCTTTATTGTTTCTCAAACACATCCACATACATTAGCTTGCTTAGTCCTGTGAAAATCCTGTAAGGAGACAGGAGAACGATTTATTTTAATCCCCATTTGATAAATGAGAAGAGTAAGCTTCATTGAAGTTAAATAAATTAACAACAAATATTGGTATAACTCAAAGATTTTCCAAGAGCTTTCATATGCATTTCTCATTTAATCCTCACTACAACCTCACAACAACCTCAGAAAACAGGGAACAGATATAATTTTATTTCTCCCTACCAATTTTTCAGATGAAAAAATTGAGCTAAATTAGACTAAGTAACTTGAACAAAGAACACACATGGTGACTTTTTCATTGATACATCATATTTTACAAATTTATTGGGTATATGTGAGTTTTTGTTATGTGCATAAATATGTAATGATCAAGTCAGGGTATGTAGGGTGACCATCGCTTTGAGTATTAATCATTTCTATGTTTTGGGAACATTTCAAGTCCTCTTTTCTAGCTACTTTGAAATATACAATGCATTGTTGCTAACCATAGTCACTCTACTGTGCTGTCAAATATTAATATTAGAACTTGTTCCTTCCATCTAAATGTATCTTTGTACCCATCAATCAACCTCTCTTCATCCCTCCCCCCACACCCTTCTCAGCCTCTGGTATCTATCATTCCACTCTCTGTCTCCATGAGATCAACATTTTTAGCTCCCACGTGTAAGTAACAACATGCAATATTTGTCTTTCTGTGCCTGTCTTCTTTCACTTCATATGCCGATCTTCAGTTCCATCCACATTGCTGCAAATGACATGATTTCATTCTTTTTAATGGCCAAATAGTATTCCAGTACGTATAGAATTACTTCTGTAATTAGCATTGTATTAGTATTATTGTATTAGTCTATTTCACACTGCCATAAAGAATACCTGATACTGGGTAATCTATAAACAAAAGAGGTTAATTGACTCCCAGTTCCACATGGCTGTGGAGGCCTCAGGAAACTTACAATCATTGCAGAAGACAAAGGGGAAGCAGGCAGCTTCTTCACAAGGCGGCAGGAGAGAGGATAGAGGAGAGCAGGGTAAACTACCACTTATGAAACCATCAGATCTGGTGAGAACTGACTCACTCTCACAAGAACAGCATGAGGGAAACTGCCCCCATGATCCAACCACCTCCCATCAGTTCCCTCCCTCAACACGTGGGGATTACAATTTGGATTACAATTCAAGATGAGATTTGAGTGGGGACACAGAGCTAAACCATGTTACTTATCTTTGCTATTGTAAATAGTGCTGCAATAAACATGCAAGTGCAGGTATTCCTTTGATATACAGATTTCTTTTCCTTTGGATAAATACCCAGTAGTAGGTCAGCTGCATTTCAGGTAGTTATATTTTTTAATTTTTCAAGAAATCTCCACACTATTTTTCATAGAAGTTGTACTAATTTGCATTCCCACCACAGTGTACAAAAGCCTCCTTTACTCTGCATCTTCACCAGCACCTGTTATTTTTTGTCTTTTTCAGCAACAACCATTCTAATGGTAATATCTTATTGTGGTTGTGATTTGTATCTCATGATAAATGATGTTGAGCATTTTTTCACATACCTGTTGGTCATTCGTATGTCTTCTTTTGAGAAATATCTATTCATGTCCTTTGTCCACTTTTTAACAGGATTTTGTTTGTTTTGCCGCTGAATCATTTGAGTTTCTTGTATATTCTGAATATTAGTCCCTTGCCAAATGAATAGTTTGCAAATATTCTCTTCCATTCAAAAGGTTGTCTCTTGATTCTTTTGGTTATTTGCTTTGCTGTGAAGAACTTTTTAGTTTAATATAGTCCCATTGGTGTATTTTCATTTTTATTGTCTGTGATTTGAGGTTTTAGTCTCAAAATCTTTACCTAGGCCAATGTTCTGAAGTGTGCTCTATATATTTTCTTCTAGTAGTTTTACAGTTTGGGGTCTTAATACTTATGTTATTTATACCATCTTGAGTTGATTTTTTCCATGGCCATTTTAATGACATTAATTCTTCTGATCCATGAGGATGAAATGTCTTTCCATTTATTTGTGTCCTTTTCAATTTTTTTTTCAGCAATGTTTTGCAGTTTTCCTGGTAGAAATCTTTCACCTTCTTGGTTAAATTTATTCCTAGGTTTTTTTCCTTTTTTTTTTTTTCTGTTTGAGCTATTGTAAACGGGATTTCCTTCCTTTTTTCTATCTAGGCTCATTCATTATTGATGTATAGAAATGCTGCTGATTTTTGTATATTGATTTTACAGACTGCAACTTTACTGAATTTATTTATCAGATCTAAGAGTTTTTGGGTGGCTGCTTGATAAACAATTTAAGCTCCAGACTTGGGCTTTAAAGCCAATGTTCTTTAATTTATTCCACAACTGCAGTATGCCTGAGATCATAGTGCTAGTGAATACTGAAGGCAGTGCTTAACTATGGTCTTCTCAATAACTTTAATGCTCCTTACCTAACATAGTCTGAGCATTCCTAATCCAAAAATCCAAGCTTATTGAGCATTGACATGATGCCACAAGTCAAAAATTTAATACCTGACCTGATGTAATGAGTCTCAGTCAAAATGCAGTCAAAACTTTGTTTCATGTGCAAAATCATTTATAATATTGTATAAATTTATCTTCAGGCTATGCGTAAAAGGTATATATGGAACATAAATGAATTTTGTATTCAGACTTCAATTCCATCCCCCAAGTTATAACATTAGGTATATGCAAATATTCCAAAATCCCCCAAAATCCAAAATTAAAACCATTTCTGGTCCCAAGCATTTCCAGTAAGGAACAGCCAACCTATACCATACAACCATGTCAGTGTGAATGCACATTCTTTACCTTGTATTGTTGTTTTATTTACTATACTAGAAAGCTTAAGAAATTGATAATGGTGTGTGTGGGTATGTGTGTGAGTGTGTGTGTATGTGTGTGTGTATGGTGAATGGTACAGAGTTGGGAATTCTTTTCAAGCCCATTTGGAAAGTGCAGCATGGAGTTGTGGAATGATGTATGGTATTGTTCCACACAGCTCATGACTCCTGTACTTTGTGACAATATCTTATGTCATGATGAAATACAATGTGTGTAGTTAGAAAGTAGAGATATGCCAACTGGCTCTGCGTTTTGATTAGATTATTTACTGCTACCACTCTTACCCTGTTTAAAAGCTTTCCTTCTCTACAGCATGTCTCAATAAAGCTAATAACTTGGCCTTTCTTGCTTTTGGAAATTTCTTTTGGGGAGCTTTTCTACATTGTCAAGTTTGAGGATGATATTCATTGCAGTACTGCCTACTAAGAATTTAATGATTGGCTTAATATTAAGTGTTTAGTAATACTTTTCTCATTTGTATTTAATCCTAAGTATTTTTTCCAAGGACAAGAAATTTCTATGCATAACATGATAATTCATTTAAGTTATTGCTTAACAAATTATTACATTTGTTACAAGCTAAGCCAGGGCCCATGTTTTTCTCTTTTCTTGGAAATAAGAGGGCAGACTAATGCCCTTGGAGTTCACTTAGCTTTTCCAATTACTCGACACTTGGTTGCACCAAATCTGGTTGGTTTGAATGTTTCTAGATGGGATTTCCTGGCATTCTGCCTATCATGAAGAATGCCTTGGATTTTTAGTATTATTCTTTTGAAAATTTAAAATATCTTCTTATAACGGTTTTAAATTCATTTAATTGTATAGCTATGTTTATCAGACACAGAGAAGTCAAGTGAGGAATCAAATATCCAGGGCAAAATCCTGAGTGTTTGGATATAGACCTTTACTGCACCCGGCTGAATACCATGCTGGGTAGGAAGTGCCTCATCCCAGAAAGATGGCTCCTATCCTAAGTGGAGGCCTCACTAATGCCTTCTTATTTTCAGAATGAGTTTCCTTAATGAATATCAGCTTGTTCTAGATTTTTAAAAGTGAGGGGAATAAAATAACTAGCTTTGATAGAAATAGGATATTTATGGGAACATGTAGATAAAAAAGATAAAAAGTCCAGCAAGAAGATCTGTGGTGCTCTCATAGTAGTGTAAATGTGTTTTCCCTTCATAGTCTGCCTCAAACTGTTTAAGATGGTTGGTAAACTCTCCAAGGACCTGTTCTTTTTTTATTCTCTCATAGGCTTGGGAGGATAAGGACACACTTACCTTGGACCAAAGTAGTCTGGCAACAGATCCTTTCACACCATTATAATGCTAGGTACACTGTGACCTTAATGGTTGGTCTTAATGCCTCACCCTCATCTTCTCCTCTGCTGTGGTCCCCCAACACCCTTATCTAACAAACAAATACTCCCTCTCCCTCTCCCTCACCTCTTTCTCTTCATCTGCCTTCCCTCCTCTCCCTCTCCCTTCTCCTCCCTGTTCTTCTCCTTCCCCCCCCCACCTCACCTTTTCCTTCTCTATATTCCTCCCCTCTTCCTCCTTCTACCTTTCCCTCTCCCCCTCCCTTTCGCTTTCACATTGGACTAACGAGAACCAAAGGGAGTGAAAGTGTGAGGATTTTTCACATTGCTTCCCTACCTGCAGCAACACCACAGAAATTATAATAACCAGCCCTGGCAGGGCATATTCCTCCAAGGACTGCCTAAGTTCTTTGCATCAATTTTTACCTAGCCTTTGGGAGGAGATAAGAAACAAGGAATGTAATTTCCCATCTTTGTAGCTGGCCAGGGAGACCAGTTTGCAGACACTGCCAAGACTCATGCTGAGTCAGGAAACAGGCCCACATTGCACCCAACATTCTGCTTTGTGTTCAGATGCTGGGCTGCTACTGGAGAAGTGGCTAATGGGGTGCTAAATGGGATCAGAGGTTGCTCCCCCTGAAGCAAGTTATCTGTGGATGTTTGTGAGTGTGGTGGAAGAAGGGCCAGAACGTACAAGCTAAAAGAAAAGGAAAAGAAAATAACTAGTCTTTGACTTCTGTAAAACTCCTCAAGTAGAAACAGATGGGATTTGTGACTAAATTGAGCTATTATTAGATGCTAAATTGGAACCACTCTTAACTGTGCCACCCTTCTCCAAAGCACTGCTTTACTCGAAAGGCCCTGATTATGCCTCTGTGGCTTTTGGCAAAGGTAAACTGAATGAGTAAACATGTCAAATTTTAATTGTCTGTCTTTACACTAGCTGTTGAAAGTGGTGCCATCTTCAAAGAGCCAAAAGTACATGCAGATCCGATGCTGGGACCATTTTTCCATTCCATTTACACAGTGGAGTCATTGAAGAACCATTTCTGCCCTCAGTCTCCCTTGATGAGCTGAGGATGGTTGTAGGAGATGGCGGTTGGAGCAGGGGGAAGAGTAACATGCAGCCATGTCTTTAGCGACCTGAAGAGCCTGACTCCTGCATTCCGGCTGGGTGTGGTGGCTCACGCCTGTAATCCCAGCACTTTGGGAGGCTGAGGCAGGTGGATCATGAGGTCAGGAGATGGAGACCATCCTAGCCAACATGGTGAAACCCTCTCTGTATTAGAAATAAAAAAGTTAGCTGGGTGTCGTGGTACATGCCTGTAATCCTAGCTACTTGGGAAGCTTAGGCAGGAGAATCACTTGAACCAGGGAGTCAGAGGTTGCATTGAACCGAGACACCGCACCACTGCACTCCAGCCTGGTGACAAAGTGAGACTCCATCTCCAAAAAAAAAGAAAGTGCATTCGATGATTGGATGGGGAGAAGACATGAGGGGTGAGTGAAGGGGGAACGCTCGGGTTGTCCCGCTGGGTGTCCACCTCCCTGCTCCTCTGTGCCTTCTATTGGTGCCTCCTGAGTGTTAGGCATCAAAGTGTGGCTGGGTGGTATCTTGGACAGAATCATAGTTTTACACTCATCTCTTAAATAGGTAGCTCTTACATGTGAATGCTCTGAGGACTAAGTAATCTCAATACTAAGTTGCTGTGGAAGCCAAATATTACAAACAAGAGAGCAAAATGTGTTGCTGCTAATGCTAAGAAGTAGAGACCTGGGTATTCTTTTTTTTTGAGATTAATTCCTCAGTGTGACATTTCTGCATCCTTCCACCCCTTTGGCTTCCGCCTTCTTCTCCCCATCATGAAGGGATGGTTTTGGAGATCAAGGGAAGAGGAAGAAAACTGCTGTCTTCCTTCCCAATTTCAAGCCCCAGCTCAGTATAATTCCAGCCTTTGTTTTGACACTTTTTATCATGTTCCCAGACACATTGAGCTCTGTTCTTCCCCATAGGGAAGGGGTGAAGAGTTCAGCTTTAGTTCGGGCCATACTTCCCTTCTTTTTCCTGATCCCCTGAAAAGAATTGCTGACACTCGCAGCTGAAGGCACTAAGTCATGCAGCCTCACGTCGGTGACCCACTCACCTCCCATGCCTTCAATAAACCTGGCAGGCGGGGCTCACGGGATCATCAGACTCTCACAGCAGGATTTGTATTCGTGACCTGATTTACACTTTTCCCTGCCTCCTGCCAGTAATTTGTACGGTGAAACATTTGTTGAGAAGGAAAAGAGGAAGGAGGTGGTAACATATTTCTCTGGCCATTAGCCTGTGTGCTTTAGGGAACAGCCTTCTCTAACTAAAAGGTAAAATGAAAGGAAGAGAAAACGTGGGGTGTGGAAGACATTGCCAGTAGCCTGCAATATCTTTCCTTCCTTCCTTGCTAAGAGGAGCCATTGTTTGGGGCAGCAGGTGCCCCATCCCAAGGACCAACCATGTTCCCTAATTTCCAGCATCCTTTGCAGCTGTGGATGGCCATGTGGCCTATTTTTTTGCCATTGGGTTGTAAGTGGAAGTTGGATTCCAAGAGAGCTTTTTCATAACCCATGAAAAACTCAGTTACTGCTAGGATTACACTTTTCTCTTTTTGTCAGCAGCCATCTTATGACCAAGAGGTGACTAGCATGAACACAAATGCCTTCACACTGAGGGTAGGAAGCTGGAAAGCAGACTTTAGACAGCAGATGGCATCCTTGAATATCTCAACACTAATGCCTTTATGTCCCCAGACTTCATGTTCTGGGGGAAGAATCGATCTCTATTCATTTACCCTACCATACATGAGGTATGGACTGCATGTCTGTCCCTCCCTATTCCCGTGTTGAACTCCTGACCTTCAACAGGATGGTATTTGGAGGTGGGACCTTTGGGAGGTGATTAGATCATGACAGTGGGGCTCTCATGGATGGGATTAGCACCTTATATAAGGAGATATGTGAGAAAGATGGTTTTTCTCTCAGCCATGCGAGGATAATAATGAGAAAACCACTATCTGCAAACCAGAAACAGTCCTTCGTCAGACACCACATCTGCCAGTGCCTTGATCTTGGACTTCCAGCCTCCAGAATTGTGAGAAATGTAAGTTCGCTGTTTAAGTCACCGAGCCTATGGTATTCTGTAATAGCATTCCAAATGAAGACAACAAATTGTGACTTTCTTTCTGAAGCACTTCTAGCAGCTGCCTGGTGTGACTCAGTGTGGTCTCCAAGAGACTGTGCAGGCCTGTGTAACTCTGCTGACTGCACATCTGGAGGTGGTCGGCATTGCACAGCAGTGGTTCCCAGGGGCAGAATGGGTATATAAGTGTGTGTGTGTGTGTGTGTGTGTGTGTGTGTGTGAAAGAGAGAGAGATAGAGAGAGAGGCAGCAGTGGGGAGAGTCATGTTGATGAAAAGGAAAAAGTCAGATCATGTGAAAATCTTCCAAATCAAATATTTGAAAAAGTTGTGACTAAAGAGTTGGAGTGACAGCATCAGTCTCAATTTGATAAATTCCACCTGCTATAAATAAGGTTAAGCAGGCCCCTCACCACACACCCCCCACAAGCTCTCTGCCACCTGTGTTCACCTGTCAGAGGGTCCAATCCGCTTTTTAAAAAATATATTCATTTTGAAAAAATTCAGAGTTCTCACTAAGTGCCAGGCAGTATTCTAAGAATTGGGAGAATAAAGATAAAAAGAAGGGCTGGAGCTCACATTCTGTTTATTTTTCAGTACATGACATACAAACTTCCATTTGATGCTTAAAATAATATTGTGAACTGAGTAGTTTGGTTTGTTTTACCTTTTTACGGATGGAAAAACTGAGGCCCAGTCTGAGGCTAAGTAATTTCTCCATAATCACGCAATCACTGTAAGAACTGAAATTTGCAACCAGATCTAAGTCCAGAGTCTGTTTGCTTTCCACTGACCTGAACTATTAATTTCTGTCTTTTAAGGGCTCCCAGTCTAATTAGAACAATAGGAAATATTTGAAGTCAGAGAGATCAGACCAGGGCTCCCACCTCTACTACTGCTCTGTTAATGTGTATTAGCACTGTTTCATGTGGGCTCTTTTATCTGGGAAATGAAAATATTAATATCTACTTCATCAGCTAGAATTTAGTAAAGGTCCATTCTGCAATAGCTGGTAGTATAGGTGGTTTGTACATGCACATGTGCATGCGTGTAGGAATATACCCTTAAGTGACTGAACTAAAATTTGATAGTCGTACTTGCTCTTTACAAAGGACTGCTGTTTACAAACAGAGGTAGCCACTGAATAACTGAGGGAAATCGATAACAACATTTTAGAAAAGGGGACGTTGGAGCTGGGACTTACCGCATGATAACCACTGACTAGTCTGAGAAGCGGGAGGAGTAGGAGTGGGAGGCCCTCTTAGCAGAGGCACCTGTGCATGAAAACAGATGTGCTGTGCAGCGTCAGGGCTAGGTCACTGCGAGCTTGATGTGGCCAGCAGAAAGCGGGGTGGAGGTGAGATTGGAGTATACCTTTGAGGTCAGCCTGAGTAGGTTCTTGGGTACCATGCTAAACCAACAGAGACAAGTGACCTGAAATTCTTCACTCCCTGCAAAGAAATAGAGAGAGCCTCCTCTTTTGCTCGGCTTGGGATACAGCTTCCCAGAGCCCCACTGACCTTTGGGGGTCGTGGTCACGCACAGTGGGAGGGGGATTCCTTTTCTTTCTGCGCTTTGGCCCTGCCATACCTCCTTTCACAGCTCACCTGCTTGAGGTGTTGCTTTCCATGCAGGTGCGAGAACACACGTGCATAGGAAAGACTGTGCCTCTGCACCTCCCCAACCCGACAGCATCTTGAAAGGAGAAAATGGCTCTAATGGAAATCTCTATTATAGCAATAGCCAAAGGCACTGCTTTTAAGTAGTATTAAAGAAGCAGAGAGGAGACCAGCCCATAATCCGTGTGCCTTTTGCTGGGGGGATCCCATTTTCTCACATAAGGAGAATTTATCCTAAACAAGGTAGGCTTGGTCACGTCTGGAACTACTGAAAGAGAGAGAACTCACCACAATGCCATCTAGTGCGCCCCACCCCTCGGCCCTCTGCGCTGCCTTGGCGAAGACTCGTTTCCACGATCATGTTCTGTTCTGCCCAGGAAGCTCCTACGGCACGTGTAGGAAGCGCTGTCTCCATCCATGAGTAGCAAAGTGGAGCCCAGTGCTCAGCGACATGATGGGGTTTCCAGTAGCCGCGGGGCCTTTGCTGTCCTCCCTCAGTCCTGGATAAATCATGACGTGCAGATATCCACACCAGCCACTCGACAGCCCAATCCCTCCCTTGAACGGTCCTTCCATGGGGCAGGGTATTGCCCTTTCTTGTCATGCCTGGCTGGCCTCGCGCAGTGTCCTGGGAATCTTACCTAAGTAACTAAGCTGCCCTATGGGAATGTAGTCCCATGTGAAAACAAGAGAGCACGCTGGTTTCTCTGCATTCCCTTCTGAGCAGCTTTAGGGCACAGAGCTATTGCAGACATCACCACCCTCTGTCCATGTTAAAAGGAGAAATGGCTTTGATTGTGGACAACTCTAGCGGGGCAGAAGGTAGGTAGTGGGATTAGGACGTGGGACAGTGTTGATTTCCCACCGCGGGGCCAGTGGGAGTTTGGAACGGATCTCCTCTTATCCTTCCATCTTGGTGGAGTTCATTTCTCAATTCTGGATTCCCAGCCTAAGGCAGGGTTAACATGTGTGACTAATATCATCTCCACCCAAGATGTTTCTCACCTCATTCCCTTCAGCCAGCCCCCGCTCTTCAGCCCCACGTCTCCCGTTCCATTTATCTCCATCAGAGAGAGATGGAATCTTCCCTGGCGATTGTGGCAGCTTGACAAGCTTCTGTTTTTCCAAGTGAATAATCCTCTTTGTAGGACATCAAGGAAACAGCTCACTTCCCCGGAGGCCTAAGCACAAAGCCGCACTGCTCCCTGGGTGGTGGATGGGCTCCTGGTCCTGTCCGAGGGGAGGCAGCCTCCGAGGGGAGGCGGGAAGGGAAGAGACACCGTCCAGGAGGAGCAGGGCCTTTCCAGAGCGGAGCAAGCCTTCAGGTTGCGCCTTGCAGCCCCGCGGCCTGTGCTCCAGAGTCTCCATTTCACTGCGGCCAGCCGGCTTCCTGAGTCCAGCATGTTTCTTGTTCATTCTTGACACCACGCACCCCTTCTAACCCCGAGTCTCCTTTTTAGAATCCCAAGTCACACCACCTTCTATTCGATGGGCTCTACGTATCAGGAAGGTACCTGTGACTGGTGGAAGGAAAATGCACTTAGCAGTAATTAGAAGCTGAGCTCAGGGTGCAGCTCCAGGGACAACGCCCGCAGCCCCGACCTCCTTCCCTGCTCAGTCCAGCACAGGAGGAAGGACACCATTTTCTCCGGCTTGCAGGTGCCGCGTGCCTTTGCCAGCTCCTCGGACGGCGGCATGGTGGTTGCTCTGTCCCTCTAGAAGCCTCTGCGCTGCAAAGGTTTGTCGGGTCATTTGACAGAGCTCCATGCGTCCCTGGAGAGTGAGGGCCGGCGCTGCTGTCCCGCATGCTGAGCTCATTAGTGCAGAACTCACTTCGGCAACTGTGGAGGCAGACAGCATGAACAAAGTGCACCTGTGAGCGACACTGCCAGCCCTTGGGAGCGGCTGCGGGCCTGCAGGGGTGAGCGGGGCGCGGCGTGGCTCTCTAGGCGCTTATGGGGGCGGGAAATGGCGGTGCCCCGGAGTAGCTGCAGGCGCCCCGGGATAGCTGCAGGTGCCCCGGAATAGCTGCAGGTGCCCCGGAGTAGCTGCAGGTGCCCCGGAATAGCTGCAGGTGCCCCGGAGTAGCTGCAGGTGCCCCGGACCTGTCTGCGCGCCGGGACACGGGTGCACTGATGCGCGGCGGGCGAACCGCTTGCTCTTCCTCCCACAGCATAGGTGCATTTTGTCTGCAAGAACGCATTGGTGGTGTCCTGATCGACACCGCCAGGACCTGGAGGGGGTGCCTGGCACAGTGACCCCGACGTTGGGCTGGCCCCAGCCTTCCTCTTCTTCCTGCTCTGTGTGGAAGGGGGGCCGCATCACCCTTGGTTCCAGGCAGCCAGCGAGCATTGCGCTCCCGGAAACCCCCTCCACGCGGGACTTCACCCCAGAGGGCTCGTCTGCTGAATAACCGTCACTCAGGCAGCATCTGGAAATTCCCCGCACTTTCAGGCTGAGATGAGACCGCATGCCTGGGAGATCTCACGGACAGCGCCGGCTTGGTGGTCAAGCGGTGGGAGGCCGAAGGCCCCGGCCTTTACAACAAGCGGGGGGTCATAGGAAGTGTCCCTTGGGGCTGGGGACCCAGGGCAGCCGTGCGGAAGGGAGTCACCCAACCAGAGCACGAAGCGCAAGGCCGTGGGCAGCCCCGCAGCCGGGCGGGTAGGACTGCCAGGACTCAGGCATTCGAGCACTTCACGTGTCACACATGCTGCGGAGAACCATTTGCCCTTCGCCACAGCCCTTAGAGTATCTACCGCGTGTGACTACTGTGGCCTCCACTTCCAAGAGAAGGAAACGGGAGTGGAGAGGTGTTTAGTTGCTTAGCCAAGCTGCCTGAGAGCTGGAGCTGATATTTGAACCCGGGCAAGTCTGACTCCAACATCTGTGTTCCTAAATATTCCCCACGTGGCCGTGGGGAAGGTCAACGCAATGAATAACGAGAAAGAAGACACACAGCTTAGACAGATTTTATGAATCAGAATTAAGCAACATAAGTTGCCCGTCTCCCCCTTCTTCCCTCCTCCCTTCTTCCCTCCTCCCCTTTCTCCCCTCCGTCCCCGCTTCCTTCCTTCATTTCTATCAGCCTTTATTGAAAGCATCCTACCTGTGTATTTTCCACAATTCCTGTCAAAATCCTGTGCTCCCAGAAGCGGAGCCTCTCCGTCTCTTGGCTCCAAAGCTGTCTGAGCCTGCCCTGGCTTCAGTCCAGAGGAGACCGGCTTCCTTCCTTCCCCTGCGGGCATCGTCGGCCCTTGCATTCGCATCCTTTGCAGGTGAAGGAATGGCATGGAATCTCGCGTGAGAACTTCATGGTTCCAATGTCAGAATTATGTAGGGATAATTAGAATTCTTAGGCCCTGGTGTGATGTAGTAGGAAGAAAAGAGGTTATGGAGTTGGCCATAGATAAAATAGAATCTCTGCTCTGCTAACTTCTAATTATGTGCTTTCAAAAAATACATTTCCCTTCCTGGATATTCAGTTTCCTGATGTGGATAACCCATCCTGATGGGCAATTATACAAGAAAATTGATGTTAAGTTCCTAGCACGGTGCCTGGCACATTGTCAATGTTCAATAAACTTTAGTTCTCATTTCTCTGTTTCTAGTGGGATTTTAAGCATCTTGGGATCCGTGTTCATTGTGTTTATCTTCACATTTCAATAGTGCCAGGTGTACACACCTTTACACACTGGGTTCACATAGCTTTGTGGAACAGATACAGAAATGAATGAATGAATAAAAATGAGCAAATAAAAGCCTTTTAATGGATAAATCCTCTTAGATCTTCCGCTGGTTATCATTCTCAGATTTTCATTTATATTGGCGAATAATTGAGCAACTAATACGCTAAATACCGAGGATAACAAGATAAGTTAAATATGCTCCATTCCATGAATGAGCTTACAGTTAAATGTGGAGACATTCATAAACGACCACCCACAATACAAATGTATAGAACACCATGGGCAGCTGAGGGACAAGAGCTTATCTATTTTGCTGCTTTGATAAATAGCAGTGTACTTATTTAATGTATTAAATTGGGAACTGATTTAATGTATCTGATCCTCTGTTTTCTCATCGGTCAAATAAGGGTGGGGACTTTGGTGACTCTGCCTCGAAGAACTTTTTCAAGTATTTAATAAAAATTGCTCTGCGGAGTACCTGACACATAGTAGATGCTAAATAAACGCTCACTGATGTCAGCACTAGTCATATATAGTCATCAGTGATATGCTGCAGGGCTTTTTCACTTCCAAGACAACATCATTAGGATATGGCATCCTCATGAATGTGAACAATTACAAAAAAGAATGGAAAGGTACCCCTGACAGAGGGAATATTTTGCATCAGCTCAGCAGCCACAGACATAGACATTGATGAGTACGGCTGGAGAATAAACGAAGATGAGGAAGTGGGGGTGAGAAACCCAAAAGCCTGGATCTCAGAGGAATTTATATGTCAAGCAAAAGCATTTGGAGTTTATTTTATAGGGAATAGCAAGCGAATCAAACACTTTAATATAGGAGGAAGGTGATCAGAGCTGTGTCTGGGGACCGTAAGTTAAGTTCTCTTTTCAAATTCCTCTGATGGCTTCTCCTATAATTCAGAATAAACAACAAAGTTTTTGCCACAATCAGTAGGCCCCCTCCCCCAAATCATCCCTCATCTCCTATCACCCCTGGTCCCCCCACCTACACACATACTCATACCCTGCAGCCCAGCCACGCTGGTCTCTGTAAACCCATCAGACACCTGCTTCAGCACCGTTGTTCTTGTTATTCCCTCCACTGGTCGGGGGTGGGGGGAACACCTCCAGCAGGTTTCTAGAAGGAACACGCCTTCCCCCCATTCAGGGCTCTGCTCAAATGCCAGCGAGTCAGGCAGGGCTTTCCTGAGCATCTTTTGGAAATAGCACTGCCCGTCAGCCTGTGTGTGCTTACCCCACTGTCTCATCCTCAGAGCCCTAGCACTGCCCAATTTGTACCTCTCTCAATTACACTGTGAGCCACATGAGAACAAAGAGTTTATTTGCATCCTTGTACCTCTGTCAACTACACTGCTAGCCACATGAAAACAGCAAGTTTCTCTATTTTTTTCCAGTACCTTGAAAAAGGCCCACCACAAAAGGGGGCTCAATAGATATTTGTTGAATAAATGAATCATCTAAATGACGACGAAGAAATAATTGGCTTGTCCAATAGCACAGGCATGATGATGAAGCCCTATGTCAAGGCAATAGTTGGGGTGAAGATCATGGCATGCTTTGGTTGCTGAGATGTTAGATTTATGTTATCAAGTATCTAGTCAGAGCCCACCATAAGTGCTGTGAATACAAAATAGAATCCCTGCCCTTCTGGAACTTATAGTTCACTAGGGGAAACAAAACCAACAATACAAGTGATGACAAGACAGTGCAATAAAGAGATCTGGAAAACAGCATGTTGTGGAGTACAGAGATAGATTAAATGATAAACATTTTCATCAGTTCATTCATTGCTCACTCATTCAATTCACCCATTGGAGAATGAAGAAGGGAAAGTAGAATGTTTCCACATGGGCCAACTATGAAGACGATATTGCTGTTAGCTGAGATCAGAATGCCTTTGGAAAGGCTGGGGGAAGACTGGAGGGGCCCTCGCACTGGAGTGTCTATGGTGTGCAGTGGGGTAGGCCTGAGGAAGGGAAGTCATGGGTGCAGATGACTTCCCCGGGAGGTTGGCTGGGGACAGTGGAGAGTGGAGAGAACATAAAGGCAAGGCTCTCATGTAGTTACGATTGTGATGGTTGTTTTGAAGGGATTTGAATGTGCTAGTAGCCTGGCAGGAAAGGAGGAAGTACAAAGAAGGTGCTAAACACTCACTAAATTTGATGAGAAGATCAATCCTAGAGAAGACAGGGAAGTGTAGGCTTCACAGCAGAATCTTTATCCTTTGAAAAGGAGGAGGAAAATTCTTCCTCAGAATCATCACAGCAGCTAATTTAGGGTGTGGACACATTTTTATTATTTTTTGAAGAATTATGGGCCCTCACTGGACATTCTTGATTTTCTTGTCAAAGAATAAAAAGATGAGATTTGAGAAGACTAGATTAAAAAGGAGTGATAAGATGGTACTCTGAAGATTTGGTAGCAAATTCAGCAGTGTCTTCAAGCCCACATGTGAGCTGTTGCCAAGAACTGCTGCAGATAAACGTTTTCCCAACACATGCCCTTTTTACAGAGCTGTAGCTTATCATCCACATGTTTATGTCAAACATAGTGCCATGTACGTTCCACATATTCTGTTAATTCTCAGCACAACCCTAGGGAGACATGGGTTATTAACTACATAAAGTTAAGTGTCTTTCCCAGAGTTGGGCAGCTACTAAGAAGGAGAATCAGGTTTGAACCCTGGTCAAAGTGTATGTCCATGCCTCTTACTTATTAGGCTATACTCTCTTAAGTGATCCACCTGAGATGGTTGTTTCCTAACAACGACCATGCCTGGGGTAGTGTAGAATACATAACAGTTATTTTTTAGGGTCTCCAGTCTGAGCTGGTTCTAGGAGCACTGCGAGAAGTGGCCATGAGTTTCTACCTGTGTCCTAGAGCAAACGGTTGAATGACAATTCAAGTATATAACCTACTTTCTCAGTACATCTCTGTATGGACATAGGGTGCCCTTGGTCTTGAGTGGGATTAGCTAGTTGTCTAGTTTTGAAAGAGTCAGCTCCTAAGATGACAAGGAAGTTTGTCTTGATTCCTTCTGCAGAAAAGTCCTTGGAGATAAACTGTCAGCTAAGCCTGTCCAGTGAATGGTTTGCATGGACACGCGCTTTTAAAAAATCTGAACTTGACCTGGATGAGACTCTGAGGTTCCAGAATTAATATATGTCCTGTTCCTGCCACACCTGTGACACCGTGAATTTGTAACCACAGACAAAACCTGGACAGGTTCCATGCCAGCCATGACTTTAATTAAAGCTATTTAGAGGGGCTGAAGGCTAATTTATAGGTGATTGCTAGATGGGTTTTCTCAAGTCTAAAAGTGCCAGTTCAACAATTAATGATAGTACAGGGCTTAATTGGCTCAAGTTAAACAAGGGAAAAGCAAAGAGGGAGAGGAAGAGCTGATGGGATCCTCTGTCCACATGGTGACAAGGCGCCTGACAACCCTCTGGCTCCTACTTTCTCACACGGTCAGAGAACTAGAGAGGCAGGTCTAACCCCGATTGTGGAGAGGCAATAGTGAAAAGGAACTCCAGCTCATTTCTTCTATTTAAATGTGCAATAGAAACTTGTTGCAACAAAACTATTTGTTAGATTCAGAATCTCAGCAGCTCAGAGCATAAACTGCGGAACATAATCACAAAATAGAAAACATCCTTCACCTATAATCGGATGTTAGTTCTATGTTCCAACCTGGGCACTTTAAAGCCCTCTGATTATATTTTTTAATAATGTAAATTTAGTGGTGGTGAGAGAGAGAGAGATAGCTGCCTAAAGAATCATGCTATAAAATATTTTTAAGATAGCATTGGGAAGAGAGATTCCAGCTTACTGGAAATCATTTTCTGTCATTCTTAATTACTTATTTTTTGCCTGGTTCTACAATTCAACCTGTCCTCTCACCAATGTCTTGAAGCCTTTAGAGATTTTTCTCTACTTGCTGGAAAAATCACCTAGGTTATTCTGAATGCCCACTCTATTTAAATCCCTCTGTCCTTCTAATGCTACCAGAAAAAGGAGCTGATTAGCACGGCTGTTAGGAACATGGTTCCCTCTGCACAGACAGAGACCCTGTGAACTGCAGACCTTGCTCGCTGCAACTGCATAGTTCTATAACCTTTAGGGACCTATTCTGGATTTGACTGAAATCTATTTTAAATGACTGAGAGGTACCTACTTAAGACCCCTATATCAGCTACCATCTTGGTTTTAGGATGGCAGATTGAACCACTGGAATTATTTCTTGGACTCCTAGAGCTGAAGCGATGACTGAAATCATGCAGTGCAGTAGGAAGGGCACTGGGCTGAGGGTTGGGAGAAGAGAACCCACCTTCAGGGCCCAGCTGTGCCACCGACATAGTAGGAGTTCTTAGGCTGAATACTTCCCCAGGATCACAGCCCTGTATCTGTTAAGTGCTAGTTTTGCTCTGAATGACCTAGAAGTTTTTTTCCAAATCTCTTTTTCTGTAACTCTCATTTGTGGTCACAGATTTAGTTCATGGATGACTTAAATTAACAATCCTGGATCTTTGATTCTCAACCCAGTGCTCTCAGCTTTCTGCCTTATAGACTTGTATTATGACTCAGGACATGTTGTGAAAATTGGTTAATTCCATTAACAGTTACCTTGGAACTGAGAAACAGGAAGTGCTAGGAGGATGAGCTGCAACAGAGACCTCGTTTTGTTCAGTCAATTAGAAAATGGACTGAGGCTTCCAAATCTATTCCATGTGGGCAGCTGCTATTACATTTAATTTGAAAAGTCATTGGCATCGACTTCAAATTTGTAGAACTCTCCTCTTAGTCAGTTAACTGAAAGCCCTTAACCTTGTATTAAACACATATTACCTTTGTTAGGCAGACTAAACCTTATGACCTTTTTCTTGTAGGTAAATGGAATCAAGAGATTAGTAAGACGTTTGTGCACCTAGTAGCTAGTCATTTTCTTTTTATTCCATCCTTGTCCTCTCTAACCTCAGTTGGGATTGTTTTCAGTTTTCTTTACAGATGCCTAAAAGTTTATGTACTTTTTACAACTTATTTGAGGAGAACTTATCTTTCTACAATTTCACATTCTGTAGGCATGTAATGTCATTTTTATTGCTAAGGCATTTGAAAAGCCAATTTCTTGAACTGAATACCTTTCCTTCTGTAAATATGCATGCTGTGTTACTTTGCAACAACTGATCCTGGATTTAAAAGAATATGTTGAAATCAAATAACTTTTCAGTATTTACTAAGCATCTTTCTCTCATAACACTCAAAATATTGAGTACACAGAAAATACTGCAAATGAGAGATGACAGCTGTTATTACTTCCAGTTACTAAATGCGAAAGTAGAGGTACTTATAAAAGTGGACCAAAGTTAAAATAATCTGTTGGTTAACAAAATTCTGGCTTTAGACCACTTGGATTGAAATATTACCACCTGCTAGTTAAGCAAGTTACAGAATTTCTCTCTGCCTCTGTATTGAATCTGTATAATGGGGATAATATCTCCTTTATAGGGTTGTTGTAAAGATAACATTTTATAGTAAGCATTCAGTATGCATTGATTCGTATTTTTCTTCTTCCTTTAATCATCATCACCATCACTACCACCACCATCATCACCACCACCACCACTACCAACACGTCACCACCACCAGCACCACCATCACTATCACCACCACTACCACCACCACTATCACCATTATCACCACCATCACCACCAGCACCAGCATCATCACCACCACCATCAACCGGTTGGTGAATGGCATCAGCACAAAATAGGACATAAATAGCTACTTAGGTTTTTTATAAACGCCCTTTGATTCTGCAGACTTAAATCTGGAACACTAGAAAAGCATAGCACAGATAGACTTAAAAATGGGTTTTAGGCTTTAGTATAGAGAGGATTTGCTCACACCTTACTTTGATAGAATAGCAGCCCTAGAGGCAAAAAAAATGTGGGAAAAGAGAAAGACAATCTGCTTCCATAGCCTAAAATAAATGGACAGAAATGTGATAAAAGGGATATATATTTTTTCTTTTTTTGATGTCATCTAAGTCACTGTGCCCACTGGAAGGGTAAACTTCATATAGCTGAGCTCCTTCCTGGAAAGTTGATGGAACAGCAGGCATAAAGCCTCTGATTTTGTTTTATCTACATCGTCCAAAAGCTTACATCCCCATGATGCTCTGGGATAAAGTCAATCTAGGAAGAATCTGGCATGGTGGCAGAGTGGCTGGAAGTAGAGAGCAGGCTCCTGCCTGCCAAGTGAGGATCTTACCAGTTAGACAGTGGTGGCAGAGCAGATGACAGTGAGCTTACTGATTTCCTTAGAGAGAAGGGACCAGAGGCTTTGAACAGACTGATTCCTTTCCCATCATCTGTTTCTGTGGCCCCCATCAACATGGAGACCAAGCACTTAAAATATGCAGTCAAGCCAGATGCTCCCCCTCATCCCTAAAGATGACTGGCCAAAACAGGGGCTTACAGGCTGGTCACGGTGGCTCATGCCTGTAATCCAAGCACATTAGGAGGCCAAGGAGGGTGGATCACCTGAGGTCAGGAGTTTAAGACCAGCCTGGCCAACACAGTGAAACCCCATCTCTACTAAAAATACAAAAATTAGCCAGGTGTGGTGCATGTAGTCCCAGCTACTTGGGAGGCTGAGGCCAGAGAATTGTTTGAACCTGGGAGGCAGAGGCTGTAGTGAGCCGAGATCACACCACTGCACTCCAAGCTGGGCAATAGGGTGAGACTGTATCTCAAACAACAACAACAACAACAACAAAATAGGGGCTTACAGGGCAAAGGAAGGATGCTTTGGATAGGTGTGATTCTGAGGCAAATTCTAAGGAAGAGAATGAAACCTTTAACCTTTGAAAAAATTTTAATATGGAAATAGATATTTAGACATACAGCCTATAACTGCGACATTTATTGGGCACCTGTCGTATGTTAGAGACTTTGCAATTACCTAATTTAATGTATCATTATCTCCATGGTAATGGTAAGAATTCTTAGGCTTATTTAGCAGGTGAGGAAACAGAAGCACAAAGAGTTTGTAATTGTCCCAAGGTCATGAAGTTTGATTTGAACCTATTCCTGCTGATTCCAAGTCTAATGCTTCAGTGTTAAGTAGTCTCAGCCCTTGAAAAATATTATTTTTAGAAATAGAAATGAAAACAGCGATTTTTACTAGTCTAGCTCTCATTCCCCTTGTGTTCAAAGAAACCTCATTCATTCATTTGTTCATTAGTTCATTTATTCATTCAATAGTTTTTAAGCATCTACTACACCATACGCTGTAGTAAGTACAAGGATATAGCAATAAAAGAGTTAAGTCCTTATCCTCAGAAAGATTCCCTATTTACATCCTTACTGATTCTCCATTTATATTGAAGTGAAAGACATAATAATGCAAAATACATACGTAGATTTCTTCTGTGAAATAGAGGAGTGATACAAAAAGTTGCTGATGGTGCGTTTGAGGTACTTCAGCACAGGCATTCAGAGAAGGCTCACTGAGGGCTAGTGTGAGAAGAAAACAACTACTTCATGATCCAGGAAAGAGCATTCCCGGCCAAGAAGAGGTCAGGTACAAAAGGCAAGGATGGCAGCAAGCACTGCTTGCTTCAGGGGGTGAGAAATAAGGCCAGTCAGGTGGAAACCTGGTGACAATGGGAAAGCTTCAGGAAACGGGGTACCTAAATTGGTATAAACCAGATTAGCCAAGGCATTGTAGGCATGGTAAGAAGCCTGAAGTTTATTCTAAGTATATAGTAAGTCCTGAAGGCTTTAGCCATTAGAGTGAAATGGTCTGATTTAAGTGTTGAGATTCCCCTCGGTGATAGTTGAAGAATTGATTACAGGGGAGAAGGAGCATAAATAGGAAAGTAAGTTAGAAGGCTATTGCAATAACCCAATTGAGAAACAGTTGCAAAACCTGTGGGGGCAGCAATGAAAATAGCAGGAAATGAAGAGTTGAGATGGTCTTTGGATTGAATATAAGATAAGAGGGAAAAACAGAAAAAGTCAAGATGCTTGCTGGCTTTAGGCCCAATCAGCTGGCTGGATGGTAGTGTCGTTTGCTAAGACTGAAGCATCTCAAGGTTGAAAGTTGTTTGTGTGGGGGGTATGGCATGGCATGAAATTCCATTCATGTGTACGTGTGTGTGTGTGTGTGAAGTATGAGAAGCCTGTTGGATTCAAGTGTGCATTTGAATGAATTTTGTGTTCAGGAAAGTGAACTGGGTTAAGGATATAGGTTTGGAAATAACCGGGTTACAAATGGCATTTAAAACCATGGGATTTCTTGAGACCCTCCTAGGACAGAGTGTGCAAACAGGAGACTGGAAGACCTAGGCTAGAATCCTGGGGTAGCCCTTCTTTTAGAGGTCAGAAAGAGAAGGAGAGGCTTAGGTGACCCAGAAGTAGCAATGACCTAACAATTAACAAGCAAGTAAATGCAGTTTGGTGTCACAGAAGCGTGGAGAGGCAAGTATGTTTTGGGGTTTATTTCTTGTTGTTGTTACTGAGAAGAGAGAAATACAGTGGGAAGATGAAATGACTTTTGGCAATTTGGTAAGATTGAGTCATTGATGACCTTGATAACTGCAGTTGTGTTGGAATGGATGGAGTTGAAAGCTCAATTGTAGTGACTTGATAAGGGAATGGGACATGAGAAAGGAGAGAGATGGAGAATATAGAAAACACTTTTCTCAATCCACTCCTAATTACACTTAGCCCCAGACCACAAAAACTAGATATTGACAAGATTTTGAAAGGCCATTTGCTGTTCCTAAAATAACCGTGGCAAATCGCGGGAAAGCCAATTTTGTGGTCCTGCTTTGTAACTCAGTCCATCTTAACAGCTTTCATTATCAAGAAGTTATTCCTTCTATTGACCTGAGAGGTATACTCCTATTTTAATTTTATGGAGATAGAGACATAGGAAGTTTCATTAAAACCCCACTCCTTCCTCATGTGCATTCACAGCCCTTCCACCTTTCTGCATTGGCCTGCCGTCCAACTCTCTATGCCTTATACCTCTGTGTGAGCCATCACACAGTTTCCAGATAGTGCTGTGTGCATTGATCATATGTTGGAAATGTTCACTGAGATGTGAGTTCCCAGAGAGAAGAAGCTGCCTGTCATCAAGTGTGTATGCCTAGTACATAGGAGGTACTCATTCAATTGTCATTAAAGAAATGTTTTTGTTTTGCAATTTTTGTCTAATCTACATTCATTTGCTTGCTTCTCCTTAAGGTAAAACAATGGTACTCTTGGCCACACACTATATAGAGAGTATGTGCTATTTCATGTAAAAACAATAGTTCAGAGAGAAAAGTGTGATTTTCTTCCCATTCCCATTTGGGATCTCTAAACTCAGCTCATATTTTGGTGGGGGTGACATTCCCATGCTATTATTCTGTCTTCACATTGGGATCTCCATTTCTGGGAGGAAGATAGATGCTAATTTCTTTACAAATACCTTGCTTTCTCACATCTTACTGATGTTTTCAACTTCAAGCAGGGAAGAAAGTCTGGATGATTCTCCATTAAGAGTGTGCTATTAAAATTGTCAATTTCTTGAAATACATGGTTGAAAAACCATCATTTTTTCCCCACTGTGTGTTACCCTAAACTATAGACCTGTCACCAGGCAGTGTTCTAGCGTGTGGGTACAGAGAAACTGTGGGAAGATCCCAGTGGCACTTAAATTATATTCTCCTTTTGATTTCGAAGACATTTAGTGCCATTTAGCAGAATTCCAATGCAGTTGGTTCCACAGAAAAGGGGGCTGTCCCTTTTAGAGGCATCATTGCTGCAGTGACTGAGAAAAAGAAATTAAGTCATCAAAACAGCAGGTTGGCTTTTCTATCCAGACCATCGTGGAATTAAAAGGACAGGAAGGCTCTGTGGGCTCCTCTGCAGCCCGCGATGGTATTCACTGCTTCATATCTGTTCCAACGCTGAGCAGAACAGACCATTGACCTGTGTCCAGTCCACTAGTGTTTCAATGAAAAGTTGATTTTTAAAAGGAGGCCAGGGTACAGGGAAGAAATGGAATTTCATGTAGAAAAATTGCTCTTTCTCCCTGATAGCTTCTAAAGAAAATATGCTCTGTGCATAAGTCAAAATATTTTTTTTTCTGATGGTTTAGCATGTCCCACTATTTCCGTCTGGGATCTGAAAGCACAGCTGTGTTCTTCCTGTCTCACACCTCATCTTCAGAAAGAAAATCCACCGTGGGGAATGTGGCCACAGACAGAACAAAGTCTATAGGAAAGAAAGGCACTGTGTTCATGGTTGCTCAGGTGTCTTAAACAGATTTTGTAAACATTATGGAGATATGGGTCAATATCCCTGAAGAAGAAGGGATTCCTATTGTTTCTCGGATCCCACTCTCCACTTGAAGTATAGGGTATCACCATGCAGGATAGACCCGGCTGAGTGCAGCCTGTGATGATTTCTGCTCACCTAAACTTCTCAATACCATTTACAGTTTTTAAAATGGAACTACCTGGTTCAGGTACTTCCCACAATACCTGAGGAATTAAATTAAGAGGTGAGAATGAGCACAATGCTATCTAAGCAACTAGCACTTAAAAAGTTAAACATCTCCCTCAAAACTGTGCATTGCTAAGTCTATAAATGTATAGATCATTATATTTATAGCACAATGTACAGAGAGAATGGTCTTCATTTCCAATCCATACTCAAGAGAGAACTGTAAAATATTTAGCCAAGTGTGGCTCAGGGAATGCCCTTGGTCTTGACCTTGTTCTGTTATCCTCCCATAAAAATAACAGCTCAGAGTTACTGAGTGGTTACCATGCACATGCACTGCTTAAAGGCTCCACATACAGCCAGTATGAAGTAGATACAATTAATGCGATTTTAGGTTGTAGAAAGGGAGTCAGAAAAGTCAGGTCCCATGACGAAGCCCCCGCACCCCTATGACACACAGCTTAGATCACACCCAGGCCTGCACGCTGAATCCTTCTGCTCCCCTGTGTCTCAGCTGTGGTGAGGGTCCTCTCCCAGCAGACTGCAGATTCCTTAAATGTCAAGGCCATGTCTTCCTGATCTTTACATACTGCTCATGGTAGGGGCTTCATAATTACGGTATAAATATCGATGAAGTCTGTCCCACATGGTCTACCTCACCTCGACATGGTTTGACTTATCATTCTCTTGTATCACGGCCTTTATACTAACTTAAATGAATTTGTAATTTCTTTATCTGGATGTACACGTAGATCACCTTCTAGCATAGCATTTTCTAAGAAGTGTTATTCCTGTTAAATGCTGCAGCAAGCCACGAAGTCTCAGAGCTTTGTGCCAAAGTCCCCCAGCCTTTCAGAAGTTACCTGCTCCTCTATTTGTGAGTGGCTTCTCTCAGCAGCATCAGTGAGGGAGGCTGGGGCTGTATGCTCCTCTCTTGCAGATTGGGCAGCACCCGAGTAAGCCTTTCTAAATGTCTGCCTGTAGTTACTACATGGATTATGTTACCAAACATCTCCCTTCATTCAGGAAAGCAATCTCCCCTATCAAACATTTACGCAGCACCTGCTCGATGCACGACATTGCATTAGGTGCTGGGGGGATTCAAAGATGAATTAGGCACAGTCCTTGCCCGCAAGCAGCTCACAGCTGAGATATGCTAGATGAGATTCAATTGGCATCTGGGCTCTGGTGAATCAATGGCTCTCGTTTGCAGTGGATCTTATTCATCACAATCATGGAACATTTAGTGAATGGTCATTGAGCACACACATTTCATAACAGAGACTTTAGTCACAGTGAGTAATCAAAGAAGACAAATTCTATTGCTTTTCCTGCCCTGAGCCCTTTCTCTCTCCCAGAGAAAGAACAGCTTTTTTTCAAATGATTAATAGAATGCATATACAACTGGCTGAAGGGTCAGATGTAACAGGGTAGCATTTTTTGGTATATCATCAAGCTTTATGTATCTGGCTTTTGATATGGATTGTCATATCCTCCACACTATTGTTCAGTATTCCCCTCTGTCTTTCCTCTCAGCTCACTATCATCTTTTATGGGTGCCTGCATGTACTGGGATTATAAAATTCAGGCAATTTCAGGATCATTCTTTCTTGTCTCATCCTTGATCTCACCCCCAAGTATATTTATTGCTGAAGTGAATGATACACAACTCTAGCTCCATCAGGTGAAGGAGAATTTGGCCAGCAGGAGCTTTCCTTTCCGAGTCAAGAAAATTCCTCCACTTATTTAGAAATTAAATTAATAGCATGCTGCTATGTCCAAATACAGACAGGATCTTCATCTTCTTGAAGCACCTGGTTTTCATCTTTAGTCTTAATTTCAGAGGCCAACCTAAATCTGTAAACTCTGTCCTGTCTCAGTGGATAGTAAATTCCATATTGGATACAGGAGAAAAAAAACACTTCCCTAAGAGCCTTTGAGTGATCTCTAATGGTTTTGCTGCTTTTGTTACAAGCCTACTGTTGGTTTCCAATGAACATAATTTTAATTTGGAGTCCTGCTGGCTTGCAATCTTTCTATGGGATGGCTAAGGCAATGCCATCATGTTAATAACCTCCAAAAGGCCATCTTTCTAATTCTCGCATGTCAGGGCAAACCAGTTGCAGCTCCCGGGAGGACAACTGCACTTGTGCTGGCTGCTCCCAGGGAGAGTCATCATGAAGACACCTTGGAGAGGTGTAGCAGCAACAGGCCACTCTCAGGCCACACGTGCTTTACAAGATGCTTAAAACTGAAGCAAAGGCACAAGCCTATGGCTAAGTTTTGAAGAGCAAATGAAAAATGATATAAGCAATACATTCTTTGGCACCACCAACAAAAAAGTAAATAAAAATGCAACTTTGTGCTTAACATAATACAGGAATTTAGTTGTTTATCCTCTCCCTCAATTTCAAACACTATGCACACCATTCATTACCCTTTTAAGATAATGTGAAACTGTCCTTTTTGAAGGCTATTGGGAGTCAGGAAAGTCAGTCTTCAGTAGGGAATTTTATAATGAACTATAGAAGATCCGCATCAAATCAAAACAAAACAACAAAAAACTCACACAGAAACAACAAAACAAAACAAAACACACACACACATGCACAGAAAACCCCATAGCTAACATCTAGTCCAGAAGTTTGATTATATAGATGAATTTTCAGAGAGGTTAAATTAATTAATCAAACAAGTGGTAAAACGAGGCTTGGAACCCAGGTTTTCTGATGGCTAATTCCACATTCTTTCCACTGCCACCATTTTGTCTTGAATTTTCTTTAAAGCTTACTTGAAAATGGATATGCTTCAAGTGCCTGTCTAATCTATGCTGGCTATTCTAAAAGCTGATGTGGTCCTGCAGAGACCAGACACCTGGTGACTGCATTACCTCCTATATGCCTTCATATTTTCAGTGAACTATTCAGTAGGGTACATTTCAAAATTTGCATTTGCATTTCTATTCTTCTGTAGTCCCCTAGTAGCATTCACATCTCTCGATATTGGCCTCTGTTCTCTCTTCTGCTTTTGAAAGCAAAAATTACCCAGCAAAATAACAGGAATTGCCTCTCACATGCTGAAGCTTATTTGACAGGAGGGATTTGGCTGACTTGAGCATCCCGCTTGGCATTCAGGGATGCTGCACTGCCTGGGGATGAAGGAGGAATGAATCTGAGCCAGACTCGCTAACTCCCATTAGGGACTCCGACCTCTTGCCCAGGACAATGGTAACGTTGACAACTAAAGTCCATTATAGTGAAGGGGATTTAAATCATAGTCTAATTCTCATTAAGAGTGTATGCCAAATTATCAGGATCTTAACACTAAGGTCATCATTTTTGTAGAAATAACAAAATCTTGTCAATCTGGATAAACCTAAACAACCTCAACTTTGATGAAGAACTACACTAATGCAGATAAAATTCTAGGTTATTCTAGTAAAATCTTCTGGCTTCTGATTGGTGTATTAGCGACCAGAGCTAAGAAAGTAATAGTCCTGCTTTAGGTTCTATTGATTAGACGAAATCTAGAGTGCCTGTGTTCATTGCAGCCACCACACCTTAAGAGGAATATTGAGAATTGAAGTGTATCAGACAGAAAGGACCAGGCTAATGTTACAGTGTGAAATGTCATCAGAGCAATTAATGAAGGCCTGGGTGGGCTTGAGCCTAGAAGATACCACTAGAAGAACCAGAAGAGCTCTTTCTTCACGGATCTGAAGATCGATTAAATTTGCTCTCTACGGCCCTAGTCAAATCCAAAAGTACCAGAAGGAAGTTACAAAGCAGCACATCTTGGTTTAGTGCAAAAAAAGAACATTGTGGTAGGAAAATGGCACAAGCAATACGTTCTCTGACAGTGAAGACAAACAAGGGGAAGCCCAAGTGTGATGTTGTGAACAGGAATCTAGCATTTAATGAAAGACTAGGCTAGATGATTCTAGTGCAGTGTGTTTCATGGAACATTACTGCCGTAAGATTATTCAGTACAAAGGATGGGTGGCAAGATAAATATGTTTGGGAAATATACACATTGTGTTTATTCCTCGAGATGCATGATTCATATTAAAAGCAGTAAGTAAATTCATTTAATTTAGCTTAATCCAGGTTTTTCTAAATACATTTGGCTGCTGCCTCTGCCACATTTTTAAAGTAATTTTTGTTTCTACCCTTTGAACACCTAGTGGGAATACTTTCCCATAGATCTCTTCCTATCCTGAGATTTTTTTGTATCAAGAAATCCTGAATTCTTTAAAACAGACCTGGCTTTGATGCGATGGCAGCACTGCTTGATATTTTACTGTTTCCAGGAATGAGAGTGTTACTTTAGGCCTCTGTGCTTGATATAGGGGGGCTGGTGTATATGATTTGAGATCAATGTGATGGTCGGGATTGATTTTAAAGAGAGGTAATGGAAGTCACGCAGAGGGTGATGGTAAGGAAGAGCCTAAGGCTGTAATCACTGATGTGTTTGAGGGAATCTCCGCATGTGACGTGGCTAGCAAGTCCTCCTCACTTGTTAACTGTGTCTCTTTGCAAGCTCCTAAGAGGTGTCCCAATTCCCAGGAAGGTACATTATTTTCAGGGAAAGAGGACACACACCATGTCTCCAGGTGCTGAGGCAGGGGTTGTCATGATGGAGGTGGCATCATTTTATGGTTTTACTTTTAGCTAGGTCTTCTCTTTCATACTTTCATTAAAGAAAATGACAAGCAAACCCCTATTTTTCTGTAATTTTTGAAATGCAGAGTGTCACATTTAGATACAGCAAGAGATAGAAGTGTGGGGGGTTCTCAAAAAGAGAGAAGTAGGAGGTGGGGCTCCTTGAGTTGTTTTTGGTGCAGGAGCCATGGCCAGCATGCCACATGTGAAGGAAGAAGAGTGAGCAGCAGTTTGTAATGCACAGGGGAAGCAAGGGTGTGATGCCGTAAGATGGGAGGGAAGGAGTGTCTTGAATGTCAGAACGCAACAGGATTTGTCCAATTTGGCTGGGAGAGGGGCAGTGGGGTAAAATGTTCAGTGTGTCAGAGAAAGGTAATTCTGAACATTAGGTAGCCAAGAGTAGGTTAAGGAGGGAAGCCGTGCCAGGACTATAGCAGTAGGTAATGCACCCTTTTCGCAAAGACAGCATTGGCTCTCAGGGCTAAGCTCAGAGAGACTGTCAGTGGGTTCATTTATTCAACAGTGACTCAGCTGGAGAAATACCACCTGGGGCGGCCAGATCGTGTCCCTTATTCTAGCAGGAGTGAGGGCTGCTATTGTGTGAGTGTGACTAAACCGGAAGTTAGGGAGGGAGCACGCTGATTGCCCGATGGATTATGACGAATGGAGAGGGCACTCACCCTACACCACATAAGTGGGTGGGAGTGGAGAGTCTGCAGCGCACCTTGTCAATGTGTTTCCTCGCAGGGTTTAATCTTTCATCATAAAGGCTATTAGGGATTTCATCACAGGCTGCTCTGGCAATTAGTTCAGAATAAACTGAGAAAACTGCAGGGACTTTGCGGAGGAGACTTCAGCCTTTGCATTTATAGCGCTTTTTTTAAAGTAAAATAATGACTGTGTTTAAATTGTACAGAGATATTTATAAAAGGGATAAAATTTTAGGCTATTTTGGGAAGATGTGGTACAGGAGAAGAGAAGGGAGAAACCCACAAGCCACCCTGTGTCAGGCCTCTTTTTTCCCATTTGTAAAGTGATTGAATTTTATTTTAAGTATCCATGATTGGTATTAAATCCATTACAGTGCTAGGTAGACAGCTGAAAAGAAATTAATGGAATCTTTAGATGTTGGTAAAATGTAATTCTAATGCTCATTGTGTTGAAGTAAATAACCTGGTTGTGAATAGTTTAGAACCTTCTCTAACCCTAGAGAAAAAAAGTTCCCTCTCACTCCCAGGGTTGAAAACGCCCCCTCTGAGAGTCAAATTGTGTGGTTCTATCTCTGATCTCAGGCAGAAGGAAATTGCAATATAAGGCTTGGCTCTGTTTCAGTAGGCCATGTTGCCTGATAAGGTTAATTGATTTCCATTGCTTTAATTAACAAAATTAATTTTTTATCTAATGAGGGAGATTTGGGAGTGACATGGGTAGATGGAAAGATGACAAGTGTCAGCCCCATAGTTAAAGAGTGACGTAGGCCCTGTGAGGATGGGCAACACAAAGAACCCCCGAGTCACGGAGTGATTAGGGGCGGGTGACTACACCATGAGCATGCCACTTCTCTCTCTCTTAAGACCATCCTGAACCTTGCTGGAGAGAACTTGGACTTTGTTACTCTCTTGTAATGGTGGCTTTCAGAAATCCATCATGGTGTGTCACAGTGGCTCATGCCTGTAATCCCAGTGATTTGGGAGGCCCAGCTGGGAGGATTGTTTGAGGCTAGGAGGTCAAGGCCAGCCTGGGTGAAACTCCATCTCTATAAAAATTTAAAAAATGTAGGGAGATGTTCAAAGGTTGCAGCGAGCTATGATTGTGCCACTGCACTGCAGTGTGGGTGTTAAAGCAAGACCCTGTTTCCAAAGAAAAGAAATCTATCACCTCTTCCTCATGAGTCTCCAAAATGAGTAATTCTCAGCAAAGTCTCCATGAAGGCCTAAGGTACCATGAGAGTCTGCTCCAGACCAAATTTAGCTCCAGGTTCTTGCTCCCTCTATGTCCCAAACGGCCTTCTCGGAAGCCAGCATTGTCCTGAGCCTGGGCCAGCTCAGCTGCAGGAGACTCCACCTGAGTCTTCTGTTTTTGCAAACACAGGGCAGGAGACTGGAGCTGTCCGCTGCCTGTAGACTGCCACTCTTCGCCCTCCCTCTTCACACGCTTCACTAGTCACACATATTCCACCCAACCTCCGCACGGGTCCCTCTGGAGGGATGACTTGCAGCCCGCCTTGTTTATGTGTCTGGCATCAGTAGGCGGCAGGGAGATTTGCTCCTCATCACTTTGATCAATCTTTCTGCTGTTGAAGCCTCTCAATGAGTTGAAAGTGATTTTCCCTGCTCTATGTACAGGTAGGAGCAGATCGCCTTCGATTTCTAGTACAGAGACAGCGGCACTCTATCAAGTTGTTGCGTTGCATAACCATGAGTGCGGGGCGCGGTGTTTCCTGTGCTCATGGAGTGATGGTCATGCTTGGCATTGTGATCCATCTTAGCCCTGTTTGCTAGTGTGCTTTACGTCAAAAGCACAGCTATTTCTAGTGTGTTAGTTCTCTTCCCCCTGGGAGTCTCTGAAAGATGGAGGCCTCTAGGGATGGTTGAAAGGAGCACTGCAAAACTGCCATGATTAGTTCTGATGACTGAGGAAGCTAATGCCTAGCCGGGAGATATCACATGGAAGCCTCAAAGCTGTCTTCCTGCCTCCCCTAGAAACACATTTTGCTTTCTCCCTAAACAGAGTTCAGACAACTTCTGTCGAGTCCTCCTCTGTGGGACTCAAGAAAGAGTGCTGTTCCTTCAGGCTCGATGTTATTAATTCCTGGTTCCGATTCACAGGAGTAATGCTGCAAAGGCTTTTTTTTTTCCCCAAAATGGAGTCTTATTCTTTCGCCCAGGCTGGAGTGCAATGGCGCGATCTCGGCTCACTGCAACCTCCACCTCCCAAGTTCAAGCTATTCTCCTGCCTCAGCCTCCCGAGTAGCTGGGATTACAGGTGCCACCACTAAGCCCGGCTAATTTTTGTAGTTTTAGTAGAGATGGGGTTTTGCCATGTTGGCCAGGGTGGTCTTGAACTCCTGACCTCAGGTGATCCACCTGCCTTGGCCTCCCAAAGTGCTGGGATTACAGGCGTGAGCCACTGTGCCAGGCCAACTGCTGCAAAAGCATTTTAAGGGAGACTGATTTCTCTTCCTCCTGCAAAACAAAAGGAAACATTTTGGGATTGCCTACAAGCATGCACCCAGGCAAATCTTCCTGTAGGGTATTCAGCTGAGCATTGTGTTTTCACCTTGACTTCATGGGTGGAGGGAAAACAGCATCACCCAAGGGCACCTGAAAGTCAGTCAAAGGGTAGGAGCTCCTGCATCACTTGTCCATGTCAAGGCGACTCAAGGAAACTTAGAAATGTCCAGGAATAAGTTGTCTATCTGGTCGAGGCACCTCATTTGACACATGAGAAGGCTGAGACTCACAGAAATTAAGTCCTATTTTGAAGTTCCAGAGTTTGCTAATATTGAACTGGAATTAGATCAAGACCTTTTTTCATTTTTTGTTCATTAGAATTCACCCATATGCTTAACATTTTTTGGTTGACTATTTATTGAGCACCCATGATGTACAGGCAGGCAGGGTTCTAGGTATGGGGGATTCAGGAATGAATGGAATTGACAGAGTCCCACAAGAAGCTCGCAGCTGGGTGTGTGCATGAGGACAGAGCTATGAGTTAATAAATACACACCTAGTGTCAGGTATCTGTGCTGTGAAGAAGAAGAGAAGAAGGGGGATAGGCAGTGATGGGAGTGCTAATTTGCAGGAAGTGTCAGGGTCGCATCTTTTTAACACTGGTATTCAACAGAGACAGGCAAGAAGGAGAACAGGAGCTATGTGGCCCTTGCAGAGAAGACTATTCTTGATAGAGGGAGCAGCAATTACAAAAGCCTTTAATTTCATTATTTTTCCCCCTTCGTCACAGAAACAGGTGCTTAGGAATTATACATTTTCTTATACATACACTTAAGCCTCTCTCTACCTAGCACACACACACACACATACACATTCTTAATTCACGGGCTAAAGTAGTTATACCGAGAATGGCTATTAATAAAAAGAAGAGGTAGAGGGAAATGTAAAAGCTCTTACACACACACACACACACACACACACACACACACACACACAGAGAGAGTCTTAATTTGTGGGCTAGAGTAGTTATATAGAGATCAGCTATTAATATAAAGAACAGGTAGAGGGAAATATACAAGCTTTTATACACACACACGGTGTTAATTTGTGGGCTAGAATAGTTATATAGGGATCAGCTATTAATAAAAAGAGGAGGTGGGGAAAAGTACAGGCTTGAAAGACTGTAGATGAATTCAAGGTGGAACAGTCTTTTGAGTCTACCACTTTGCCATCGATTCCACACCTACTCTAAGATGAATAGGCTGGTGTTGAAACTGGGAAGTGCATTTCTAATCACAACTGGTCAGCATTCCACTGCATACTGCCGGATTACCCGGAGAGTCAAAGGACACTCTTTGGAGCCTGGAAGTTGATTCCAAGGTTCTATTTCTTGTACACTCAGAGACCAGTGCCTTCAGACAAGGCCCAGGGGCAGCAGGGTCAGAGGTGATGTCCTACTGCAATCCACAGAGTTCTCACTGCCATGTAGACAAAGGCAGCATTTAGTGGCACAGCTGCATATTCTTCAGAGTTAGAAAAGGAAACATTTTTTTTCTAGATACAAATGGGGCACCAAAGATTCCAGAAAGCAGAGATGCATGGTTTGAGTCAGTGTGGTGTGGCACTAAAGGCACAGGAGACTATGGCCAACTTGTTCATTTTCTTTTACAGGATTTTTGTGAGACTTGGGGGTTGCGATGTTCTCAGGAGCCATGTACTATGCTGATCTAATTCAATTGGGCTTTTGTTATGTTCTGAGTATTGGCAAGATTCTACGAGGGCTACAAAATAAAATTACACTTTTGTCTCTCTGAAATGACTCATAGTCTTTCATAACAAGGTAGGTCATGGACCTAGAACAACAGGAGCCCAGCACACAGTGATGTGTGATTATGTGCCATGAGGTCCAGGAGACAAGGGTAGGCTTGGCCCTCTAGAGACCACTGCAGAGCAGCGGGCTGGACTTCAGCCGGCTTTTGAGGAGTGGCTAAGATTCAAAGAAGGGGAAGGCAGAGCAGGCCAGATGGAAGAAAGGGTAAATCTGAGCATCGTTTGTTTTACTAGACCATGATGAGGCTGGCCTGGGTAGAATGGAAGCTTCCTTGGCTCAGAGGAAGCTATAGTGAAAAGACTGTGTTTGGGGGAAACAGTGGGCAGCCCTCCCTGCCACGTGGAGAGGTGAGTGGCTAAGAGCATGGGCTATGGGAACAAACCCCGGTTTCAAATCATGGCTCCCACACTCACTAGCTGTGTGACCTTGGCAAATTCCATAACCTCTGAGTCTCAAGCTTTTTCATCTTTAAATTGGAGAAGGTAATAACACCTAATTCAGAAGGCTGTTATGGGAATTGTGTGAATTAATACAATGCAAAGTTATAATGAAATGCCTAGCATATATTAAAGAACTCAATAGTCATTTTTATTAATAATAAAATCATATTTTGCTGATAAGAGTGGAAGCACATCACAGATAAACAGATAATCGAGTAGAGTTGTATTAATAGCTTAATGCGGGAGTAGGAGATAAAAGTTGTATTTTGAAATGTATCCTGATGCTGGTGTGACAGGTGGGTCTCACCAGGTGAGAGACAATAGGAACATTGTCAGCTGGACACGCTCAGTCCTTGCACCTGGGCAGGGACAACAGGAACAGGGATGATGGGAAGAATCTCAGATTTATTTGAGAAAGAAATTAGCAACCCCTGTCTTGAGAAAAGCCAGCTCTTTGAACATCTCTTCCCAGCTTTAAGTCTCACATGTGGAGGATACACAGGATTCCTCACACTGCTGGCCAGGCCAGTTCCTGGTGCGTGGGCAAAGCTTTTCCCTAGCAGACACACTCCTTTCCAGAGCTATCTCTATCAAACCAAAGATTATAGGGATGGTTGGGGAAATTCCAATTTTCTCTTTGGCAGGCTAGAATGAGGCACCTTTTTGAGCTTTCTCTCCATCATTTCAACCCGCCCTAGAGACTTCAGCCCTAACAGAGTGGCAAATGTTGCCTTCTGAGCCTTTTTGTGGTAAGTCCAGTGCAGAGTAGTCTGCAGCACATTGGCTGGCCGGAAGGGCCAGTGGTGGGCAGTTTCGCTGTTGGCCCTCTTTATAGGAGAGGAAGGCAAAGCTAAAGCTCAGGAACAAGGCAGCAGAGCCTCAGAGCTGGCCAGCACACCCCCTCCACCTTAATTCCCTTTCGTCTGCAGCATGGTATCCCAGACAGCTGTGGCACATCCCTTCACCCCGCCCCAGTCAATATGGCATCGCCCACCTGGGTCAGTCACCAGGGCCCAGGATGATGAAACAGGTGCTTGCTTTTGTAGCAAGAGAGCCAGTGGCGGGTAAGTGCCTGCTGTGCTGTTTTTGATATCACCTCTGAGATGAATTAAGTGTCTGAGGCCTGCAAGATTGCAGCACTCACAGGCTGTCATTGAAACAATTGCATTCAATGGAAGAAAACAAACTCCTTTTCCTCTGGCAGTCATCTTTTGATTCTGTAGAAACAGGAGCTAAGCTGATGGAAAACAGAGAATGTAACAAAGCCCCCTTCCCCCATAACGGATGAGTCAGAGGCTTTGTGAGCCACAGGGTTTCTTGTGTTGTGCCCAACACAGGACGGCCCTGTGGCTTCCACAGGTAGCAGGGCTGGGCACGGGAGCTGAAAGCCCTCCCAAGCAGGAGACAGAAACCACTTGGAAATGAGTGGTGGGGATCAGTGTGTGAGCCCCCAATTTCAGAATTCAGCTGTAATATTCATATCATCTTGTACTGCTGTAACATCATCTCCTTTTTATTTAAGCTCAACGTTTGCAAAATTCTATAGCAATTTTAAGGGTTTCTGTGCACCAGATTTCACCCTGAGTTGAAACCTAGCCCAGGTATTCTTACTTTGAGTTCTATTTGGAGGCCATTTTTACATGGAAGTTTTGATGAAGTCTGCTGTAAAAGTGCCCTGGTGAGGTAAGGAGTGAGAATTGATAGATATGAGGAGTCTCTTCCTCAGAAGTCAACTGACTGTACAGTATGTAAGGCTTCTTCCCACAGCAGCAGGTAAAGGCACTAAAGTGGTTGCTGACTTCCCCAGATAGCTCAGAAATCCACAAAAAGGGGCAAGAGCTGAGGCCACCTGAGCTTGCAGTCTCTGTTGTTACTGGCCCTGCAGCGGATCCTGCGAGACTTCCATGGAAGTCCGTGGTTCCCCAGGCAACTGGGCGATTGTTCCTCCTGCCTTGCAAGACCAGACATCTGTTGACTGCATATTGATCAATAGCAGCACTGTAGGTGAGTGGGCCAGTGGGTGGTAGTATTTAGAGACTAAGGGAGTCTCTGTCTCTAAGCTTTACAGAGAGGTCTGCACAGGTGACAGGTGTTCAGAGATTCTCTCAAAATGGTGGCTGACTCCTTGGCATCTCTTGCCTTAGGAAAAGAAACAGAATTACTGACATTTCATGTCTTGCTTATCATATCTAAATAGCATAGACTTACCCCAACTATTTTTACTGTCATAAAACATCTTTCCAGGGCATGAGGGGTTGCGCGCTTCTCTTTTGCCTCTAAGATAAGATGCTGTGCCTGTGTGAGGCCATTCTGCATTTTATATTCATTTGGTTCTTTGCTGCCCTTGCAAATTTAACAGCCTTCAAAATTGGATGCTTCTCACTGGTTCTATAATGAAGTAGCAATTTGTCTCCACATCAGAATCCAGGTATAGCTGTGCTAACTTGAAGCCTGCCCTTGAGCTTCTGGAGAATGTTAAATATTTCCATCTGTAGAAAATCCCTGGGTATCACAAAAATGGGGAGGAAGAAGTCCTCATTCTTTTCATAACAAATGGGGGTGTAAGGAAGTAAGGAAAGAGAGATGCTAAGAGCAAGGACATTCACTAAAAGTAGAACCTCTGATAGCAACAGCAATCTGCCCATCCTTTTTATTCCTCTCACTCCAAGTGAAATGCTCAGTTGAGGCTGGGGGAAATTGATTTCTTTTAAACTAACACTGAATGAATTTCTATTGTATTTCAGGCACTGGGACATTTCTATTTCTTGTCTCATTTAAATTTCTCAATCCTATAAAAGGGATTCTATATTGACTTCCATCTTAAAAGCAATGCTACTATGTCTTAGAGACATTATATATCAATGGCAATACACTTATTCAATATACAAACTTTAACCTAGATTTGTCTGGTCCTAGATTCCAAATTCTTAGCCACTAGATCCTACTACTTGAGTTTGTCTTTTTTTTTTCCCATTAGTGGAATCTATAATTCTGTGAGACCCAAAGAGGCTAAAGTGTTTTCCTAAAACCTGTTTGGCTCCTGGCCTCTGAGTCTCATACCTAGTGGATCTCCTTCATTTATCCCCCAGATCCCAAGACCAACGCTGCTCTGAGACAGAAGGGATTAGTATTACCAGTTCTTGTCCTGCACGCTGTGAGCTCTGTATCATGCGGCCTTCACTTTTTTACATAACTTTGATTGGGTACCTTGGCCATGAGACAGCCCTCACCTTTGTTCTGAAGTCCACTTCTTTAATGATATTGATTCCATTTCCTAACCTGGCCCTCTAGTTTCATCCTGGGATAGGCATCCTGGCATGCTTTATTGGTTCCTCCTTTCAGGAATTGGACTCTACATGTGGCTGTGTCCTGCTACTTGCAAACAGAGCCCCTAGATGGAGACTCCTTTCTTTCAGGACTCCCATCACTGTTGTTCTCTGTGGTTGGTAGGACACCCTGAGCCTGCAGTGAACAACTCCTACAACCAGCTTCCTGCTTGGACCTCAACGGGTTATCAGTTTGATTCTTGGGAGCTACACTTGCCAGTAGCCTGCACCTCCTCTCTTAATCCATACAGCTGGGTCAGTTTTGCTGCATCCTCGCCCGGTTAATTGTCCAAGACACACTGTCTTAAGGAGATTTGGAATGAGAGTGAGGATGATGTCAAAGACTTGGAGGAGGCGATTCCAGTGTTGAATTAACTGTTTTTCTGATTGAAAGTCAACTTATCCTCTAGTCCAGAGGCCATCATTGAAAACAATTTTAGGGAGGCTGAGGATGCTTTCCCTCCTTTAATCTATGTAATATCATAGCCCACCGAGTTTGCCTACACCAGCAGCAGCCTCACCAGGAGAGGCGCTGACTTCATGGATGCAGCCTCCAGGGGTGACGCAGTCCAGGGCCCACACTGTAAATTGAAGTCCGCCTTGTCTTGTTCTGAAGACAATCTGCCGGCCACTTGTCAGGTACGAAGTGCTGACATGTGTTGAAATGAGAACTGGATTTGGAGTTAGGAAATCTAGTCACCTGGACCATTCTGCCATTCTGTATGACTTTGGGGAAATCACAGCCTTTCAGCCTGAGCTTCCTTTATTATAAAATGAAGAGTAAGAACGGCAGCCTTGCCCATCATGAAAGATGGTTGTAAGGATTAAAGCTGAGGTTCTCAACCAGAGGTGATTTTGTTGCCAAGGGGACATTTTACAATGTCTGAAAGGGAGTTGCTAATGACATGTAGAGAGCAAAGTTCAGGGCTGTGGCTAAACACAGGCATGGGACAGCCCCCGGCAAAGTAGCCAGCCCAACATGTCAACAGTTCAAGTTGAAACATGCATCCATTTAATGTGTTTCAGATTTAGGGTCCAGCCACAGACTGAGCTCTGCTTCCATGGAGCGCACCAGTAGGTAAGAGCAGAGACAGCACATCATCAATGGGCTTATTCCTGTTGCCCCTCTCATGCCCTACCCAAAGGCCGCCCCAGACTGGCCAATGGCCTCTACAAACCCTCTCCCATGGAGATCCAGAAGATTGCAAGTTAATCCTCACCAAAGTCCATTGATTATGGGGCTCTTGGCTCTCACTCACTGGTACACTCTATGGGAGCAGGGCTCGGTCTGCTTGTTCTGGACCCTAACATCTGAAAAGAGGCCAATGGGTTAAAGTGTTTTTTCCTTTTAAAAAAACTTTCATTTTAGGTTTGGAAGTCCATGTGAAGGTTTGTTACAAAGATAAACACATGTCATGGGGGTTGTTGTACATATTATTACATCACCCAGGTGTTAAGCTCAGTACCCAATAGTTATCTTTTCTTTTCCTCTCCTTCCTCCCACCCTCCCCATCAAGTAGACCCCAGTGTCTGCTGTTTCCTTCTTTTTGTTCATGAGTTCTCATCATTTAGCTCTCACTATAAGTGAGAACATGCTGTATTTGATTTTCTGTTCCTGAGTTAGTTTGCTAAGGATGATAGCCTCCAGCTTTATCCATGTTCCTGCAAAAGACATGATCTTGTTCTTTTTTTTCACTGCTGCATAATATTCCATGGTGTATATGTACCACATTTTCTTTATCCGTATCTGTCATTGATGGGCATTTAGGTTGATTCCACGTCTTTGCTGTTTGAAGAGTGCTGCAATGAATATTTGTGTGCATGTGTCTTTATTGTAGAATGCTTTATATTCCTCTGGGTATATACCCAGTAATGGGATTGCTGGGTTGAATGGTAGTTCTGCTTTTAGGTCTTTGAAGAATCACTGTACTGCTTTCCACAACAGTTGAACTAATTTATATTCCCACTAACAGTGTGTAAGGGTTCCCTTTTCTCCACAACCTCACCAGCATCTGTTATTTTTTAACTTATTATAAACAGCCATTCTGACTGGTGTGAAATAGTATCTCACTGTGGTTTTGATTTGCATTTCTCTAATGATCAGTGATATTGAACTTTTTTTTTAAATGCTTGTTGGACACATATATGTCTTCTTTTGAGAAGTGTCTGTTCATGTCCTTTGCCCACTTTTCAATGGGGTTTTTTGTTTTTCTCTTGTAAATTTGTTTAAGTTCCTTATAGATGCTGGATACTAGACCTTTATCAGATGCATAGTTTGCAAATATGTTCTCCCTTTCTGTAGGTTTTCTGTTTACTCTGTTGATAGTTTCTTTCGCTGCACAGCAGCTCTTAAGTTTAATTAGATCCCATTTGTCAATTTTTGCTTTGTTGCAATTGACTTTGATGTCTTTATCATGAAATCTTTGCTCATTCCTGTCTAGGATGGCATTGCCTAAGTTATCTTCCAGAGTTTTTATAGTTTTGGGTTTACATGTAAGCCTTTAATTCATCTTGAGTTGATTTTTGTGTAGCGTGTAAGGAAGCGGTCCAGCTTCAATCTTCTGCATATGGCTAGCTAGTTATCTTAGCACCATTTACTGAATAGGGAGTTTTTTTTTTCCCATTGCTTGTTTTTGTCAGCTTTGTTAAAAATCAGATGGTTGTGTTATGCCTGTAATCCCAGCACTATGGGAGGCCAAGGTGGATGGATCACCTGAGGTTAGGAGTTTGAGACCAGCCTGGGCAACATGGTGAAACCCAGTCTCTACTAAAAATACAAAAATGTACTGGGCATGGTGGTGGGTGCCTGTAATCCCAGCTGCTTGGGAGGCTGAGGCAGAAGAGTCGCTTGAACCTGGGAGGCAGAGGTTGCAGTGTGCTGAGATCACACCATTGCACTCCAACCCGGGTAACAAAACGAGACTCTGTCTCAAGATACTACTACTACTACTACTACTACTAGTACTACTACTACTACTAAAAGATTAGATAGTTGTGGATATGCTGCTTTACTTCTGGGCTTTCTATTCTGTTCCATTGGTCTGTGTGCCTGTTTTTGTACCAGTAGCATGCTGTTTGCGTCACTGTAGTCTTGTAGTATCGTTTGAAGTCGGGTAACATGATTCCTTAGTTTTGTTCTCAATAAAATACTTGCAAACCAAATCCAGCAACACATTAAAAAGCAAATCCACCATGATCAAGTAGACTTCATCCCCGCAGGCAAGGTTGGTTCAACATATGAAAACTAATCAATGTGATTCATCAGATAAACAGAACTAAAAACAAAAACCACATGACTATTTCAGTAGATACATAAAAGGCTTTTTCCCATTTATTTTAACATAAAGTTTTTAACTTCATGTTAAAAACTTTCAATAAAGTAGGTATTAAAGAAACAGACCTCAAAATAATAAGAGCCATCTATGACATACCCACAGCCAACATTTTACTGAATGGGCAAAAGCTGGAAGCATTGCCCTTGAAAACCATTACAAGACAAGAATGCCCTCTCTCACCACTTCTATTCTCTCACCACTTCTATTCAACATAGTATGGGAAGTGCTAGCCAAATCATTCAGGCAAGAGAAAGAAATAAAGGGCATCCAAATAGGAAGAGAGAAACTCAAACTATCTCTGTTCCAGATGACATCATTCTCTAGCTAGAAAACCCCATAGCCAGCTGAAGCTCCTTCAGCTGGTTAAAAACATCAGCAAAGTTGCAGGATACAAAATCAATGTGCAAAAATTACTGGCATTCCTGTACACCACCAACAACCAAACTGAGAGCCAAATCAGAAAGGCAATCTCATTCACAATTGCCACACACATAAAATAAAATAACTAGAAATATGGCTAACTAGGGAGATGATAGGTCTCTACAATGAGAATTACAAAACCTTGCTCAAAGAAATCAGAGAAGACACAGATGGAAATCATCCCATGCTCATGGATAGGAAGAATCATTATCGTTCAAATGACTATACTTTCCAAAGCAATTTACAGATTCTATGCTACTCCTATCAAACTACGAATGACACTCTTCACAAAAACTAGAAAAAAATATTTTAAAATTTATATGGAACCAAAAAAGAGCCCAAATAGCCAAGGCAATCCTAAGCAAAAAGAAATTTTTTTAATGGAAAAAGTAGCCACCATGGCCATACTTTCTGTAGGTTTTTATAAATGTAAATCAAATACAGGAAAAATTTAGAAAATAAGTAAAGGAAAGATGGCCTATGTGCAATAATGGAAAGGTAGAAGGATAAGATGTGATTAATGTTTTACAAATGCTAAAATTTCAAATAGAAATAAAGTAGAATTTTGAAATAATAGAGGTTGAGTTATAATAAAGGTAAAAGGTCAAGAGTTAGAAAATAGTATGTAATTGACAAGTCTTAAAGCCAATGATTAAGAGACAAGGCTAAACCCACAGCATAAACTAAACATTTAGAAACAATAGTGATACTTTTTAAAAAAGAGTGTTTTTTGTTTTTGTTTTGTTAGTACTTGAAAATTAAAAATAATGAGAAAGAAATAAGAAAACTCCAGTTAGAAGTAAAGGCTGTAACTAAAGCCACGGTGGCTCTGATCCCCCTGTGGTCTCTGTGGAAATGGCGACACTCCTCCAGAGTAGAGAGGACTGGGGTGGGAGCCTACATTGCATGATTGATGTCAGCTGTCCTTGTCACCCATACTGGTAAGGATCTAAGACATGGGTCAAGTCACAGCCCACAGCCAATTCTTCCTCCTTTTGCAACTTACCAGCTTACCAGGCCAGCAGGCAAGTGGGGTTTGGTTTCAGTTCTGACTCTACGGGGCCACTCCTTGCAGGGTCTGCTGCTTTCATCTCACCTGCTCGTTCTTGAACTTTCTATAATAATAGAGCAACACAAAGGCTCATGAGTGACCAAATCCCTTTCTCTTCCAGTTTTACTCCTGGATCCTCACTTTATCTACACCAATTGTATTGGAAAGCAGATAGAGGGACACCCTTTGTAATAACTTGGACTTGGGTTCAAATCATGACTTTGCCCACTATTAGCTGTGTAACTATTAAACAATTTTATTAACTTCTTTGAACTTCGGTTGTCTCATACAACAAAGGAGGAAAATATAAATAAGTTTACCCCTCTTAATTGTGCAAATGAGAACATTTTTTTAAATTTTATTATTATTATACTTTAAGTTTTAGGGTACATGTGCACAACGTGCAGGTTTGTTACATATGTATACATGTGCCATGTTGGTGTGCTGCACCCATTAACTCGTCATTTAGCATTAGGTATATCTCCTATGCTATCCTTCCGCCCTCCCCCCACCCCACAACAGTCCCTGGTGTGTGATGTTCCCCTTCCTGTGTCCATGTGTTCTCATTGTTCAATTCCCACCTATGAGTGAGAACATCTGGTGTTTGGTTTTTTGTCCCTGCAATAGTTTGCTGAGAATGATGGTTTCCAGCTTCATCCATGTCCCTACAAAGGACATGAACTCATCATTTTTTATGGCTGCATAGTATTCCATGGTGTATATGTGCCACATTTTCTTAATCCAGTCTATCGTTGTTGGACATTTGGGTTGGTTCCAAGTCTTTGCTATTGTGAATAGTGCTGCAATAAACATACGTGTGCATGTGTCTTTATAGCAGCATGATTTATAATCCTTTGGGTATACACCCAGTAATAGGATGGCTGGGTCAAATGGTATTTCTAGTTCTAGATCCCTGAGGAATCGCCACACTGACTTCCACATTGGTTGAACTAGTTTACAGTCCCACCAACAGTGTAAAAGTGTTCCTATTTCTCCACATCCTCTCCAGCACCTGTTGTTTCCTGACTTTTTAATGATCACCATTCTAAGTGGTGTGAGATGGTATCTCATTGTGGTTTTGACTTGCATTTCTCTGATGGCCAGTGATGATGAGCATTTTTTCATGTGTTGTTTTGGCTGCATAAATGTCTTCTTTTGAGAAGTGTCTGTTCATATCCTTTGCCCACTTTTTGATGGGGTTGTTTGTTTTTTTCTTGTAAACTTGAGTTCATTGTAGATTCTGGATATTAGCCCTTTGTCAGATGAGTAGGTTGCAAAAATTTTCTCCCATTCTGTAGGTTGCCTGTTCACTCTGATGGTAGTTTCTTTTGCTGTGCAGAAGCTCTTTAGTTTAATTAGATCTCATTTGTCAATTTTAGCTTTTGTTGCCATTGCTTTTGGTGTTTTAGACATGAAGTCCTTGCCCATGCCTATGTCCTGAATGGTATTGCCTAGGTTTTCTTCTAGGTTTTTTATGGTTTTAGGTCTAACATTTAAGTCTTTAATCCATCTTGAATTAATTTTTGTATAAGGTGTAAGGAAGGGATCCAGTTTCAGCTTTCTACATATGGCTAGCCAGTTTTCTCAGAACCATTTATTAAATAGGTAATCCTTTCCCCATTCATTGCTTGTTTTTGTCAGGTTTGTCAAAGATCAGATGGTTGTAGATATGCGGCATTATTTCTGAGGACTCTGTTCTGTTCCATTGGTCTATATCTCTGTTTTGGTAACAGTACCATGCTGTTTTGGTTACTGTAGCCTCATAGTATAGTTTGAAGTCAGGTAGCGTGATGCCTCCAGCTTTGTTCTTTTGGCTTAGGATTGACTTGGCAATGTGGGCTCTTTTTTGGTGCCATATGAACTTTAAAGTAGTTTTTTCCAATTCTGTGAAGATAGTCATTGGTAGCTTGATGGGGATGGCATTGAATCTATAAATTACCTTGGGCAGTATGGCCATTCTCACGATATTGATTCTCCCTACCCATGAGCGTGGAATGTTCTTCCATTTGTTTGTATCCTCTTTTATTTCCTTGAGCAGTGGTTTGTAGTTCTCCTTGAAGAGGTCCTTCACATCCCTTGTAAGTTGGATTCCTAGATATTTTATTCTCTTTGAAGCAATTGTGAATGGGAGTTCACTCATGATTTGGCTCTCTGTTTGTCTGTTATTGGTGTATAAGAATGCTTGTGATTTTTGTACATTGATTTTGTATCCTGAGACTTTGCTGAAGTTGCTTATCAGCTTGAGGCGATTTTGGGCTGAGACGATGGGGTTTTCTAGATATACAATCATGTCGTCTGCAAACAGGGACAATTTGACTTCCTCTTTTCCTAATTGAATACCCTTTATTTCCTTCTCCTGCCTGATTGCCCTGGCCAGAACTTCCGACACTATGTTGAATAGGAGAGGTGAGAGAGGGCATCCCTGTCTTGTGCCAGTTTTCAAAGGGAATGCTTCCAGTTTTTGCCCATTCAGTATGATATTGGCTGTGGGTTTGTCATAGATAGCTCTTATTATTTTGAGATATGTCCCATCAAAACATTTTTTAGATTGTGAGCTAGTCGAGGATAGGGGCCGTTTCTTATTTGCCTTTGTGTCCTCAATATTTAGTAAAGTGCCCAGCACTTGGTAACTGCTGTATGCTTTTCTAATGATAATGATGAAAACTGAGGTTTTGAGTATTGCATTACTATATGCCAGGAATTGTGCTATGCATTTTACTCTGATTATATCAATTAATCTTTAAGGCTGGGCACAGTGGCTCATGCCTGTAATCCCAGCCCATTGGGAGGCCGAGGCAGGTGGATCACCTGAGGTCAGGAGTTCGAGACCACGCTGGCCAACATGGCAAAACCCCATCTCTACTAAAAATGCAAAAATCAGCTGGGCATGATGGCAGGCACCTGTAATCCCAGCTACTTGGGAGGCTGAGGCAGGAGAATCGCTTGACCTTGGAAGGCGGAGGTTGCAGTGAGCCGAGATCATGTCACTGCACTCCAGCCTGGGTGACAGAGCAAGACTTCATCTCAAAAAAAAAAAAAAAAAATTAAAACACACCCACAAGGTTTATAATATCATTATTCTGTTTTATAGATGAGGCATAGAAGTAATTTGCCCAAGGTCACCTAGCTAGTTTTCAGTTTTTAGCCGTCTTTTAATGAGTGCCTAGGTTTTTAGTAAGCATAGGAGTTAAGAAAGTCAAACGGAAACTGAAGAATATCTAAAATAGCCACCAAACCCGTATAGTGTTCTCTGCAGCTTTGTCTCTGAATACCTCCAAGTGTCTTCTCAAAACTCATATTTACAGTGCGAGCACCTTGTCAGTTTGATCAGAACCCTGGTGCACATGATTCCAGGCTTAGGTGGACTCCCCTTTACTTGGCCTCCGAGTAGTAGCTGTACCCAGGGTCCCCGAACTCTGCTGCAACCCCAACATACCAGGGAACATTGAACAGTCATTCTATGTCTCTGCCTATCAAAGGAAGTGGAGGCTTCAGTGCTGCTCAGAGAATCTGGCAATTATGAAAGTTTAGGTCTATAGAATTCCATGTATCTATGTTGGTCCTTAAACAGAAGTTAGGTAGATAACCTGATTGAGAGAAGAAGGGAAAATGAGCATAAACTAAAGAGATGGGCAGATAGCCTTAAGGAGGGGCAGATTTATCGAAGCTTGAGATCTGCTGTTTCAGAGAATCCAATGCTAATTCCACGATTTTTTTCTGTTACCTCCCTGTCTAGGAATCTGACCCTAGAGAATTACCTCGAGCAGTTGACACTCCAGATGGATATATAAGGCCACACTATCTCTGCAATGAGCGTAAATACACTGAAACACAAGCAGTAATCCTAGAGTCTGCACAAAAACCTGGTGCCAAAATATACAAATGGATCCTTCTAGTACATCCTGGACATTTAGGAAAAACACTTCCTAACCCCTCACCTGCTAACAACTCACACACCACATATCCCCCGCCCACATACACACATACCCACATACCCCCTCATACACACACCCCACCCACATCCCACACACACTACACACACCCACACCCACATACACACACTCACCCTCCCCACACACCCACACCCTCCCCCCACATACACACACCACCACATACCCCATCTCGTGCACACATCCCACCCACACCCCACACACACATACACGCACCCACACCCACATACACACACCCTCCCCATACACCCACACCCCCTCACCCACATACACACACCACCACATACCCCACCTCATACACACACCCCACCCACGCCCCACACACACACTCGCCGCCCCACACACCCTCACCCACACCTCCCTCACTTATACACCCCCCACACCCACACGTCACTACACAATATACACACAATCATACACCCACAACCCCCACCCACAAATGTACACACACCCACACCCCACATCCACATCCACACACTCACTGCCCCACACACCCTCACCTACACCTCCCCCACTTATATACCCCCTACACCCACACCCCACTACACAATATACACACCCATACTCACACCCCCACCCCCACCCACACACATACACCCACACTCCCCAACACCCACATACACCCACCCACACTCTGTACACACATATACCCACAACCCAACACCCACATACACACACCGACACCCCACACACACATATACCCACACCCACTCCCCCCACACACTTACACATACCCACACTCCCACACATACACACACCCACACCCCCTCATACACATACACACACACCCCACACACACATACACACACATACACGCACCCACACACATGCATATCCACACCCACTGTTTCCACACACTTATACATACCCACACCCCCAAACACATACACCCCCACCCCCACACACACATACACACACCCACTCCCCCCACACACTTATACATACCCACACCCCCACACACACCCACACCCCCACACACATACACACACCCCACATACACACACCCACACTCCTCATCTTCTCTTCTTCTTGTTTCCCACACAAAGGAGAGGCAAAATCGGGTGGAATAAAGCTCTCAATTGTTTTTGGAGGGAAAGAGGACTCAGTTATGAACTGACAAGAAAATAAAGCAGCAAGAAAAACAGGTTCAGGATTGCACTCAGTTTTGCTGAGAAAAACAGGAAAAGATGAGCAAGAAATGAGGCTTAATTTTAATGAAGGAAAATTTGCTGCTAAGTAAAGAGATTGCAGGAAGTGGGAGTGCACAGCTTCAGACAAGAGCAAGGCCTTCCGTTCTATTGTGATGGACAAGAGTTTGTTCTTTAGGAAACAGCATTAGCACACAAAAGACTGAAGAGGACAAAATGCTTGAGGTGGAGTCCAGAACAGAGGGCCGCATTGCAGGAAAGAAGGGACCCACTTTCTTCCCAGATGAGCTCTGTAGAGGTCGATTAAGGACATGTCTTTCTCATTCTCTAATTCCTAGTTTTCTCCCATATGAGCACTTTGAACATAGAAAACAGGCTGCTCATCTTGGCAAGTAGTCATCCCTCCTGCCTAGAGTAACTTGATCAGATTTCCTGATAATGGGTTCTTAGGACATCTTAAAACGTCATCATCATTTATTGCCTATTAATAGAATTACAATTTATATATATTCTAATCTACTAAAAGTGGGATATATATGTCTACATATACAAGCACATATATGCACAAACATATATATATAATCTCTCTGTTTTTTGGTTGTTTCTGCATTTTGATAGGCGTTAAAATTACTTCAGTGGGAATAGAGTTTTGTTGGAGTAAAATGACAAAAGGTAAATTGTTTCCACTTGCTAGTTGAAGTTAACAAGCTAGCAACAATTGGAGTAATTTTGTAGGTGTTTGAGCACATAAGGGAGGCTGGGAATGAGCACCCCAAATAATGCCATCCGGCAATCTAATATTTTATGGGTAAACGAAGAGGCCAAAAAAGAATGCTTTGATACATATTTATGCCAAATCAGAACTTCTCGCATTCGCTATCAGAATACAGCACGTCTGAAGCAGTGCACAGTGAGAATGTACTGGGCTTTTCATACCAGAGCTTCCATTAGGAAGGGAGTCTAGTGACGTGGCTCAGCCCACGGGGCCCTTCACCACTGCCAAGGACTGAGGCCAAGACCTTCGTCTCCCCTCCCCTCTCCAGGAGGACAGGCTTCATCCAGAGAACCCAGAATATAGAACGTGGTACTTGCAAATCCTCATCATAGATGCAGTCAAAGAGATTCAAGGATGCAGAGAGGTACAGATGGAGAGTATATAATGATACTATATGTAGAATATACATATATAGAATATATCTATAATACTATATACTATTCTGTATAGCTATAATACTATAGCTCTAATTCTATATATAGAACATATATCTACACACACACATATGAATATATATTTATACATCTCTACACTAAAATTAGATTCTCTGTGGGCAAGAAAGTATTGGCATTGATGTCCTTTTGAAGAATAAAACATTCTCAGCCTCTTTCAAATTTGTGCCTGATTGGTGACAATTTAGCCCTGCCCATAGCAGAGGAACAAGGCCTGCCCCCGCTGCCCTGTAACTGAGGCCGGAGGTCCCACTGCCCTCAGAGAGACAGCCCACCTGGGGCACAGAGGCCCGTAGGCGTCTTAGCAGTTGCTTCTAAAAAGGATTTTCTTCCCTCCCCAGCAGTATGGTTTTATACAGACCCAGAATTCCGTTTTTTCCTAGACGTTCTAGACAACTTCAGAGAGCAAAGTTTTTCTTCATCTTGATTCCAGGCCTGCATTCTTAGATAATTGATTTTTTCACTTGGGCTGAGCAGAGGCAGCATGGCTGTAATTACAGAGTGGTGGCATGCCATCCCGAAAATTTTTTTTTCTCTTTCTCTCAGAAACTTCTCACATCTTGGATTTGAGCAAGGTGGAGACAATCTTTTCAGACCATGGAGCAGGCAGGGATCAGACAACATTTGCCATGAAAAGAGAAAATATTCTAAAAGACCCTCTTCAAATATTCAGGGAGAACCACAGAATGCTGAAGAAAATCCTTATCAGGAATTTTAATGAGCAAAATAAAATATGAAATCAGTGTGATTAAAATCAAATCTTCCCCCTTCTGCTTGGCTGGAGCCGGCTGCCAACTCCGAATGTGGGGAGGCACAGGGAGGCCTTTTGTATTTAATTACTGCCAGGGCTTTTTCTCAGTTCAAAGCTCTCTCCCAAGCCCCCACAGGGGTAATGGAGAACTTGAGAGAACAAATAACCTCCCTTCTGAGTGATTTAGAATCCTGGACAACAAACAATAAACATTTTAACTGAATTGGAGAGACCAAGCCAACTTGCCTTAATTTGTGTCCCTGTTGGGAGCACGGAGAGGGCATAAATGAAGTTTGGGGGAAACTGGGATGTGGGAGCATGCCCCACCTTACCAGGATGGCCCCTTAGTGGCCACTCCGTTCTTTATTTTGTCCCCTCCTTTGTTTTCTCCCAGAATCTCTTTATGCATCTCAAGCCTACAATACTCTGCGATACCTGGACTGTGATATTCACTTCTCCTGCCTGGTGGCCTAGTGGATGCCTCAGCCCACTTGGAGATGGGTCAGTTCTGTCAGTTGCCTTTAGCTCCAGCTTCTGAACTCTGGGCACGGACTGAACACCACCAATAGCATGACCCACAAGAACTGTCCTCAGTGCTGAAGCATTTCCTTCCTTGGTGGTCAGGACAGCTGCTTTTCTCTGGGTGCCTTTCGGGTGCTTGTTAATTTGCAAAGCCTATTTATATAGTGTCTGACTCTTCAGTTCTAACCATATTATTTTTCCATTTACATTCAGATTTGTTTCATTCCAAGCAGTGATTTCATCACCTTTGTCCTATGTGAGGGTGTTTTACATAAGCATTAGAATTGAACAGAACACAAGTGGGCTGTGGAGACTCTCCAGAAATCCAATCTTCTGCTTCTCAGATGAGGAGGTGATAATTGATGTTTTGCCACCAGATACCCTCATGTGGACTGTGAAGCTGGTTTTGCTCTGGCACATGCCTTCCCCCAGCTTGTCCACTGTGGGTAGGAGTGAAACAGGAGATGGCATGAGCTTGGACCACAGGTATCCAGATCCCTGAGTACTAGTGGTGGTCAACGTGCTGGTGGGCTGTTTCTTCTCCCTGAGATTCAGTCTGACTCGTGTCCTGTACCCTACACTTAGATATATTAACAGCATTCTTTTCAATTTAATGTCTGTTAGTATTAACTCAATTTTGTATATACCAGGTCTTGTGCAAGTAGATGTTGAAAAATACACAATTCCTAATTGCTCAGTTGTTTGTTCATTCTTTCAACTAATATTTGTCGGGCAGATATCATGTGTCTGGCACCATGCTAATTTCCAGGAAAAAAGCAGCAGGGTAGGTGGGGAGATGACAGCTTGAACTAAAAACTGGACATATTGAGAAGGGTTTTGGAGATAGAACCAGGGCCTTGGGTGGCGGATTGGATGCGAAAATGTGTAATCAAGGGATACTCCTATATTGTCAGTTTTAACAATTGGGTCATTGGTGGTAGCATTTATATGTCTTGGGGAAGGCTGAAGGCTCTTCCTCAAGTGCCTAAAACCCAGTCTTTTTTTTTGTGGTTGTTCTGATCTTTAATGCAGTAGTTGAAGCAGTGCTCAGAATCAACTGGCATGGGTTTAACTTATTAAAAATCCATTGGCTGGGGCCCACCCCAGTCTTGTTAATTCAACTTATTTGGATGGTGGGACCTAAGCATTTGTGTTTGAAAAAGATCGCCAGACGATTTGTTTGCATATCCCAGTTGAAAAGAATACTTCTGAAAAATGGCATTAAAACATATGTATTATGTGTTTGTGTGCGGGATGTGCATGTATATCTGTATAATCCAACCATGATATGTTTTTAATCTCACACTGAGGTCTCCAGACACCTACCTTTAATTCATCTCTGCCCAATTACCATCAGTCAGTGGCTGCTTAGAGAATGAAACCAATTTTAATATTGATCAGAACAGAGCATAGATAAGTAGATTCAAATGCTGAGTAAGAAAGACCATAGGTTGCAGCCTATGGCCATCAGCCATCTTTAAATGAGTTTGAAATCTTGTATCTGTATTTTTTATTTTTTTAAACTAGCAGCTGCCTTTCATTTGAATGAATAATTGAAAGTTGATGGCATTTGTTAATATGAAACCGCATGTGTTGCGTGTTCCCACATGTGTAATCTTGAATATTTTTCAGCAGAAGACTTCTGCTGTTCGATACTATGGTTTCGGATATTATATGCTTTTCAAATGCCATCCTGCTTGAGGTTTGCAGTCAAATACAGTGATCATGAACACTCATGCCTACTCGTATGTTTGAAATAGTCACGCAGGTATTTTCCATGGCAGCCACCACCTGGAACCCACGGAATCAAACTCGAGTTTCTAATAACCGGTTGGCACTTGGCACATCTGTCTGTTATTATATATTTCAACTAAAGTAGGGTCAATAGCTAATGTGCATTAATATGAAGTAATAAGACAAATGGGTATTTGCTGCACAGGCAGTTAGAAGCAATATTGAAAAGCCTGATTTTATGCTTTTGACATAACCCAAATTGCAGTGTAACATGCCTGTCCAGAGTGGCCCATCCTGTGAAAATGTCTTTTCAGGCCCCTCAAAGGCGAAATCCCACCCACCTGTGAGAAGAGGAAATATTTAGGCCCACATGTGCACACACAAGAGGAGGTCTGTCCCCCCAGACTCCTGTACACTGGCAGTCTGATACGATCTATCTTTTGAATACACCATCCAAACCAACTATGAATGAAATCAATTTAACCAAAATCAATGCTCTTTTGTAGAGCTGCTTAGACTCTAAGTGGAAATGAAACCTTTGAAGCTGCCCTCTCTCAGTAAATGCGGTACTTACGGAGCTTCTGATGGCAGCAGGAGCTTGCAGAATCTTACTCTGTCCAGCACTGCACCTTCATTCCAGAAGCTGGAGAGTAACTAGGAAATGAGTAGAAAAGGAATACATTATGGGTTTTGTTTTTTTTAAAAAAAGTATTTCCTTATCTTAATTTCTACCAAATACGGCATGTTTTATTGTCCCCCCACCTTCCCCCAAGTTCTGGTCACCAGTCTTCAGATACATGCCCTATCCGTACATGAAGACATGGCTGAGGGGTTGTTAAAGTCTCCTTAAGAAGAGGAGCTGGGGGACTCCAGCTGTCTCCTGTTTATTGAAGGAGAATGGCTCTCTGTTTTCTGCCTTAGCCAAACTCCACGGCTGATAAGACCACATCCTCAGCCCTCAGCCAGCTGGGTGCTGCCGTTATTGTGTTCTGCGTATTGAGCAGACTTGCGGGCCCATAAAACAATTTCCTTCATGGACTTTACATCCAGCAGAGATGTTGGTATGGGAAAAAGGAGAGACAGCACAGACCCAGGAAAACCATCCAATTCTAAATTGTGGGGTGACCCATACTGTTTATTTATACATTGGCAAAGTTGGTTGATTGGGATGTTTCCAGAGAAGAGCATAATTTTAAGAGTTTTTATTTTAAATTATAAAATGCATACTTTAAAAGGATGATAGCTTTCCAGGATTGGCAAAAATTCATTAGCTTTCTTTTAAATTTATGAAAGGGGAGGTGGTGATAAGAGCTAACACTTATTAGATGTTTATGCTGTTTTGAGCACTCTGATACTTGCTTCATTTAATTTTCTCATTTAATTACAACAAGAACCTCTGAGTTAGGTAGGTTACTACTCTTATTTTATGTGTGAGGAATAGATACTTAGAGGAGAAAACTTCTGAAAGGCCTCACGCAGGATAAGTGGCAAATTTAGGACCCAAAACCAGTTTCATCAGCCTGACTTGAGTTCCATGGGATCCAGAAAAAATAACTATTATTGAATAGGAGGGGCGATGGGTAAGGAGGAAGAATAGACAATGAAGGAAATAGTACAAATTCTGTCTTTAAACAGATTGTCTATTCATTCAATTAACCAAATATTGATCAGATTAGAAAAATTAAGTGTGTCAGTCAATGAGTTTCAGTACATATTAGGGAAAATAAAATTTGTATAGTTTCAAAGACATCTAAAATAACGGGTGAAATGAGAACACTACTGGAGAGGAATGCATTGCTTAGTGACAAGGACAGACATTGCTTCACCACTGGCATCCATCAACATCAAGGACGAAGCAGAGTCAGATCCAGTTTCTACAATGCATTTCCTGGAAAACTTTGAAGGTTTAAGAGTGTGGTCCCACACCAACCTGATGCATATGCCTTGGAAATTCCAAAAAATTCTGTTTTTTCTGAACTACTCAAATAAATTAGGCCAAAGACTTGTCAGTAGCCAGGAGCCACAGGGTCATTTTGTTTCAGTGTTTCCTCCAGGGCGACCTCAGGAGCTGCCAGCTGTAAGCCTGAGCTCTCCTAGACTGGTTCCACTGTGACACTGGCATCTCTGTGTGCCTTGCTGTGTCCGTCTCTTTTGAACTCACTGGATGAGTTAACACTCAGCCAGTTAAGGCTTAGACAGGCTCGGACTTACAGCCATTGAAGATGTGGCAGACGAGGGCCGAGAGGAGAGAAAGCAAAACAAGGTTTTTATTTTTTATGTTTTGCCTAGGTGATTAGAGGATCCAGAAGTGTTGGAATTGATGCTGGTGGTGTTTTAATTTATGGGTATTCTTCCTTTCTGGAAGATCACAGAAGCGTTGCCACTAAGCGCAACAAATCCCAAACCATTCTGAGAAAAGAATTTGAACAAAGAATTTGAGCCTGTCGGGACCTCGGAAGAAGACTCTTACTGTCTCATAAGGGAGACTTAAGGGACAGCTGGGTGGCCTGTGAACTATGCTGTGTGTGGTCAGTTCAGAGGCAGTACTGGGGAGAAAAGATGCTCTGATTTTTCATTCACATTTTCCATCTCACCTGGGTGCACAACTTGACTGGGCTGCTTCAATGTCTTGACTTGCCAACATGATGTGTCATGAATATTTTTTAAAAGACACCAAAAGAACAGACTCTTTCTGATTGGTATCCTAGGTGAAAATGAAATTTAAAAATCTTATCATCTTAGACCAGTAAAATCACTGAGGTTGCAAGCAAAACAAGTGTGAATATCGACATCAATATTAGCTGCGTGGCCTCATGATTTATTTTATTTTATTTTTATTTTTTGAGACAGAGTCACCCTCTGTCACCCAGGCTGGAGTGCAGTGGTGTGATCTCGGCTCACTGCAACCTCTGTCTCCTGGGTTCAAGAAATGTTCCTGCCTCAGCCTCCCGAGTAGCTGGGATTACAGGTGCCCGTGGCTAATTTTTGTATTTTTAGTAGAGATGGGGTTTCACCATGTTGGCCAGGCTGCTCTCAAACTCCTGACCTCAAGTAATCTGCCCACCTTGGTCTCCCAAAGTGCTGAGATTACAGGCGTGAACCACTGCTCCCAGCCCCTCATGAATTTTTAGGCATAGAGAATGGAGCCAGTAACCGCTGTAGCGTGCTCATTACTGCACTAAATGCGACAGGGTGAACTAGCAGATATCGTCAAAGAAAAACCATAGCTGGATAGTAGTTAATGGGGTAAAAACAGATTTTATGAAGGACTCTCACAATAGGGAAAAAGGTCTAGGGTAGAACTGGCTCAATTCCAAATATATCCTGGCAAATGGGAATTTATAGCCCAGGAACAGGGTGGGGGGTCAGTGGATGGAAAGTTACTAAGAGGAAACAGCAGGGGTCATGGCGATTCTAACTAAACAGACCAAACGAGATTCTTGCTGAAGACAGGCCAGGGGGACCAAACGTCATCTGGGGGATGGTGGAGGAGGTGGAGCCTAATCAGATATCCAGGATGATGAGGTATAGAGCGTGAGGAGTTCTTCGTAAACTGACTTTGCAGGGTTCTTTTCTGCAGCTGTGTTTTACAAGGAAGTGCACAGACTGATGAAGGAGAGGGTCTAGGAGCCTAAATAACATTTAGCCAAGCAAATAATCTTTGCTAACCCAGACGTGTGTATGTTCTGATCAACAACCTGATTGTCCTAAAAGAGCCAGCACAAAGCGTGTGATGGAGAGTGCAGAAGTGCTGGCCACAATGCCAGTGGGACATCACAGAGGCAGGTTGTTTCCCTGGGTTTTTGTCGTTGGCAAGTAACCCAACCTCTCTGTGCTTTAGTTTCCTCTCTGTGATCTGGAAATCATAATCATTCGATCTACCTCCTAGTGTAGTTCTGAGGCATAAATGCTCATGAAGCGCTTCGATGTGGGCCTAATAATAGGCAAGCAATGAACAGTATTTACCGTTACAGCAAAAAGCTTTGTAGAACTGTCTATCACCATGAGCTTACAATTTGAGGCTAACACGCTACCACTGGTGGTACACTTAGGTATAGGCCACATGAGAAAAATTTAAGAAACTGAATCTGGAGGTTCTGCTAATAAGCTAGAAGCTACTTGACATGCTGTTTGTTGCTGAATTATCTCATCTGGTTTTAAGTTTACATGGTGGAGCGAGGTCAGGCAGAGCCAATAGGCAGAGATACAACAGCATACACAGTAAATACTCCATAAACATATGACAAATACTATCACTATGATACTCACTTCTAACTCCGTTGCGACTACTACGACAACAACTTCTGCTAATAAAAGCAGGAATAAAAGCATCTTGCCTCTCAGCAAGTGGGCCCAAGGAAAAGGAAATAAAAGACAATGTTTTGCTTTGAATGAAAGTTAACTTGTAAGTTTGCACAAACCAGTGTTTCAAAATAAGTCGAAGTTTGTGCATTTTATGCATCAGGAGAGGGGATAAATGCCCTGGATTTTATTTATTCTGTGATAGATAAGTTTTCAAATTTTGAAACATTCCTGATATTCTAATATGTGTTTGATAGCATGTTTCAGGTTAACCAGAAGTATTTTTTTCTTTCTTAGAGGATCGTAGAATAATGATGGTATAGTCTGTAAACAATTACATTTTATTTTACTTTATGTATTTTTTATTTTTTGACATAGCATCTCGCTCTGTCACCCAGGCTGGAGTGCAGCAGTGTGATCTTGGCTCACTGCAACCTCCGCCTCTGGGTTCAGGTGATTCTTGGGCCTCAGCCTCTTGAGTAGCTGGGACTACAGGCATTCGCCACCACGCCCAGCTAATTTTTGTATTTTTAGTAGAGATGGGGTTTCACCATGTTGGCCAGGCTGCTCTCAAGCTCCTGACTTTAGGTGATCTGCCCACCTTGGCCTCCCAAAGTGCTGGGATTACAGGTGTGAGCCACTGTGCCTAGCCTAACAGTTACATGTTAGCTTCAGTGAAATGTAATCATGAAACTGAGTTTGGGAAAAATAGCCATTAAACACTGAAAATATATTTACGTGGGGCTTAGCGATGAAGTCATAATTTCTTTAATGCATCATATTTCACTAGTGCTGAATATCCCCGCATATATAACATGCATGCAGATACTTATATCCATACATATTAACACAAACAAAACCAAAAAGCTAGATGTTTAAGACCAGGGGTTAAGAGTCATAAACATAGTTTCTAATTCCTATTTTATGTTATTATTTTATTTTACTTTAAGTTCTGGAATACATGTGCAGAATGTGCAGGTTTGTTACATAGGTATACATGTGCCATGGTGGTTTGCTGCACCCATCAACCCATCATCCGGGTTTTAAGCCCCGCATGCATTAGGTATTTGTCCTAATGCTCTCCCTCCCCTGACACGCCCCACTGTGTGATGTTCCCCTCCCTGTGTCCATGTGTTCTCATTCTTCAACTCCCACTTATGAGTGAGGACATGTGGTATTTGGTTCTAATTCCTATTTTATTAGCCTGGGAACAGAATAAAAAGGGGCTGGTGCCTACATTCTTTCTGTGAATATCTAGATTGTTCCTGCTTGGTTCTTTGTATGGTTGAGAATATTCTTGTTGCTTCTCCGACTTTACCTCTTACCATCCTCCTCCCCTTCTGCTTCAACCACCTCAGTCTTGTTCCTATCTGAGCATACAGAATGTGCCCTGGCCTTACAAGCCTGACTCTGGTCTCCTCTTCCTGGAATGCTCCTCTCCAGATACTCACATTTTCACTGTCTGCCTATAATTCCTACCAGGCCTCCTTACTCTCCTACTAATTTTTTCTCATTTAGCATTTCTTACTATCTGGAGATGAGATGACTTTGCTCATTTGTCTTGCCTATTCAATGAGGGCTCAACAGAGGCAAGAAATCTCAAATGTGTTGTTCTTGCTGCTGCACCCCAAAACCTTGAGTAGTACCCACCACAGAGCAGAAACTCACAACATTTGTCGAATTAGTTCACTGATGATGAAGGTATTGATTTTGTGGCTATATATAATATAGAGCAAGGTGAAGAGGGACATGAATTCTTTTTTTTCCCTGGGATGGAGTTTTGCTCTTGTCTCCCAGGCTGGAGTGTGGTGGCATGATCTTGGCTCACTGCAACTTCTGCCTCCTGGGTTCAAGCAATTCTTGTGCCTCAGCCTCCCAAGTAGCTGGAACTACAAGCACGTGCCACTATGCCGGGCTAATTTTGTATTTTTAGTAGAGACAGGGATTCACCATGTTGACCAGGCTGGTCTTAAACTCTTGACCTCAAGTAATCCACCCGCTTTGGCCTTCCAAAGTGCTGGGATTATAGGCGTGAGCCACCACACCCAGCCTGAAATGGTTTTAATGTGCTTATTCTAGCAATGGCCTCAAATGTGAATTTCATCTTGAGGTGACTTTGGAAAGAAAGAGATTTTCTAGTTTAGTGCTAGTAGTGGTTTTCCTAAGTGTCAATTCAACATATAGACCAGCATTTCCACCCCAGAAATAAAGAGTCCTCTCAGTGGTCAAGGCGATTTTATAAGCAAATGAGTTTGCGGCACTCAAGTTAATGTAATATCACAAGAATAATATGTCCAATTAAATTTTATTGTCATTAGATTCCACTTTAAAAAGTGCACATGCTTTAAATTTTCATATTTTACAAAAGGAAAAGTAGATACATGGCTTTTCTGGACCTGTCTGAAAGCCTCATTTTTAAGGTTAAGAAAATACTAAGTTCCAGAGAAATGTATAATAAGAGACATGCATCTAATTCAATGAATTTGCAAACCTCCTCATTTTACCTTATTTAGTTAGGTTTTACATGGTTCAGTTTTTAATTCTACCCAATACACGTGGTTTCTCTTCTAACACACACACACGCACACACACTGAGGTGTGGTTTTCAAGGTCCTATCATGTTTAGCAAATATTTCGGATGAAACGATATGTTCATCTGTTACGCTGATTGCCAAGATTACAGCACGACAACAAACATTATTTGGGGGATAGAAGCTAAAATTACAGCCCACTCTCTCTGCCGTCTGCAGTGATGAACAGATGCACGTTAATTTTTTGCGGCAATGTCCATTGCTTGGGAGCCGTGGGCACATGGAGCCTTAGCGTCCTGGCCAGGCGTGCCTGATGGTTCTGTGGGGGAGACCATTGAGTCGAGGGCTGCTGATAAAGTCAACATCAGGGCCTCTTCCTAGAAAGGCTGCAGCAATAAGTGTGTGGGAAAGACATGAATATGGTAGGAAATGATGGCAGCGTGGACTGTGTTTTTCTTTTCTTTCTTTTTTTTTTTTTTCTTATTATGGAAGGCAGCATGGAAAACATAGCAGAGGAAGGTTTTGGCTGTAGAGATGAATAGTGTGCAGAAGCCAATCCATGGTTCTGGGGCAAAAAAATATCCACAGAAGTTTCAAGATTTTCGTATAAGCACATGTAGAAAGGGAGAAATGTTTACAATTGGTTCCAAGTTTCAAATTGTCTAATTTTGACATGAAGTTTAGAAGGATGTTTAGAAGGTTCTGTAGTGTATTGAATTTAATTAGTTTTTAAAATGTGAGCTAGTTTAGCTAGTTTCTTATAATGTCTGAAATCTTTTTTTTTTTTTTTTTTTTTTTTTTTTTGAGACGGAGTCTCGCTGTAGCCCAGGCTGGAGTGCAGTGGCGCGATCTCGGCTCACTGCAAGCTCCGACTCCTGGGTTCACGCCATTCTCCTGCCTCAGCCTCCCAAGTAGCTGGGACTACAGGCGCCCGCCACTACGCCCGGCTAATTTTTTGTATTTTTAGTAGAGACGAGGTTTCACCGTGTTAGCCGGGATGGTCTCGATCTCCTGACCTCGTGATCCGCCCGCCTCGGCCTCCCAAAGTGCTGGGATTACAGGCGTGAGCCACTGCGCCCAGCCTGAAATCGTATTCTTATAGCAAATAAATAATGGACTTCTTCAAACTGATAGTTCTCTCTGTACCATTATATTAGTTTTCTATCATCGCTGTCACAAATCAACACAACCTGAGTGGTTTAAAACAACATAAATGTTTTCTCTTACAGTTTTATAGCACAGAAATCTAACTCGGGTCTCCATGGGCTAAAATCAGGGTGTCGGTAGGATGGTGTGTGTTTCTGGGACTCTAGGAGAAGATCCATTTCCTTGTCTTTTCAGCTTCTAAAGGCCACCTGCATTCCCTGGCTCCTGGCCTCTTCTCTCATATCCAAAGCCAATATTATAGTATCTCTTGGGCCCCGCTTCAGGTGTCACATCACTTTCTTGACCACAGCCTGGAAATGTTCCAGGATGCTCTTAAGAACCCTTGTGAATAAATGGGACTCGTGGAATAGTCCAGCATAATCTTTCCATCACAAGGTCTTTCATTTAATTGCATCTGCAAAAATCCCTTTTGCCATGTAAAGTAATGCATTCACAGGTTCTTGGAAGTGAGGGACATTATTCCATCTACCAAAACTATGTAAGACCGAAGTGATGTTGAGTGGAATCTGCCTCTATGATTTGCAGTCTATTTATTTGTGAACAGTTAGTGTTTAAAGATAACACCTTTGGAGTCAGGCAGATTTCAGTTCAAATCCTGAATATGTCATTCATTCATTTATCAAATACATATTGACTGAATGCCTATTATGTGCTAAGCTTTGTTCTGATCACCGGGAATATTACATTGAATAAGACAAATTTGCTGCTCCGTGCATTTATATGGCGATGGGGATGCAGACCGCATATAAATAAAGAAGTATATCATGTACTATCAGATAGTGATAAATACCATAAAGATAAACGGTAGTGCAGGCTTATGCTGTCCATGCACGGAAGTCACTATGTCACTCTAGCTATGTGTATAATCACTCATTCATTTATTGATTCATTTATGTTACCATCAAACTTGTCTTTGGGACACTTATGGTGAATAGGACATTATGAAAGCATTTTAATATACCGCCTATCCTTTAATCATCAGTATAAATCTATGAGATTTTTTTTCCAACTTTGAGGATAAGAAAACTGAGGCTTAAAGAAGTTAAATGACTGTTTATATTACTTTTTATCATGTGGCAGGCAATTAAATGACAGAGTTTTAGAATGTCATTAAACTTGAACTTTTTAAAAAACTCTATTTTTTAGCTAAGCAGGTGGTGAACCCCTTGCAAGTAGTAGAAGGGAAAGTAAAGCTTGGGTTGGGGCTTCAAGCCCTTTAGTATTCAATCTTGAGACAATACACTTTCTTTGAGCCTCCACTAATTTTCTTTTGATCATTATGGGGCTATTCTGTCTTTGATCAATCATTTATATCTGTGTTTACACAGGCTGAGCAAAGGGAAGAGTTAGACAATTACCCCTGCCTTGGAACTAATTCAAACAGCCTATTCAGGGCTACGGCTCATCTTCTCTGATTTCATTCTCACTGCTCAGGTACAGATGCTGAGTACACACAGGCTGGGTGAAACGAAGGAGAGGAGCAAGATCAGAGAATCCGTGCGAAACAAGTCTCACAATGCGGTGTTTTGTTGTTGCTGTTGATGATGTCCTTTGTGATAGTAGTGATGGTGGATATTCTTTCTTTTGGGGGGAAGCATATTTGTTTCTTTTGGTTGATTAGAGGAGCTTCACTGGCTGTGTACATTTATCACTTGAATGCATTTGTCATAACATATTTGGAGAGAATTCGGATATAAATGAATTCTCAATCTCTACAGAGGAAAAGTATTCAGCAGATGAGCCTCCAAATGACTGTCATCTTTAATATCTATTTGATTATGTATATATTTTATGTTTAAACTGTGACTATTTTTTCCTGGCTTTCCTGGACAGAGGTCGATTTGCCAGCTCAGCTTGACATAAGCACTGGGACTCATTCTGCAGCAGAGTGAATAAAGCCCCTGCAGTGAATGATGGGCCTCAACATCAAGTCTGTTCCATATCTCCCCTACTCTGGCTGTGGCCCCAGCTCTTGGTGGAGAAGCACTGTGACACTTCTGTCAGAAATGCCCAGCTGTAACACTGTCCTCATAGCTTGTCTCCTTGTGTCCACGCCTGAATGTCTACTTTAATAATTTCTCTATGCCCCAGTTTCCCCAAACCTGGGCCTTGACTTTGACTTGCTCTCAGACAATGGACTCCTGCCCACAGTGTGGGCCCTTCTATCTGCTGCTAGGCCACATTCACTCCTGTGGGTGGCCAGCCTGCCCCATTCCATCTTAGCTTCCCAAATTGCTTGAAATTTCTCTTTCTTGATCCCTCTGAATCATACATTTTTTAGAACACTACGTCCTGTCTTCCTATTTAGAGTTTATTTCTTCTCCTACAGCTGGATTTGACCCAAACACCCCATCCCATTGTACCTGAGCTTCTGTTTGAACACCAGCTGAGCATTTTGCTTTTAGAATCCTAAGACCTCACCACTAATGATGCAGTTTTGATGCCTAAAATCACTAGAAAGTCTGGGCCAAATTCTCAGTGCTTTCAACAAACTGGAGGAAAAGCTGTTATGTTGCATAACAAGAAGAATAAGTGTGTTCTGCATCTCTTCTTCTGAACTCACATCTTTTGCCCTCCTAGTAAACCACCTCTCTTCCCTAATTTCTACCCCTAGAAGAGCTTCAAGGAAAATGCCAATAAACATGAAGATAATGAATTAGAAATCCAAAGCAATGCTTTAAAATGATGTTTTTCCCTGAAGTGTTGGCATGAGAAAAGAAAGCTGAAAGGTGGTGAGGGGAGTAACTAACACAACAGTGATGAAACAGGATTCTGAGTACAATATCCTACTAAATGACACACATAAGGAGTTGGAGCTTTGTAATACCTTTTATATTGCTGCCTGCCATCTGGTTGGCAATTGTTAAGCCTAAAATATTCAGGTAAGCTCTATTTTCTCAAATAGTGCAATGTTATGGGGATTTCAGCAGCCACTCATCTTTTAAAATATCATTATATTTCACTGTTTTCCAGAACAAAGCAAAGTATGTTAGCAGAATATTTGCATAGCACGCAGTGTTACCTGGAAGTGCTGGGTAGCACAAGGCAGGAACTCCACATTGTGTGAGGACTTGTAGGTGAGAGTGAGATGCTGTTTTCTATTTGAGCCAGGATTTCAGGCTGAGGATTCTCACTTAAGGTGGGTTGACTCATTCCACCTGAACCCTGGGTGGGAACAGTCCTTCCAGGGAAGGATAGTGCTTGGGCATTTAGCAATAATTATAAAAGGGGACTGAAGTGAGCCCCTCTTTGTTCTGGAAACGGCCTGCTGGGAAAGTACAGGGCCCAAAAAAGCATTTTCCACATTAAAAAGAAAATAAGACTGTTGATGATTTTACCATTCTCTAAGAAATGGTGAGGGGAATATATATCACCTGACCTTATGCCATAAAGTATAACTTGCTTTGAGGTATCCATTCTGCCAATTACCTAGATTTTTAAACTAAGGGAAATGCCTTTTAAATAAAATCTGAGATTCAAGCATCATGAGCTGAGCTGACAGACTGAAATATGCATAGAGAGAGACTGAAACTTCCATATAATCCCCACGTCCAAGGAGAGAGATTCATTTCTTCATTAATTTGTGCATGCAAACATATGTTCAGTACACATTTATGGGCCCATGTCATTTTCCAGGCAAATACTAAGTTGTATCACTACAAAAATGAGTAAGCCATACCCCTTTTCCACAAAAGTTTGTGAAATCAGATTTGTGCGAACAAGAGTTAAATTTCAGTTTCACCCTCCAGACTCCTTTCTCTTCATCATTCAGGTTCTTTCTCTACGATTTTATCCATCTTCGTGTCTCTAACAAATTTCTAGATGCTGACTACTTCACAATTTATATTTCCAATTTACATCTCTCTCGTACTCTAGACACATTTATCAAACGGCCTCATTTGCATGTCCATCTGGATGTCCCAGAAGCACCTCAAAGTCAGCATGTGCCAGAATGAAGTCCTCATTGCCCTTCAAGCATTGCATTCCCACCTGACTTCCCCACCAATAGACATCACTCATCCTTGGGTCAGTAAGCACTCATCATCTCATCTATCACTGGTCTTATGGATTCTGCTCCCCTGTCCTCTATCCATCTCCAGTTCCACTGTCTACAAGTTTGCTTAACCTTTATTCTGGAGAACATTCAGAGGTCCCATACACTTTTCCTCCAGTTTCTCCTCATGTCAACATTCTATATAACCATAGAATAATTATCAAAACTAAGAAATTAACCTTGGCACAATCCTGTTAACTAATCTACAGAACATATTAGAATGTTAACCATTTTCCCATAAATGCCATGTTCAGTTCTGTTTTCTGTCACAAGATTCAATCCAGGATCCCACATTGCATTTAGTTGTCGTGTCTTCTTCTGCATTTAGTATTCTCCAATCTGTGACAGGTTTTTAGTCTTTGCTTGTCTTTTGTGACCTTGACACTTTCAGAGTACTGGTTCATTGCTTTGTACAATATTCCACAATTGGGATTTAACTGATGTTTTCTCATGATGATTAGTATGAGATTATAAATTATTGGGAAGGACACGAAAGAGATCTTGTGCCCTTCACAGTTCATGACAGCAGCTGGTATATGAGATTGACATGTGTTCCTCACTGGTGATGTTATCCCTGATCCCTTGGTGAATGCAGTATCTGCCAGAATTCTTCATTGCACAGTTACTTTATTCCCTTTGTAAATATTTGTAGAGAGAAATGTATCTTGTTTCTGCTTAAACTTCTGCCCATTTTTTTGAGTATTCATCAGTGGTTCTTGTCTGAAGCAATCATTACTGTAAACTTCTAATGGTGCTTTTCTGTTTCTCCCATTCTTTCTATGTTTGTTAATTGGAATTCTCCTTCAAGGAAGAATGGTCTACTCCTCCATTTATTTAAGTGTTCACTTATTCGTTTATATCAATGTGAACTCATGGATGTTATTTTAATCTTTGCTATTTTTTCACTTTTCAAGTTGCTCCAATTTTAGTTATTGTGAACTCTTTGAAGTTGGCTCTTTGGTGTTTTAATGTTACACATCTCTCTTTTTTAAAGATTGCTTTTATACTTTTCAGCACCAAAATGTGCTACAGACTCACATTTTTCCATTCTTAATCCTGAACTCTGCCAGGCCTTGTTATCTGTATTGATGAATGGTATTTGTTTTTTTGTACTGATGAATGGTATTTAGAAACCAAGATCTTGGTGCTGGGTGTGCTCATTGTTACTGTGGGTTAACTGCATCTAGTTTCTCTGAGTGAATGGGGCTGGGAAATGTACGGATGTGGACTAACTCATACAGAAACACAGCTGTATCTATCTATTGTTCTACCTTTCCATATATCTGCAGTATATTTTTAAATCCCATGAGTCCATATTGATAGCTTTGACTCTACTCAGCTCCACAGGGTTTATTCTAGTCACCTCTCCTTTTCTTATTTGAATCCTCTTTCTCCAAGTAAGAAATCTGGCATTGATTATCTATAATTTCTTTCTTTATTTAACCCTAATATTAAGTTAGGTTGTTTCATACTTGTGTAATCCTTAATCCTATAAGGAAAAAAAAACTAAAGTACAATGTTGGTGTACAGTTCTTTTTGTTTTCCTTCCTCTAAGAGTCTATGGTATAAACTAAGACTTCTTTATCTGCTGGTTAAACCACTGAAACAGGTATTGCTGGTGATTTTTGTTCACCTTGGATACATTTTTCACATGGTAGTCAGGTTTATTCACTTAAAATAAAGATCAGATTCTATTGCTCTACTGCTTAATATTCTCCATATCTCCCTTGAGCCCATAAGACAAAGGCTCAAGTGTTTGGTATTGCATATAAAGTTCTTCACAATCTGGCTCTTATCTCGTCTTTTCATTGTTAGATTTCTAGCTCTTACACTAAACATGATTCAGAACTCCATATATGTTCATTGACTTAAAAAAAAAGGTATACAACTTTTGATTAATAAAATTACTCTGAGAGTAGTAAGTCAGTGATAACTTGCTTGGGAGGTAAAATTTAAAAAAAAAAAACTTGGAAACAAGAGAAAGCATAAATAAGATTGGTTGCTTGTCTACCATGGATCAAGCACTTTTTGAAGGTCATCTTTGTTAAACTTCCACTGTGAATGTGGCACAGTTAATGTTGCAGATATTGGAATCAAAACGCACCTGAGTTCAATCCCAGTTTGCTACTTGATAAGAACATCTAAAACCTAAGTTGCTGCTGTTGCTCTTGCCCCAGTCTCCTTCCCTGGGTTGGGTCTAATATGGAGGGTCAGAACAGCTGATGTTTGACCTGAGTCAGGAAGGATAACAGTGTGTTCATCATGGTCATGGGGACAGCCAAAAGAAAAAGAAAGGGCAAGTGCAGTGCAGAAAAACAAATTTTGTCTACATTAGTCTTTTCCGTGGGTACTCTTTTATATATGTATTATGTACACTGTAAAATGTGTATAAACATATTTTGTAACATAATACAGCAGAAAGGACGTAGAAATCAAAACTAGAAGATTCATTCTGCTTTTGGCCATATGCATGACCAGCTACATAACCCCTATCATGCCATTTCATCTTCTTGAGACATAGATTCTTCCTGTCTAAAAACTAGGGAATTGAATTTCATCTCTTATGCCACTTCCTTCTCTTTGCTTCTCATTTTCCCTAGCTTTGACTACCACCTATGTTGCTGCCTCTGACATTCATTTACTTTTACTTTCGAAATGGATGTATAAATGTTGTGAAGTGCTATGCCTATGAAATTCCATGAGGGAAGGAGGGGAGGAACAGCGGAGGGAGGTAGAGGAGAGCAGAGGTGACCATGACCGTCCAGCCTCAAGTCTGTATCATATTACCAAGTTATTGAATGTTTCTTAAAGATGTCATAACTTATCCACTACATTCGTGGTACAGGGTTATCTACTAACCACACAGATACTGCCCTGAAGTTGATCAGGCAATTTTCAATTGTATGATACCTATTACATGGCCAGCTGTATGTGTCTTGGTTAAGGATAAAACCAGAAGAAGAAACAGAATCAGATTCTGGCATGGAAAATTTTTGCTAGGCATGAAGAGTAGCTCTTATGTCAGGCAAATTATGAACCACATCAATTTGTAGAATGTCTTTCCCTGTGCTATTTCAAAACTGGGTCCACACTTTCAACCCCTTCATCATTTAACTGAACTCTTAGAAGGTGAGATGGACTACATTGCCCCCTTGAGAGCTGTTTTCACATTTTATCAGATTTTGGTACAGTTATATAACATTTTCAGTCTTGTCATTGTTATCACAGTACAACTTTTGCAGAATGTGGAGACTACATCTCACACATATATACTGCTGCCTCTGCTAAGTTGCCCCATATGTTCAAAACTCATATTTTATACCTATTCCAAGACAAGAGATTTTCCTTTGTAAATTGAAACCAATGTCAATTTTAGAGTGACCGCGTCAAATCATTATTCAAAATTAAGCACCATAGTATTCTTAAAATAGTATATTTGGTTATGACATTGTCATTGTTTGATATTTTGCATTGCTTCTGTCTCATTTAATCCATGAAGCTTCTGAATTACTTTGTTGTGGTATTTTGCTGCGTCATTATGGTATTTCCAGAGTACTCAGAAACACAGACACCTGTTTTGTTGACTTGTAATACAACCTGAAAACAGAAACACGGAGCTGGGCTGCACTCATGATTTCAGGACCAAGGGCAGTTCTTCTATGGGTCTTTCTACTGATGTATGCCAGTTAGGGCTGTGAATGGTTACACTACTGTGCTACCAATTCAGATGCATTGCAATACTTAAGATAATAGAAAAGTACTTCTAATGGTAATATACCTTAAATCACCTTTTCAGCTTTCAAAGGCTCTTAAGGCAAAGCACTGACGTTCTTTCAGTTGAAATAACGATGTGAAGGTCCTTATTATTTAAGACTTCTAAATAAGCCAGATTTACCAATGTCAAATTACTGGTGAGTCGTTTGACCCCATATTTATTTCTAATTTCCACAAGCTGTTGGTAAGAGCTGCTGTAAATCAGGTTGCCATTGATCTTGGCTCCCACTTGTGTAATTCTAAGATGAACTGCCTATGATCAACAGAAAAAGACTTCTGCTCTGAGGGAACGCCTGCGGAAGGAGGTCCCAGGATGCTCTGGGAACATGCATAGTTATTAATTATTCAGGGAAGAAGAGAGCAGATGCTGGTCTACATAAATGGGGTGGAGGGGAACCCTAATGTAAATCTATACATCAGGAAATATGAGAGAAAAGGGTGGCAAAATTTGGCCTTAGAAAACAGATTAGGGAGAATGATAAGCATGGCTGTAATAGGCAATCACTTAAAGCTATTGATTTAATTAAACGTAACTACATATCCATGTGCAAGGCACTTAAATAATTCTCACAGTCAGACTTCCTGTATTTTATGATATGTTTATTTGAGTTCTCTGTGTTCTTAGCTGAAGGGAAGGCTCTTTAACCTCCCACAGGGCTTGGTCTATTTCCACATGCAATGAAAATACTTGTGAGTCAGTCATCCTTTTCCAGTGTTGACATCCTCATGTTGCTGTGGTCGTCCTTGGAGAGGGGTACAGGGGGGAAGCCCATGAATCTGAAGAACCTTATAATAATAAGTGTTCATTACATCCCTCTAAGACAGTCACTGTGCCTGCTTCGTGTCTGCTATCTTATGTAATACTCACAACATCTCTGTGAGATAAATATTAAGAGAAAGGTTTTTTTTCTCCTTTGATAGGAATAGGAGAAAGAGATAGTGATTGTAATGAGGGAGAATGAAGTTAGGAATCAGACTCTGCTTATCACTCTCTGCATGAAAAGCTGCAGGGCAGGGGCGTTGCTTACTCCATCTGAGTTGCAGTTTTGAGACTGTAGTTCCTATAGTTCATATCTTGGTGTAGGTGGGTCTTTTTACACTTAAGATAGAATTCAAGATATTTGACTATACAGCAAATTGTTGTGAATGAATTTTACTTTTGTATCAACTCAATTTCATAATTTGAAATTCATTTTCATAAGGAAAAATCCCTCAAAAGTGTTTTTGAAAAGGAAGGGGTTACGTGGTGGTTAAGGTATGTGGGCCAAGATACTGGGCATTAGTTGTTTACTTTCCATGGCAACATTTGTGTCCCTTAATCAATTCTCCTGCCATATTCAGGGATTTTTAGGGTACCTTCCTTCATCTTGGCCCAGACGCTTGGGATATTCCATGTTTTCACACTTTTGCTTCAAGAAGGCATTGGGTATGGGAGCAGGGGCTCGTGTCTGTAACCTTAGCACTTGGGAGGCCAAGAGTTCAAGAAGGCATCGGCATAGAATGGCCAAGCACATGGTGGTATCCAAGCACACGTTGTGGAGCTGAAATTGCATCCTTTCTCTGGCATTGCTTTTGCATCTGTAAAATGGAAGGCATAACAGGTCCCAGTTCATGGAATCGTTGTGAAGTGCTTAGCATAGTGTCTGCTGTTTACTAAGTTTATTCTGTCCTCCAGGCCTGTCAGGTCTTTTGTATTTTAAGAAGGAAACGGGCCAAGAAGCTGAGCTCCATAAATGTTATATGTGATTATTCAGATACCTTGCATCCCTCTTATTGTTATCCTACAATTAAGGGGCTACGTTATAGTGAATGTAAGCTTCATGTCCCAGCAGACGTTTGCTGCATTTATGGGCCTACCCATGCTAGAGCTGTTGGCAGTAGACGCTTACCTCCCTTGTGGATTCAGTCATGTAGAGCACTGTATTCCCTTGTGCGAACATCTCTAAATTTCAAAGAGCCTTGTAAAATAGAAAGGACAGTACGCAAATTTATCAATTCTATCAGTTAAAAATATGACACATAAACTTGACTTAGGAAGAGTAATTTTCACATTAAGTGTTCCAGTAGTTATTAAAGTTTAAATCTACAACCAAAAACATAGAATGATAGCAGTATAGTTTTCAGGCTTCCATTCTTTGCTCTGACAGCATGGAATGGATAACACAGAGACACTTGCTGTGTGTGTGCATCATTTGCCCTAGGTGACCCTATTCTGCAACTTTTTTTCTATTCAACAGTGTCTTCCACCTTTTTTTTTGTTTCTACAAACTTTCTGGAGTTCTCATCATCCCCACATTTCAAGCTGCTCTCTCATTATTAATTTGTGCTAACTAGTAAATGACTAACATCAGTTTATCAATAACGTACCCTCAGTAATAGGCCAAGGTCAATCTTAGAACACATATGGTAGCATATTTTATGCAAGTCTCATTCGACATCAGACCGGATTCAAATATCCATTGTGATGCAAGTTATTAATAGAATCCAGGTGTTCTTTGTTTTGTTGCTAGACTTTCTCGCTCTATTATTTAGTGAAACACTGATGAACCAACAGGCCAACCGCAATGAATAGCAGACTCAGCAATTAGCAGTCATGAAACCTTCTAGTTTACCATTTGCATTCTGTTGTGCAGTAGGTAGATGAAGGTAGAAAGCAAGTGATAAGGCACATTTTTGTTAGAGTTTCTCTTCTCATGCAATGCGTATGATTGCCTCCTGGTAAGGAAATTGGATCTACATGCTTAAATACTTTTGAAGTGCTGCTCTTCCCTTATGCCAACCTCCATTTCTGTGTCTTAATTGTCTTTCCTGTGCACCAGGGGGGCTCATATTTTCCCTCTTTTGCTCCAACTTCATTATCTAAAAACATACGTCAGTGTATTTACTTTTGGGCTGCATTTTCTTTCCAGATATTTTTCACTTACTTCACAATGCTTATTTATTTGCAAATATTTCATAACCACGATCAGCCTAAGTCATCCAATATTCAGGTATTTTGCTCAATAACCGATATCCAAACACAATTAGTTCGTGAAGAGTGTTAGTCAATGGAAAATCTTGGCATTTTAGTATGTTGTCAAATTAATCATTCCTATGTTGATTTAATTCAGTAGCATTAGAGAAAGGAAGAGGTTTGTGTGATCTTTCTTAATTAAATTTATTTAAATGAATTTGCATCACTACATCCCAATATGTAACATCTCTTTAAATTGTGAGAATCTCTTCTAATCAGCTCAATTCATAAGAATTTAGATTCAGAGGATAGGTTGAAATTTTCACGTTACCTCGAGGAATAGGGAGGAATGAGTTCTAAGATATATGAGGTTTCAGAAATATTATAACATGTATTTTAAACCAAATGCAGTAGTTAATGCTGAGACAAAGGTGTTGTGTGGTGCTCCTTGCACGTGCCATGTGAAATTTCTGTCATATACTGTTACCTGAAGTAGCCTTGCCCACCACCCCACCTGCCCTTTGAATGCCAGTGTGAATCCTACATGTGTTCACACACCAGGTCATTTCGCTTCTCTGTATGAAGCTGAATTAGTCCGTTCTCACTTTGCTATGAAGAAATACCCGAGGCTGGGTAATTTATAAAGGAATGAGATTTAATTGACTCACAGTTCCACATGGCAGGGAAGGCCTCAGGAAACTTACAATCATGGTGGAAGGCACCTCTTCACAGGGTGGCAGGAGAGAGAATGAGAGCCGGCAGGGGAAATGACAGATGCTTACAAAACCAACAGATCTCCCGAGAACTCACTATCATGAGAACAGCATGGGGGAACCGCCCCTGTGATTCAATTACCTCCACCTGGTCCTGCCCTGGAAATGAGGGGATTATGGAGATTACAATTCAAGGTGAGATCTGGGTGGGGACACAGAGCCAAGCCATATCAGAAGCTTTTAGCAGTTATCTTAGCTCACAATGGACTCTTCCTTCTCCTAATTTTTCTGACACTTATAGTCAGAATCATGTAACTTAGCACAATAAAGTCTTGCATTGACCTTGGATTGATTAACATCTTCTATGTCTTTCCAAGCTTTTTATGTCTCCAACAAAATTACGTATGTGGACTAAATATTCTACTTTTTACATTTTCCAGTGCCTAGTATATAGTAATTCACATTCATGGGTATTTGTAATTTGAGTCCATATAGTTTCTGACTATGGATCCAGAAGATGTCATTGGCTGAAATTATGTTAACTTTTTTTAATGCCTCTTCATACTATCTTGTATATGTTCAGTGTCCAAATTAAGTTGTTGTCTGATTGTTTCCCCACCCTCCACACATAAATATGAACAAACAAGCAGACATTTACTCTGAAGGAGTCCAGGTACACTACCTAAGCGCATGTCAAAGAATTATTTTAAGTGAGACTTCCAGTTTCCCCCTCCGATTTTATCAAAAAAGTTTACATAGATATTTCTTCTGAAATAAAGCCAAGAAAGACTTAAAACCACATTTACCTAAACATATGGAACATGTCCTCATCCCTAACAAAAGCTCTCAATGTTATCAATTAAAAAAATACAACCTGGAATTGAGACCTGTATTCATTTTGGAACAAACCTCAAATTCGTATTTTTGTGGTGAGACCAAATTGAAAACCTCATCTTTAAGCAATAAATATCTCTGAGCAGATTCTCTCTACTTCAGCCACCAAAGTAATTCCTTGTTTCCAAAATTTGTAGAAAAGCTTGTGAGCAAATTATTTCTAAAATGACAGACTTTTTCCTCTGTACTTCAAAAACTATATATTGCATGCCTACTCTAGGCATGGGATTGTGTTAATTGTACCATGGATGATGTAACAAAGACTAAAATACCATGCATATCTAGGGTGACTATATAGTTTATCACCAAACTAGAACTGTTTTGAGAGTGAAAGGAGAGTTGTTAGAATCCTGCTAGGCTGATGAGCATAAACAAAATTCTGCATGTGTAGCCACCCTGTACATCTGTGTCAGTTTCTTATGGCTACTCTAACAATTACCATAAACCTGGTGGTTTGAAATAACATAAATTTATTCTGTGACAGTTCCAGAGGCCAGAAGTCCAAAATTAGTATCACTGAGCCAAAATCTCCATGTTGACTGGCTGTACTCCTGGAGACTCTCAGGAGAGTCCTTTTCTCCTCTCTTCCAGCTTCTGGCGGCTGCCCACATGCCTTGGCTTGTGCCCGCACCAATCCAGTCTCTGCCTATGTGGTAGCATTGCTTCCTCCTCTTCTGTCTTTATGAAATCACGCTCTGCCTCCCTCTTAAGGGAACACTTGTGATGGTGTTCAGAGTCCACCAAAATATTCCAGGGCAATATCTCCATCTCCATGTTAACTTAACCATAGCTGCAAAGACCCCTTCTCCTCATACAAAACGATGTTTACAAATTCTAGGGAAAAGGCCTGATATCTTTAGAAGATATTATTCCGCTCACCACACGATTCCCATCTTTTAAAATTAGACACCTCATCAGGAAGTATTGTGATTTGGTGACACATGAGTGATATGGACAATACTGTGCTGTAGAAGAAACAAATCACTTGACCTTGAGGCACCCTTACCTTGAAAGAATAGGCAGAATTTGGAAAAATACAGAGGAATGCATCACTGACAGGTAAAGCACAAGCAAAGGTTTGGAAGAGGGGCTAAGCAAGGATGTTTGGGGGACAAAAAAGGAGACCACCTTGCCTTGAATATAGAGTTCACACAAGAGCAGCAGGGGAGAAGCATGAACGTCAGTTTGGCATCAGGGGGCTGGTTTTTCCTCATTCCAAGCTCTTCTCATTTTTCTACTTTATTTACTTGAAAACTCTCTTTCTCCTTAATCTTTCAGTCAGTTAATCTTTACACCTCCATGATCCTTCATTTCTTTTCCCCTTTGATGATTTCTGATGCTCTGCTTCTGAACTCTTCCTAAGTTCTGCCATAGTGATTCCCCTCTGTCTGTACTGCTGTTCCTACTGCTTTGCTTTGCAGCTCTTCTGCATTTGACTGTGAGCTCACTGAAAGAAAGGACCGTGGCATGTGCATCTTTGTGTCTCCAGAATTTAATTAGCACAGGGAGTAATTTATAAGGGGTGAATGAATCAGTATGGAGATTTATACCAAGGACCCTCAACTTCACTGAAGGTCTTTAATGATGGTGCTGATGTTAGTGGTGGTCGTGGCGGTATTTAATTATTTTTTCTAGGTAGGGATCCCTTCTTTCCTCCTCTTCCCGTTCACCTGCTCTTCATCACAGACAAGTATGGAGCTCCTCAGGCACCATCCAAATTAGGGTCATCCTAATAATTTGACCCCTTCATCTACTTAGGAGGAAATACTGAAATCCTCCCTAATAAAAAGCTAGGTACAGTATGTTCTGTCTGGAGATATTCAGAGATGGTATAAATTATTTTCTTCTGTCAATTTCAGGTATGCTTGTCTCACTTTCTCATACGTATTAACTCACTTTTAATAATCTACCCATTTTCTCTTGTTCTGCCTTTAGGCAATTGGGAAATAAGTGATTGGGCACTTGTTCTTGATAACTTGTGGATGGTTTTGGTTTCTGGTTGCTGTAATTAAAGGTGACTTAAGTAGAAGAAATTAGGTGTCTGCCCACTAATAAGCAAGGTGATGTTCATAAGCTGCTTTGCCACTATTGGCCTCAGAGCTTCAACCCCAGCAACTTCCATTAAAGCCAGGGATTAACTATTAGTGCAGCACAGTGGAAGGAACCAGAAGAACAGTTCTTTGGGTCCCAGCAACAAATTACTTCTGAATGAAACCTCTGATTAATGGCTCCAGAGTTGCCTCTTTGTTTTGCATAATTAAGTTTCATGGAGTGTTACAATGAACAACCTTGCCATCACCCAGGTAGAAACAGCCACCATTTATTTGGCCAGCAGTGTCAGAAAGTGCTGGGTGGTGAATAAGAAGCATTTATGAGGGGATTAGGTGCATTTGGGTCATAATTGAATAAGGCTATAATTACTTTTCATTAAAAAGCTACAAATAGGATGACCCTATGATACTACACCAAGTCCCCTTTCATTTTTTTTTTTCCTGCTGATCTGGGTCTAAGAACTTCCTTCTCTAGTCAAATAATGGCCATAATACAGAGAAATTTGTAGTTATATATGAAAGTTGACTGTTTCCTCTTTCTGCACCTCCAGCGCATATCTTGTTTTATGACATTTATTATGGCCGCTTTTGTTATCACACAAGCAGTCTGATATGCAATGTAGATGTCAAGTAAGCTTGAGACTCTTGTAGCTGCCTGAGAAGAAAGTCAAGGTTCATTGGGGCTACTGGGAGACAACAAAGTGTCTAGTACGTTGTTGCTGGTGAGCAGGCCAGGAATCAACCATTTGTCCATGTCAAGAGATTAAAACATGATCAAAAAATGTTTTCTTTATAGTTTTTTTTCCCCTGTGGAATGACATTTCTCTGACACAGTTATTCCTTTGACCAGTATCGTTTTGATGTTAAGGCAGAGAGACCAAGAGGAGCCATTGTAGGGATGGCATCCTCTGTTCTAGTCAAGTTTTCCTTGGGTCAATAGAATTTTTTAAAAAATGAATAATAGCAACTACTTGTATGGAGTTTTCTACATGCCAGGTACTTTTCTATGCTCTTTACTTGAACATATTTATTTAATGAAGAATTTGCTCCAAATATTTGATGATTTTTACCATTTTCTGTCTTTCTTACTTCCTTATTTTTACCATCCCTCTCTTCCTGAATTTATCTATTTCCTCTCTGCTCCTTTCTCCTGCTCTCCCTCCCTATCTTTCTTCTTGGCTATCTTTATACTGTGTCTGGGATTTGATCAAGGGAGAAAGAGAAAGCAATATGAAACCTGAAGAACACAATTCAAGCCCTGGAACTACCACTAGACATGAGTGTGATTTTGAGCAAGCTGATGAATCAAATTGGGCCCTATGTTGCTTATAAAGAAGAAGGAAAAGGAGGAGATGAAGAAGGAGGAGTAAGAAGAGAAGCAGGAAGGAATGAAGAAGAAAGAAGGGGAGAAGGAGGAGAAGGGGGAGAAATAGAAGGAAGAGGATGAGAAATTGGAGAAAGAAGGGGAGGAGGGAACAGTAGTAATACCTATTCTACCCATAGTAAAATGTTGCCATAAAAATCAAAGGAGACAGTGCCTATGAAAATCCTCTGTAAATTGTAAAGAACTCTACGAATTCAACTTTTTTTGCTGACCTCCTAATGGATGTTTTCAGGAATTTTACTAAGATTTAGAGCCAGGCATATGTTTTTTAAAAGAGAGAGAGATCATGCTCTAGACAAATTGGGTGCCTCATTATACACTTACCAGGAGGAAAATGCTGCCATTCCTGGCTAAAAACCCATTTGTCTTGCAAATATCTATAATGAACAGATTTTGGGATAAATACTATGTAATCTGTGATGACAGTTCTCTCATTTCTTTTTTATTAGTTCAATCTTCTCAGCATCTGAACCACATAGCTACAGAACCTCCATAATCATTAAGGCAGCTGGGACGTATGCATTTTTTCTCCTTTCCTTGGCACATCACAGAGTCCCCAATCAGTCCCTTGTTACAAGGCCTATGTTCTAGTAGTAGTTAAATGCACCTGTATAAGAATGCCAGAACAGAAAAGAAAACAAACAGCAGGGTGCATGGCCTTTGCAACAAAGTTCCATTTTCACAACTGACCTTTCCCTGGGTATTTAAAACTTGGGTTTTACTTGGAGCTTGTGGATAATTTGCATTGCACTAAACATCCCTTTGCTTAAAATAGATAATCTCAGTGGAATATAAGGTGGTTGCAGTAAACTCTAACCCACCTTATTCTCTATCCCTTTTCCCTTTGTCTTTCCCTAGGTAAGTGATATTTGATTATTGTTTTGAGCTTCTTCAGGAGAGACCTCAGAAGCCTACCTACCTGTCAATCCCATTGGAAGGAAGTCTTTGGCCAGTTCCTATTCATCCTTCCCAAGTGGTCCCATTCCATCTTTTGGCTCCTGCAGCATGGCGGGGCACATGGAGGTATGACTGTTCACTGTTAATGGGTTTGCAACTGTTCATGGTAAAATAAATGTGAGTTTTGGATCAGTGTCAATGATACAATTATGAGCAATTCCTGGGAACTGAAGGCCAAAAAACTATTATTTTACCTCTGTACGTCAAATTATTGTGTGGGTTCTCATGAATTCTATGTTAACCTATTTACTAAAAGTGAACTTCAACCAAACATCTAAGTGAATTATAATAATTTCATTTCTACCAATGACATCACAAATAATGTCTACCTTTTATGAAATAGAAGAAAACAGTCTTAAAATGTATTTTATTTATATACCCATTGAATACACAGTTGGGTCTGAGAAAAGTCAATCTGCCTTGTTCCCGAATTACAGAGTTCCACACGCTTCTACGCAGGAGTTGGAAGCATCGTATAAGACATCAGGAAAACAAAAGCACAGAGGGACAATGGGTGATGCAATTCTGAGAAATGAAATTAACATTTTCTTTGTGTCTATCGCTTATGGTACATTGAGGCACCATTCCATAAAAGTTACTGCAAAACTGTTCTATCACCTCTATGATCAGAGTCTGTAATGTAATTGTTGAGCGGGCTTCCAGAATCATGAACCTCACTCCACAGTACCTGCGGAGTCTTTTAATTCAGGTGACTGTGAAGGCAAATCATGGGCTGACAATGACTGGAATCTGCACCAGAAGCAAATAAACCGCTAACTGCAGACCTCAATCTAAATAAAATACAGACAGGACGACAGTGTATTTTGAGTATTACTACCAGAAATCCCCTCCCTCTGCCAAATCAATGAAAACGTTACCCAAATGTGGCTAAAGGAAATTTTTCACTCGGATTCAGGCAGAGGACATGTCCTTCATTCATCATCCTAGTTCTGTATCATTTACGGACACAGTTTTACATTCCATGGCGGTTAATGTTTATGTTATGTTCTTTATTAGTTTAAATACATGGAGCATCTCTCTTTACTTGTTAAGGGATAATTTTCAGTAAAACTAAAATCATGATTCTCATATAGACCAAAAATAGATGATCATTAAATATTTTATTTAACTCATTAATGAGGAAATCTGGCAGATGTTATATTCGTTTCAAAATGTAAGTCAAAGGAGTGCAAATGTATATGAAATATAGCACTATTGACTGTGATTTGCAAATGGACAAAAAACTGGCTTTTTCTATGAATTTGAGGGAAGTCAACTGAACCTGTACCAGATAGAATTTATTTGTATGTCTTTAGACAAGAACTATTTTGCATTGCTATCAATTATCTACAATTTATAGAGTAGTAAAATAGCTCAGAAGCAAGGAACATCTAGAATGAAATAACCCAAGCCAACCAGCAGCCCTCTGGGGTGCTCTGTCTAGGGAGCGGCCATTCTTAGGCCATTCTTACTTCTCTAATAAACTTGCTTTTACTTGAAAAAAATAATAACCCAGTAAGGCATGCTCTAAACAATGCATTGTTTTTCCCTGAAGATGTTTGGTAATCTTTTTGCTTATTTGTAATTTCCTTACACACTTAAGAGTACAGATTCTGCAATAGGAAGTTGTCATCCACCATACTTTCAGATCCTGCCTATGCTCCTGTATCAAAGTTCAGATCGGTGTAAAGCCTGGAATGCCAGCCTTCCTTGGATTTTGTAAGCTTACCTACCTTAGCTTTGTATGACTCCTGGAATGCCTAGTTTTACCACTTCTATCAATGAAGAAATTTTTAGTATTTTCTTGGAAAAGTGTAGATTCTTAAGAAATATTTGCTCAACAAATGAAGAAATCTTTAAACCTATGCATTAACTAGACGTTCTTTACTCTTTGGTTATTTACTGAGTGACATGATGAAAATATCCCCCTAGTGAAAGAAGTTGGGTTTGAAGCTTTCTGTTTGCAGGCTGGGTGTGGTGGCTCATGCCTGTAATCCCAGCACTTTGGGAGGCCGAGGCAGGTGGATCGCCTGAGGTCAGGAGTTCAAGACCAGCCTGGCCAACATGGTGAAACCCTATCTCTACTAAAAATACAATAATTAGCTGGGCATGGTGGCAGGTGCCTGTAATCCCAGCTACTAGAGAGGCTGAGGCAGGAGAATTGCTTCAACCTGGGAGGCGGAGGTTGCAGTGGGCCGAGACTGCACCACTGCACTCCAGCCTGGGTGACAAAAGCAAAACTCAGTCTCAAAAAAAAAAAAAAAAAAAAAAAAAGAAAGAAAGAAAGAAAGAAAAAAAAAAAGAAAGTTTCTGTTTGCAGGTTTGCCCTTGAAACATGTTTTGTCCATATTAATTCATTACCCTTTTTGGTGTGGCATCCCGCAGACCTCACACCTGGTTTGTGTCAATAGAATTGTGATGAAGCCATAGCACATTATATTAGCTGTGTGGTGGGTTGTTTCAAATGGGGGTGTGAATCAGGATGCCTAAATTATCAGCTTGGTCCACCTCCTCATGAAGAAGTCCATCTTCTTCATCAATGAAGAAATGTTTAATATTTTCTTGGAAAAGTGTAGATTCTTAAGAAATATTTGTTCAACAAATGAAGAGACCTTTAACCCTATGCATTAACTTATCAACTTGGTCCACCTCCACATTGATGAAGTAAGGACTGGAAAGGAAAAGAGGTGGCTCAAGCTGAAGAGGAGGAGAAGGCAGGTGCTGCCCAGCAGTGATAGAATTCTTCCTGGTATAGCCTTGCGACTTCAGCCCCTGATCTCAAGCACCAGGGGAGGCCACTGCTCTGTTCTATCTGTGGGTGTGATTGCCTCCCAGCAGATGTGTGAGAGTCATTTCTGCATGTGCCCGTTTGCCTCTGCAGAACACCGCTTCATGCTGTTGTCAGTGATGAAAATCCTTCTCGGTGGTCTAAAGCTATGGTACCACATGGACCCACAGTGATGACTTTTTCAGGGAGGCGGTGCTTCTTTCCACCACATCCCAGAAAATCATATCATTTTCACTGTGAGCAGCTCTCACTGAGATTCCCTTAACTCTTCTCACACAGAAGATCCAGCTGTGCTACTAAGAGAAGTTTGAAAGTGAAAGACCTGCTCCAATATTTTTCTTCTTTGTAAACCATCTGGATGCTTTTGTGTGTGTGTGTGTGTGTGTGTGTGTGTGTGTGTGTGTGTGAAGTCTTTTTTTTTTTTCTTTAGGATGTTAAGGGTAATATGCTCAAAGAGAGCAGACTCTTCAACCAAGATCTGTCACCTGCGTCTTCAAGCCCTAATGGGCACCTGTGTGCTAGTGGATTTACTGTGTGGGTTTCTCTTCCAGATCAGACCTTAAGATCACTGTTGTGTGATGTATCTCAGCCTTGATCCTTTCTTCTTTGGGGTAAATTGGAACCAGACAGTGTCACTGACTTGACTGAGATGCTGAAGGTGACCATGTGTGGGCTGAGTCCAGAACTCAGATCCGTTTACTCTCTGTCATGTGTTTGATTCTCCGTGGCACGTGCAGGGCTCAGATGGGAAGGAGAGATGCTACACATTTAGTTATTTATTACTTAGTAGCCAGCATTTACTGCCAATTACTTGAATGGCCCCCACACCTCTAAGAATTACCTATCAGGCATATACTCAGGGTGAATACTCTTCAGTCTGAAAGCTATTCACATTTCCTCAGGGCTCATGGACTTCGCCGTCAATGTACTTTCTTGTGTTTTGTAAATACAAGAAAATGTGATCACAGATACTATTTTTTCCTCTCTATGCAACCTCCTAGGTCACAGAGGGTGTGCATCTCCAGGATGATGGAAAGAAAATAAAGGTTGAAAATGGGGGATAGGGAAAGAGCGTGGGGTGCCGTGACTGTCCTTTGCATGTGTCTGCTCAGGCTCTGCAGTCCATCCCGTGTCTCTTCTTCTTGTCCAAAAATTCTACCCAGATCTAAAAACAATCAAAATGTCATAGAAAACTTCTCCCAGACTGAGGTGCTGGATTATCTGCCTAGCTCTGAGTGACTCAGTTCTGCATATCTCCATTCTCAGACTTCTTTATGGAGCACCTTGCCATGGGAGTGCAACTCTGAGTGGACCAACCACCTCTGCAGCCCTTCTTCCTCTCTTTTGCCTTCTGCCCTCTCAAAAGCATATCACACCTCTCTTCCCCAGCCCACGGTCCAAAGCAGAGCATCCCCATGCATGAATTTTAGTTGCAGACTGATTTCTAGAATCATGATGAGGAGCCACAAGCAGTATGCCAGGTGGTAGGGAGTGAGATTTAGCTTCCTTATATAACTCTCTGCAGCTCATTCACTGAATGTCACTTTTCCTTGCGTCCACATATTATATCTCATTCTAGCAGAATGCAATAAGGTGGAAATATAAGGGCTTTTGGAATGCAGTTTATTAAGACATGTTTTGGAGCCAATTGGAGGAGCACTGGCTGGAAATGTTAATCACAGTAAACCCCAGCGTACGGACCTGCCTCCCGTGTTCGTTTGCCTTGGGGAATTGGAGCACAGTACTGGGCTGGTAACATTCTACTTCAGGTTATTATTATGATGATGATTTCCCTTCTGGAATATGTATCAAACTGTATATCTTTATTTATTGGGAAAACAACAAAATAATATTGAAGGGATCGCCGCATAGCTACTGTGTACACGTGGAGTAAAAAGAAAGGGATTCCTAGAGGGAAACAAGTGGAAATGTTGAACCCCTAGAAGATTTTCTGGGTATTGGAAAGAAACGGAAAAGCCACTATGAAAAAAGCAATATTGCATCTCTATCGCAATGAGCTTTTCCAGGAGCTGGAAAAGGCATTATTACTCTTGGAGAAAAGAGATCTCTCTTTTTTCCCCTCCCTTTTGATTTAGACTTCTGTGAGCCAAAGTGTTCTGGTGTTTTAATGGTCTGTTTTAAAGATGGAAAGGGCCCTTATGTGTCAGAACACAAGCCTGTCCCAGCCAGCACGGGGCTTTGTTTGATTATGAAGCTTGTTTGGGATAGATGATATTTTTATAGCTTCTGCTTTGCTTCACCGACGGCCATATTGATGTAGCTCTCCAGGACGGGCCTAATAAATAGTTTATAAAACTGTAAGGCCATTCTCTTGTGTAATCTACCACTGTGCCTTCACAGACTGCAGAATCGCACATCCAGAGCGAGCTGGCTTCTCACACACAAGCCGGCCACAGGCCCTGGGGTGGGAGGCTTGGTGTGTGTGCATGTGTGTGGGCAGCTTGAAAAGAACCACCTGAACTTTTTTGTGAAGATTTTAGAATAGCAGTGGAGAGTAAAATGCTGAGATTGGGTGTCTCATTAATGTTGTTCAATTTGTGCTCAGATGCCCAGGCTGCTGGAAGGGCTGGGGCTCAAAAGCAGCTGTGGAATACCTTCCCCCAGGGCTATAAGCCTGTGTGATCTCACCGTTTGCCAAAAAAATAAGAAGCAGTGGGAAGAGTGTGGGGAGATGGAATAATGGGTAGAAGAGGTGAGAAAATGAACAGAGCATGCAGTGCGCAGAACCTGCAACCATGTCAGCTGCCTTTCTAGGAGGACGGTAGATACCGGCTTTCCCTGGGGAAGGATAGGGGCTGAGCCCCTGAGGGGTGCCCACCAGCAGCAGGCTGACCACCAAGGGAAGGGGGCCAGGGTGTAGATTTCCTTGGCAGTCCATGGCTGGATGCTGGTGCAGTGGACGCAGGGCTCATCTCTCGGGTTGGGGAGCACCTATGCCAACAGCTCTTCCTGCATCCTCTTTAACCGACAGACACCCCATGAAGCATCGATCATTATCATGATTTTGGAGATGATGAAACAGCTTCAAAGAAGTTTATAAAACAAACAAAAGCAAAGGAACATCAACAAAACAACTCCAAAATTTGCCTTTTGGTGGTTGAGCTAGTAAGTGGCAGGGCCAGAATTAGAACCCAGGTTTTTGTCTTATGACACAGCCTTGGGCATTGAGCTGTGCGTGGCACGAATAATGTTGGTGTTACATGCAAGCGAAGCAGGAAACTATTTATGAGATGTGATTTTAAACACTTAAGAAATATTCTTTCCCAGAAATCCCTGCGGCTGATAATATTCACCTGAGCATCTCAGGCTGATGTCTGAAAACACACCTTGACTTTGAGGAGTTGAGACTTAGCACAATTCAAGTGGCCCTGGGAGAGTAACAATGTAAGCTGCGGCTACTTCTTGAAACTCCATTGCTGTGGCCTCACAGGGCTTAAAGTAATTGGAAGAAGATTCCAGACAAGGCATTCTCAAGCTCTGCCTTCACCCACTCAGTGGAAATGGAAGCTCTTCTGAAATCCTTTCCAAATAGTTCTGGGAAGCCAGGGCATGCTGCCCATGTACTCCATGGAATGGGCTCCTGGGCTTCTGGGGTGGCTGTTATTTTTTGCTCTCCTCCTTCTGTTGTCTGGTGACATCTCCTGGCACAATCCCAAACCAGCCACAGGTGCCACTCAGGGGTCTCTGGGTCTGGTGCCTGCAGTGCCTCTGACTATGGAGGGTGGCCCTATATGCACCCAGGGACCTGGACTTCTTTTCTGCTGCCACACTTACTATCACATCCCATCCCCCAACATCCTAGAGGCATTAGTCTTTTCTTTCTGATGGTCCTTACGGGGGAGAGTAAATTACCTCTTGGAGTTTTGATTTGTCCATTGATTGCACTCAAAGTCACCTCAGGGCTCAGGTACAGGCCAGGAGGTGATCTGAATTACAGGCACCACGCTCTGCTGAGGGTCACCTCTCTAATCTAGCATTTGCCTGCTCTTGTTGAACGAAACTATGGCAACTCTACCATCCCTCATTGGCTGCCCTACCCTCTGGGTCTCCACGGGTGCCCAGATACACCTGAATGCCAGGGCAAAAGCAGTGCAGCTGCTGAGACAGAACTTTGTGATGCTGCATTCACAGGTTTTCCTGAATGTTCCTTGCATGTAGGGCCCCATTCAGAAGCATGCAGCCTTTGTCACTGTGGAATTTGAGGAGATTTGAGAAGATTTTCTTAGTGGGCTAGGAAGGAAAAGATCTGGAGCTTTTTCCACTGGGAAAAGGGTTCTCTGTGATTTGCCCATGGTCAAGTTTTCTTCCAAGGTTCCTCAGTTGCCTCCACAGTGATTAGATGGCCGGGTCAGAACAGCCCAGGGGGGAAATGGACGTTAATCCCCCAGCACCTGTGCAGACCCAGCACCCTTCAGTTATATGATGAGGAGAGAGGGTTATCTGTGGGTGTCCGTGGGCCATTAGAATTTTTAAAACACCAAGGAAGAAGAAACAAGAATGTAGCTCATGTCCAGGCTTAAACATTAACTGTGTAACCTCAGTGCGCTCAGTTCAGCACCGCTGTCTCAAGCTCCTTTTCCTTAACAGTGAATAAAGAACAACGAAACTAGCCCTAGTCTCTAAGACCGTACTGATGGGAATAGCGTGAAACTAATATGTCAATTTTTTTTTTTTTTTTTTTTTTTTGAGATGGAGTCTCGCTCTGTCGCCCAGGCTGGAGTGCAGTGGCGGGATCTCGGCTCACTGCAAGCTCCGCCTCCCGGGTTCACGCCATTCTCCTGCCTCAGCCTCCCGAGTAGCTGGGACTACAGGCGCCCGCCACTACGCCCGGCTAATTTTTTGTATTTTTAGTAGACACGGGGTTTCACCGTTTTAGCCGGGATGGTCTCGATCTCCTGACCTCGTGATCCGCCCGCCTCGGCCTCCCAAAGTGCTGGGATTACAGGCGTGAGCCACCGCGCCCGGCCACTAATATGTCAATTTTAAAATCAAATCAAATTGCTATCAAAACATGAAGGAGAAGTCAGGAATCATAAGTATTTGCCTTATTTCTTATGTGAACATTTCCTAAATCAGGGTTTACTATCCAAAACAAATTAACAAACAAATGGTATCAACCTAATCCATTATTTGCAATACTCTCATTTCAACAAAAACAAGCAACACATCATCTAATCCTCGGATAATTCTGGTCTGCATTATTCTTCATCAAAATCATGGCTGTGACTTTCTCACCCATGTCCCAGGGCCCTCAGTTTCTCCCTGCATGTCTGTGACTGTGTTCTAAGAGTTCCACATGTGCGTCCCTGATGGGTTGGGCCCAGCACTGTGCTGGCTATTCTTGTCTTGCTTCTTATCATCCCCTCAAGATGCCCACGAGAGTTGCACTAAGGGACGAGGTCAGGCAAATGCATGCTCTTAATTACCATGAGCCTTTGGCCGACACCCCAGTCTAGTTGGCCTCCTGTGAACTAACCCCAACATAGAAAGCAGAGGTCTCTCGCAATTCTAGCTATTCATTAGAATCACCTGGGAGATTTGAAAAAACAAAAACAAACAAACAAAACCAGTGGTGTTCAGGGGCTTTTCCCTCGGCACCCCCAAGGGATTCTGATTTAATTGATCCAAGGTAGACCCTGGGTGTCCATATGTTTTTAAAGTTCCCAGATGATTTTAATACAAAGCCCAGTTTGAGAACCACAGATGCAAAGATGTGAGCTCCTCTTATGTGAGCTGTGGCCTTACACCGCAACAGTCCATATTTCCTATTTCCCCAGGTTCGTGGTTGAGCCTGCCTCCACTTTTTTTCTAAAGCACTCTACTTCAGAGGAAATGCCACTTTGGGAGCACAAGTGCTGAGAAACAGTGGGCCTGGTAGCTTAAGGAATTTGCCCATTGCTTAGATGCTGAGGTAGGCAACTTGACCATGGGTTGTCTCATGGTGGAAGAGATCCCAGCAGGAATACCTCCAGGCCAGCATAACCTGCTAAGTCTCCAGGAAGCAGAAGTCTAGGGAGATCCACAGAGAGAACAGGAGGTAGGCTTGATGCCTGACCAGTGCCTTTTAAAAGCACTTCTCTCCATGCCAGCCTTAGCCTGTGGAAGGACAGAGGTCAGAGAGAATTCCTCATGGTGGCTCACATCTTTAGCACCTTCATTCACCGCAGGAAGCTGCAGTGCTATCATGGACACACAATAAGATGCTTAGAATCCATCCAAGTTCTCAGCTCTCATCCTTCTTGGAAGTGGAGTCACATCAAGAGCTAAACTGGAGTAGAGCATGTAGTTAGCATCAGCCAGGACAGAAAGATGGCCAGCTGTGAGCCTGTCTTCAAGAAGACTGCCGTGGTGCGGGAGCCAGAAACCAGTCCACCAGGAACACTCCCCACAGCCCAAAGATGCAATCCAAATTTCAGGAGCCTGGCTGCAGAGGCTCCTTGGGCTCTGACAGTTTCCTCCTTCTCCAGTTTTCCTTCATGGTACCTGGACAGCTCTTTGAATGGCCAGCCCTGCTTGAGTCTCACACTGCTCTCTGCCTCCTTTCCTGCACGGGCCCCTGCTGACCTGGAAAGTCCTGCCTGCCTCAGGGGTCTCTCCAGAAGCCTCCCCTGGTTCTGCCTGTCTGCTGGGAGCCCCTGCCCCAGGCGCTGCAGCCCATTCTCCATGCCTCCTCTATACACTGGTTCACACCAATTTTTGTCTGCTTATCTGTTTATTTGTTGGTCTTTTTTTTTTTTTTTTCTGAACATTCCCATGAAAGAAATCAGAGTCAATATCTGTAGTTACTGTTTCCGGTCTGGTGGGCATGAGCCTCAGGGGGCTATCAAACAGCTAAAATCTGGTTCCTGTGCATGTCGAAGCAATATTTTGCCCACTTGTTTCGGCTCATGGCTATAATCCCAGCACGTCGGGAGGCCAAGGTGAGAGGAGCCCATGAGGCCAGGAGTTTGAGACTAGCCTGGGCAACATAGTGAAACCTTATCTCTAAAAAAAAAAAAAAAAAAAGAAAGAAAGAAAGAAAAAGAATTAAAAAAAATATTTTGAATACATTTGGTTAAATTAAAATTTCAAAATAATTTTACTTTATCTTTTTTGCTTTTTAAAATGTGACCTCTAGAACACTTAAAATTATATGTATGGCAAAAAAATGAGCCATATGGTTGATATTACATTTCTGCAGAAAAGCTCTGGTCTGCAGTCGGAAACAAAGGGCCAGGAATTGCTCTCACTAGTGTTTCTCTTTGTATCTCAACTTCTCCTTCTGTCCACAGCCTCACCCATCTCCTCCCAGGCAGTGCGCAGAAGATAAAAGATGACCAAGATCTTGCCCTTGCCCTTTAATTCTCTCAGTGATATATTTCACTTTTTCTAAATCATCCAAACTTCCTCTGCACAGTGCCTCAGATAGGGTAGGTGCTCGACAAATAATGATTGACCGGTTCATGTATGCAATTATTATTTATCCAGCATGGTTTTCTGTAGCCCTTTTAAAACCAATGTTGTTCCTTTTATTCATGGATTTTAGAGTGCTTAGGTTCGTTTTATCTGGAAATGCATCTGTCTGCTCCACATTCTTGAGGTTAGTGCAGGTAGATGGTCAGGCTCCAGTCTTACTGACCAGCAAGTAAATCACACCACGAATAAATGAGCAACAAGGCCGCCGAGGCCACTGCCCGCAAGACTCGGTCAGTTAGTTAACAAAATATCCAATATTCACAAATGAATCAGTGAGAAATCAAATGAACACTGAGGTTGTCGTGAATATGGCATCTTCTTAGGTGAGTCCTTTTTTTTTTTTTTTTTTTTTTTTGTGAGACACAGTCTCGCTCTGTCGCCAGGCTGGAGTGCAGTGGCGCGATCTCGGCTCACTGCAAGCTCCGCCTCCCGGGTTCACGCCATTCTCCTGCCTCAACCTCCCGAGTAGCTGGGACTATAGGCGCCCGCCACCACGCCCGGCTTATTTATTTTTATTTATTTATTTATTTTGTATTTTTAGTAGAGACGGGTTTTCACTGTGTTAGCCAGGATGGTTGCGATCTCCTGACCTCGAGATCCGCCCACCTCGGCCTCCCAAAGTGCTGGAATTGCAGGCGTGAGCCACCGCGCCCAGCAAGGTGAATACTTTTCCACAGTGTGTCTGGAGACATGGATTTAGAAGCCAGGGGCTGGGTGGGGCAGAAGGAGGCTGGTTCTATCCAAGTCTACCTGCCCTTGAACACCCTGACTTGTCTCCCCCTTTCAAGGAAGCCTGCCTCTCCATCATTTCTCTTTCTCCATATTTTTTTGGGACTTGTACTATTGTTTTGAGTTGTCAGTTATCTTTTGAACTGCTCCATGCACTTGGTGTATGTTTATGTCTTTCCAATGAATCAGTCAACTCCTACCAGGCAGGACCATACGTTTTACTGTTCACATCTTTGTACTGCAGCCTTACAGAATGTGCAGGGCCTTACAGAGGGTGGGAACTCAGCATACCAATATGCTTCCATTAGTTAGGAGAGATTCTACAAAATGGCAAAATCTCATACACCTTCTTTAAGGAGTTAAATCATTACTCAGCTGAAAAGAAGTTTCTTAAAGTTTATGAATAGTTCTAAAATATGTAGGTAAACAAAGCTATGTTAATGAGCAGCATTGTCAGAAATGGGTCACAGTTAATTGGAGACGTAGCACTCCTTCCCTAGCTGGCTCCTTTTAACAGCTGAAGTCTGAGCCTTTGTTATTACCCTTCCTCTCTATTCTCACTGCCACTGCCCTTCGTTAGGTCTGACACTATTTCAAATGAAGCATTATAATGGATCACAGCAACTAAAACAGACCGGCACAACAAAGATTCCCCACGTACGGGTCTCCTAAGATTGTCCTCCAGTCCGGCTCCCATTCAAATTTATCCTCCAAATACCAGCTGAGTTATATTTCTAAGGTCACTACAGGGCTGAAAAAGACTTCAGTGGTTGGTCATTACCTGTGGTAGGGGAAGTCAGATAACTTAAATTGCCACGTGTGACCCTTCGTGCCTTGAGCTTCATCTAGCTCACTGCATGTCCCTCCTCCCCACATACCCTGTGCTCAGCCACTGACGTCTTCTAAATGGGACAAACACACCTTGCTTGACTCACCCCTCTAATTTCACATATACTCTTCCGTGTCTTGGGTTCTCATCTAGAATTCTCCTTATTTCCCTTCCTCATGAGGTCTCTCATTACTCTAGGGAGAATTAGTTACCCCACTTCTTGTGTTCTGATTTGATTTGTTTATGTATCTCGTAACATATAGAGTTGTAAGTAATTGCAGCATACAAATAAGACCCCTCACCCCACCCCCACTGCCCCCAGACTCCAAGTTCTCCTAGAGCAAGAACCATGTCTACCTTTTTCCATTTGGGGTATTCCTGCTATGTGGCTGGCATTTTACTTATAACAGCTCATTTAAATTTTTAAATTATTTCATAAGACCTATTATTATCCCTATTTTGCATATGATGAACCTGAGGCTCTGAGTGTTTTCATTACCCAAAATCACAACTGGTGAATGCTAAAAACCGAGACTTACATGTATGTTCTGTTCTAAGGCCAGTGGTCTTTACTCTGCAGTGTGCTACTGTTGCTCATTCACACTTCTATTTTCTGTGCCTAGTACCACAAGATGGTAATAAGTAAAACGCCAGGTAAATGAATGAGGCCAAATTCCCAGTATCCCAGTTTCTCTTGAGTAAAAGTCCGACTCCCTTCCCATTTGTTGCCGCCCTTCCCTTCCCATCTCTGTCTTCCTCCTTTTCACCTGTGCTGTCTCACGAAGAAGGCAGGTCGTTTTTTTGTTGTTGATTGTTTTGTATGTGCTGCAAACATTGCAAGTGCTCCTCCCAGCTCACAATGACTTCTCCCAAACACCCGCTTTTGCTTTCTGACATTTTCAGTGTCCGCTGCCAAGACCTGCTGTGATTCTCGTGACACAGAGTTGTGTGTAAGAGCTTGCAACAGCCAGAGGGGCCTCTGACGAGACAGGCCATCCTGAGGCTGTCAGGCACTGGGTCGTAATGAGCCTGCCATTTGAAAGAGCCACGGTACAGGTTGGGTTTGGGTTTATCCTCCCTCTTACCTCCCCTTTCCATTTGATGTAGATTGGCACAGACCAGGTTTTTCTCAATGTAAGAACATAAAGACATGAAATATTCTCAGAACAGGAAAAGGCCACACGGCTCAATATATTGACCTCTTCTGTTAATATTTCCAGTGATTCTCCATTTTGGTAAAAGAGCTTGGCTGATTACTGCTGGCGGAAAGTGACAAAGTGAGAAGGTGTTTTAGGGCTTGACTTTTAGGTACTGGGGGGGGAAGCGATCCAGGAGAGTGTCAGGCCAGCTCCTCAATTTAGAAAGGAGTAAAAGAAACGCTGGAAACTGGTGGGTGTTCTTAAGGCTCACAGGTATGTGGAGCTGAGCACAGACTAGAAAGTGGGTTTTCTAAGGCATGAAGCCCATAGAACTATCCCAAAACATTACCTCCAGCAAAATGAACCTCATATACCGGGGCCTATTCCCCCAACTTCTATTTTAAAATTTATCTGGTGGAGTTACCTTGTGGTTTGGGGTTGGCATTCCTCTTTGATCTGTGCTAAAGGGCAAACCCATCTGGCCCCAAGAACAGTTAGAATGTTAACTGTGAGGATGACCACATGTATTAGTCCATTTTTGTGTCAGTGTAAACAAATACCTTTGGCTGGGTAATTTATAAAGGAAAGAGGTTTCATTGGTCCCTAGTTCTGCAGGCTTTACAGGAAGCATGGTGCCAATATCTGCTCAGCTTCTGGTAAGGGCCTCAGGAAGCTTCTAATCACAGCAGAGAGCTAAGCAGTGTGGGGTGGGGTGGGGGCAGGCGTGTCACATGGCAAGAGTAGGAACAAGGGGTGGGGGAGGTGCCACACTCTTTTAAATAGCCAAATATCGTGGTTGGTAATGGTAGACAACTCATTATCATTCATTACGGTGGGGAAGACACCAAACCATTCATGCAGGATCTGCCCCCGTGACTGAAATGCATCCCACCAGGCCCCATCTGCAACATTAGAGGTCACATTTCAACATGAGATTTGGAAAGGATAAACATCTAAACTGCATTATTCTGCCCCTTCCCTACCCCCCAAAATATCATGTTCTTCTCACATTGCAAAATACAGTCACCTCTTCCCAACAGTCCCTCAAAGCCTTAACTCGTTCCAACATCAAGTCCAAAGTCCTAAGTCTCATCTGAGACTTATCTTCTTCTGCCTATGAGCCTATAAAATCAAACGAAGTTATTTACTTCCAAGTCACAATGATGATATAGGCATTGGGTAAATGTTCCTGTTCCAAAATGGAGAAATTGTCCAACAGGAAGGGGCAGTAGGCCACACACAAGTCTCAAACTCAGCAGCCATTACACCTTAAAGATCCAATATAATCTCCTTTGACTCCATGTCCCATATCCAAGCCACACTGGTACAATGGGTGGGCTTCAAGGCCTTTGGGAAACTCTGCTCCTGTGGCTTTGCAGGGTGTAGACCCTGTGGCTGCTCTCACAGGTTGGAGTTGAGTGCCTATGGCTTTTCCAGACTCAAGAGGCAAGCTGCTCATGGCTCCATCATTCTGGGGGCTGGAGGGTGGTGGCCCTCTTCCCACAACTCCACTAGGCAGTTCCCTGGTGGAAACTGCATGGGGGCTTCATCCCCCCATTTCCCCTCCCTCTGCACTGCCCTAGTGGTGGTTCTCTGTGAGTGCTCCACCCCTGTGGCAAGCTTCTGCCTGGGCACCCAGGCTTTCCCATACATCCTCTGAAATCTTGGAGGAAGCTGCCAGGCTTCCTTCATGCTTGCATTCTGTGAGCCTGCTGACTTAGCGCCATGTGCAAGCTGCCAAGGCTTATGGCCTGCACTCTCTGGAGTAGTGGTCAGAGCTGTACCTAGGGCCCTTAGAGCCACAGCTGGAGCTGGAGCAGCCAGGATGTGGGGAGCAGTGTCTGGAGATTGCTCAGGACAGTGGGGTCTTGGACCTGGCTCCTGAAACCATTATTTTCTCCTAAGCCTCTGGGTCTGTGATGGGAAGGGCCGTTCCAAAGACTTTCGAAATGCCTTGGCTCCCTTTTAGTCATGTTAATCTCTCTAGCAAGTGGTTGCTACACAACCTGTCTAGATTCCTTCTCTACAACAGGGCCAGGCTGCAAACTTACTTTTACTCTCTGCTTCCCTTTTAAATATAAGTTACTAGTTTAAGTTTTTTTTTGTTGTTGTTGTTGTTCCCAAACCTGATTCTAGGCCATTAAAAGCAGCCACACCACTTCTTGAATGCTTTGCTACTTAGAAATTTCTTCTGCCAGATACTGTGAGTTGTCACTCTTAAGTTCAACCTTTCACAGATCCCTAGGGTGCGGATACAGTACAGTCAAGCTCTTTGCTAAGGTGTAACAAGGGTGACCTTTACAGCAGTTTCCGATAAGTTCATTATTTCCACCCGAGACCATTGACAGTCTGGATTTTACTGTCCATATTTCTACCGGCATTTTGGTCACAACCATTCAACCAGTCTCTAAGAAGTTCCAAACTTCTCCTCATCTTCCTGTCTTCTTCTGAGCCCTCTACACTCTTCCAACTTCTGCTTGTTACCCAGTTCCAAAGCTACATTCATATTTTCAGGCATCTCTATGCCAACACCCCACTCCTTGGTACCAATGTTTTTGTGTTAGTCCATTTTTGCATCTCTGTAAAGGAATACATGAGGCTGGGTAATTTATAAAGAAAAGAAGTTTACTTGGTTCATGGTTCTGCATCTGCTTCTGGTGAAGGTCTCAGGAATTTACCAGTCATGGCAGAAGGTGACAGGGACCCAGCATGTCACATGGCAAGAGCAGGAGCAACAGATGTGGGGGAATGCCACACTCTTTTAAACAACCAGATCTCACATCAGCTCAGAGCAAGAACTCCACATTACCTTAAGAACAGCACCAAGCCATTCATGAGGGATCTATCCTCATGATCAAAACCCCTCCCACCAGGCCCCACCTCCAACATTGGGGATCATATTTCAACATGAGGTTTGGAGGCGACAAATATCCAAACCATATCACCATATCAGATGGACCCATGGTTTGTCTCTTTAAGCAGGGCTTCCCCCTTTCCAAGCTTCCAAAGTGTCTCTAGAGCGAGGGGTGATGCCCAGTGAGGGACAGTCTGCAGGACAGATCAGCCCACAGTGGCAGTTCTCTTATTCAGACAATTTCTCCAGTGCCTCTGTTGAAACTCTTGAGCTACCAGGTTGGGATAATCTTCCCTAAGGGACGAGAACATTGCCCAAGAACGTTAGGACAATGAGGAAAGGTACCAAGGGGCAGTACTTAGCCACTACTCTCTCATTGCTCTTGATAAAAACTTTCTTTCTCACCATTTGCCATTCTGGTTACCGGTTGATCCCAAGCCACAAGAAGTCCTCACTTTCTTGAAATGCCACTCTTAACATCATATCCCTTGCCGATATAATGGATCAAGAAAGATCTAAGAGGCCTCATTGTTTTTATGCAACCAGGGTACCAGCTTCTACCAACAATGTCATATTCCATATGCACTGTTACTATTTTGTCTCCTCCCCTTCCTGAAATGCATATGAATATCCTGCTAAAAGACACAGGACATGCAATTATTCACACATAGTACCTCAAGCAATTGACAGTCAACAGAGCCAATGTTAGGTGTTGCTCTGGAGATATGCGCAAATGTTAGGGGATTTGATCTTGTCTTGAAATTTAAAATGGGGAGGGCAGAGTAGGTGTCCCTAATGAAGTGTTCCTTGAAAGCAATCTGGCAGTTGAAATTTTAGCTGAGGTGACAGAAGATCTGTTAGTTCATTCAAACCACTTTCTCCCCTGCCAGAGGTGAAGAATAATTCTGAGTGGTTCCTGCTCAACATTTTTTCCTACTGCAACATCTAATGGTGTTTGTATTCTCACACTGCCACAAATACTTCTAAGATCATGCAAAATTCTGAACATACTCTTTCTAAGGAGAGAAAAGGACAGGCTGGTAAAGAGACAGAATTTATTTGCAAGGCTTAAGTAAATGGAAAGATACAATGAAACAGAGAGAGTGGTTTTATATGCAAATCTAGGAGGGTACAACTATTTTGCCTGATGATTATAAACTCATTGAGAACAGAGGCCATATCCATCTTCACTCTGCACTCCCAATGCTCATACACAATGCAACTGTTTAGGTTCAATAAATACTTCTTCCCTGTCCAAATCTACTTCTCATCCTGTTAGTCCTGCTCTTATTTTTATCTGGATTGAGGGCTGGGGGAGTGGCTGAAGAAGAGAGGCACATGTATTGCCTCTATCATTATTTCCTCACAAATAACCAATTAACTCCTGCACCAGTATTTACACCACTATCTACTAAATCTTGAGAGAAAAATAAATTTAAAAATAATTTGGATTCCTTTTTTATTCTTTATGGGTAGAGTTTTTTTTATTTCTCTGCTTAAGAAAGGGAAATAATTGAAATAAGAGAAATTTTCATTTCTCTGCCTGCTGTGGGAAGACATATTTCAATAATGCATTGAGATTCTCTGAAGAGGTGGATGGCCAGGCTGGTAGAGACACCAGCAGCAGCCGGGCATGGGGTGGAGGTGGTGAGAGGAAGGGGCCGTGTCTGAAAACTGCTCTGAGAGGTGTCCTTAGCTCTGGGCAACTGCAGCTGCAGGGAACTCTGGCAGAGGGGAACAAAGTAGTGAGTTTGCTAAGACCAGAGACTGATTCTGCCTACGGTCTTTAGCCAGACGGCTGCTTATCAGGAGTGTTCAGACTGGAAGACAGGAAATTAATGTTGGATTGTAGGTCCATTTGTGCTAAGCTGCCCATGGTTGCTTGGGAGGCTCATAGCACTGAACCCTGGCCATACCTCTGTGCTTTCAGAGAGCAGCATCAGGCATTTTGTAGCATGAATAAAGACCTGAAAAAGAAATGACCTATTCTGAGAGGATCAGAGCACCGGGGATCATTTAACCACAACATGATGACGATTTGTGAGATGGGGAGATTGGTGACATGTAAAATTATCTGTGTGAATGCATTCAAGGAGGGGAGATTGCTGCTTACTTATTTACTGTCAAATGACTGAAAGCCCAGGTTTGGAAACAGCGAGGTTCTATTGTCAGTTCTTCCTATTAGCCGTGGACTACTAGTGGCAAGGTCTGGAGAACAAGACCCTGATTCTGTGAAATCACCCAGGTTTAAGCGCTAGCATTTGTTAATCCAGCGGGTGATTGCACAGGCTTTGGAGTTGAACATGCTCGGGATGTAATTCCTCTTCTCCTCTTGATTAGGCGCATGAAAGTGGTCAAGTTACTTAAAGTCTGGAAGTCTCAGTTTTCTCATCTGTAAAATGGAGATAATATAGACTTTATAGACTTCATGGAATTTCTATGAGAGTTGAGGTAGGACCATTAACCATACCATTTTATTCCTCAACACTGAATCTGGAATCAATTGAGTAGGTGGCTGACAGATTTTTTTTTTAATCAAACAAATAAAAAGATGAGGTTTGTTGCTACTTGTATTAAATTAGAGAATATAGCTTGAATCTTTAGCTAAAATTGGGCTTTCTACTATCTGCAGTATGAAACTCACACATCTAGTAGTATAGCCTCTCATCTCAATCTCCTCCTCTTATATATGCCCTCTCACTTCCCACTCCCCCAACCATAGACACACAAATAAGTAAGCAGAGATTCCCTCATAAGAACGTAATGAGAGAAGAATGAGTCCAAGCTGACAGTGAGAAAGGTGCATCAAATGCCACTGGCCCCACGTATTTATAGAATTATCCTTTCATTGATATTACTTTTCATTCTCATGTATCTGTAAAGAAAGAGATTTATAAAGAACCTTAAGCTTTTTGAGGGAAAGCAAAACCAAACAATAACCCCCCCTAAAAAAGAAAAAGAAAACCCCAAAACCCTCATCATTGCACATTTTCTTCATTTCCAGCTGTCTTTGGGCTGGTTTTCATAGGGAGCTGAAGACAGAAATCAGTACTCATGGTGTCACTCTCTGTAGTTGTGGCATTTGGGTGCTTCCCATGCCAAGAGATCCAAGCCTGATATTCAAGCAGGCTTAAAAGAGCCCGTCATGGTGGAGGCTGAACATACGCTACAGTGGGACAACGGATATCCAGACCAAGGTGTCCCCGGCTCACTTTCAGAATTCCAGTGCTGATAGAATCTCACTTACAGACCACAGAATTTAAAAGGGCTGCTGAGGCATTCCAGAAATAGCCATTAACCTGGAGCAAGGATATATGCTTCAATCCTGCCTCTGCCATGTCCTAGCAGAGTGACCTTGGGCAACTAGTTACTCCGTGTCTCCTAGTCTCATTTTCCTCCCCTACAAAACGGGGACAATAATGCCTATCTTATGGGGTTTCTGACGAGATGAGCAAAGTACTTATGTTACATACATTATATGTATATTATACATATATATATATTTAAGCACCTGTTATTGTCAAGGTCTGTAATACACATATATATACACACACATACATATATACACACACATATATGTATATGTATATATACACTGGATACATGTACTGGATCTGAAAGGAATACATATGATAAGGAATCATTCAGTTGTCTTTCCTGCTCACCTGGCCTCGCGTAACTTAAAGGTGACTTAAAGGTGAATGATCTGGAAGTGGAAGAGGCCATTGTCCAGGCTCAGATGGCCCAACAGCAACAGTGGTGTTGCAGCACTTTTTCTGCATGAGATTTTAACTTCGTCTGGAAGAAACCCAAATGCCTAAACTAATGTATAAATTAATGAATGCATAGATGCCTAAAATGTTTGTTTTGTGGGTGTTTTTTTTTTACACCTGAAGGAATGAGTTTTATTTTCTATAAAATGTTTGACTCTCAATGACTCATGTTAACCAATTGGCACATTTTCTTTCTTCCCCGAAAACCAAATTGTTAAGAAAACAAGAACTTCAGAACAGGGAGGCAAATTGACTGCATCTGTGCTGTCTGAGTTAGGGGACTAGTCGTGGGCTAAAAGTAGATGGCTGGACGTGACACATATTTGGAAGTAAGGAGTGACTCAAGGACAGAAAGGAGTCTGGGATGAGTAAGTCTTCGTCTCCTGAGTAGCTGAGCCTGGAGAGGGAGGGGAGGATTCTGAGCATGTTGCAGTAAACAAAATTAAGGATGCAAGGAAGTAGAATATGTTTGTGGCTAACGTAAAAGAGTCGATACATTTGAAATACCGACAGGACATCTATATCTGTATTTATCCATCTATAAACTATTGGAACTATGTCTGAAATTTCAGAAACATTTGTAAGTCTTCTGCACAGAAGAAATAAGTGAGGCCATTGAAATGGATGAAGTCTTTCAAAGATCTTAAGTAAGAGTAAAATAATTGGGGCAAAGTCGTTGGGGAAGGGTTGGATAAAGAAAAAGAACTGTCATAGAAGTTATAAAAACAAACTCGGGTGGTCTAATAGAATTGGCATCATGGGAGAAGTGCATTTCAAGAAGAAGATGACCAACAGTTTCAGATACTCCAGAGAGATCGAGAAAAATGGAATATAAGAAAAGGTCTCTAGATTTGATCATTAGATTTCAAAATAATTTCACATTTTTCATTTTATTTGTACAGCATGTCAGAGCTGCCAAGGTCAGAATCTGTTTTTCAATATTACGCTTTTGGATGTATATGGAGCACCGACATTTTATTAACAAGTATGCTCCAAATCATATCGCCATATCTGGGTAGGTTTTGCTCCCTCCTGCATTGTGTGCATGGCTGTTGCAAACCTCACCCTCTATCCTTCCTGCTGAGAGTTGACCCCACTGCCTACTCCTGAGAGTGAAGTCTGAAGAACCTCCCCACTTGGCCCCTCTTCCTTTTCTCCCTTGCTCTTGGCTCGTCCAGCTCTTTCAGGTTCTCTGTTCTTTCCCACTTGTAAATCTTCAATCTCTTCCACGATTCCTTACTTCTACCTGTAAATATGCTTAGGTCTAAATTTTTCTTTATAAAGAAGAAAGAAACAAAGAAACCCAGCGATTCTATCTTTCCCTCATTTTCCCTCTTTGCCACTAATAAAAAATATTTCCTGCAAAAGAAAGACATATTTTCCATGGTTTGTATATCCCCAAATTGTTGCTGATTTCTGGGAAGTCATTTTTTATACTGAATCTAGGGATTAATTTATTTTTGGGTCTCTGGCCACGATTCATTTTCTAACCATCTCTCTTTTTTTGTTTTCTTTGTCATTACCCTTAGTGGGGATGTGGACAACTTCAACATTGAATGAATACATTCAGTCATTGATGAGGAGCAGGAGGAGACAGCATAAAATATGTGAGGATAAAAAAGATAAGAGTTTGAGTGGTGTAATGACACAGGTTTGAGTCAAGGAAGGAGATGGTAGCAGCTCCAACAATTACTCATATAATGCCCTCTGTCCACTCCTGAACAAATGTCTATTGAATATCCATGTGCCAGGCGCCTTTCTGGGTGCTAGGGACACAGTGGTGAATAAATAGATCTGCAGCTTCTGTGCTCTTAGTGTCCAGCAGAGAGAGGTTAATATTTTCAACTGTGGCATATTAATCTCAACTTGTCATTCTCTGGTGGGGGCTAGAGCTCATGTCTGTATTTGTAGAGGCAAAGCAAGATGGACAGTGTTAACATTCTCTAGGTCAGTGGTTTCAAAATGCTGACCCATGATGATGCTGGCCCATGATGAAGTCCCACGCCTGTGAGGAATGAAAACAATTGGGAGAACAAAGCCAGAGGGAGCCATCATGTCAACAACTGTCCTTTCTGAAATTATATCCTCTCTCTCTATGGAATTAAAATGCACCCTTAGTTTTTAAGAATTAATGATGAGAAGAAGTAGACACTGTTACTTGGCAAAATAAAAAAAAATTGGCACCTAACTTCTGCCCTTTCTTTTCTTTTAAATTTTACTGATCTATAAACCCCGAAAGTCTGAGAATTTCTGTTACAAGATATCTAGGTTATGCAGGAAATACATATTTTTTTGAGAAAAAAAGGATCTTCCAGTTGGCTCAACCCAGGTAGGCTGTGGACAATTGATCCAATTTACCCAATATTTACCCAGCCTCCCACCCCCTTTGCTGGGATTCTGCCAAGCAAACTCACCAGGAAACTGAAGGGTGCTTGTCAGTAAATCAATTTAATTGTTAATTGTGGCCAGACCCAAAAATGTTCATCTAAAATCATAGCTGTCACTCTAACCCTAAGGATAAGAGACATCCACTTAAAAGACAAAATCTAAAAGTCCCAAAGGCAAATTAATATAAACGACACCCGGGATTCCTGAGAAACGGCAGGTCTCGAGCTTTCCAGCTGAACTGTACTTTGCGTTTATCTCTCTGTCTCTTTGTCTTCTACAGCATTTGAAGGAGAAATTCCAAGGGAGAACTCAGTTAAACTTGACTAATTAATTCTTTGTAAAAGCTCGTGACTGAAGATGGGATGGTAACATAGAGGCCGCCTGGCCGTAGGGTCAACTGGACCCTGTGCTCCTGGAAGTTGGGGCAGTCACTTTAGTCACGCACCCTCCCCAAGCCCAGCACCGAGGGGCTGTGCCGGTTTCCCAGGGCTCCCATAACAAAGTACCACAACCAGGGAACTTCGAGGTGATTGTTTCACAGGGCCAGAGGCTGTAGGTTCAAAACCAGGGCACTGGCAGGGCCATGCTGCCTCAGAAACCTACAGGGGAGAACCCCTCTTTGACTCTTCCCATGTCTGGTGTTTCACTGAAAATCCTGGTGTTCATTGGCTTGTGGGCTCAGCACTTCAGTCCCTGCCTCTGTTGTCCCAGGACCTTCTTCCCTCACACGTCTCTGTCTCTGTGTCTTTTCTCCTTTTCTTACGAGCCATATTGGATTAATGGCCCACCCTATTCCAGTATGACCGCACAGGAACTAATCACATCTGCCAAGACTCTATAGCCAAATCAGTTCATGGTATGAGGGACCAGGTAATAGGACTTCAACACAGCTTTTCTGGGAGGATGAGAGGACACAATTCAACCCATGACAAGTGCTCAGTAATGAACATGTGAATAAATGATTCTGGGAACTAGCACCAGTTAAGACTTTGGCTGTGGGGATGACAGCATTTGAACAAACAGGTGTGTACTCGCCTTAGTGCTGAATACAGATATAGATATAGATAGAACTAGATAGATAAATATATGTATGTGTGCAAATATGTTTATATATTTGTATATTACATGTATAATAGTAAAAATTATATCATGATGTTATTGTGTGCTTTTGAAAGGTCTAACACACGAATTTCAAAGTAGTAATAATTAAACTTATGCACACTGCAGATGTCACCCATGGTCTTCCAATTCCTCACACTCGTGAGATTTTTCCTGATTGAAAGATTCCATTGATAATGACGGACATTGGCTTGCAATGCGACAATTCCCTCTTAAAGCAGTCAACCATTGCCAAGACTGAGGGCCCTCTGGATAGGAAGTGGCCCCCATTTTAGGAAAGAGGGCTCCAAGAGGGCTCCTTCTTCCTGCGGAAGGAAGAGGCCATCTCTCTTCAGCTTCTGGCTTAGCAGATCCCTTGAGGGACTACTGAAAATCCAGGAAGAATTTTTACTGATTAATTTTAAAACATAGTTTTTGCCAAAAGAAAAAAAAAGCTTCTGTCTCCTGAACTTTGGTTCTGCGAGAGAAAGAACATAATGGGCCCAGACTATTACAATCTTGACCTTTCATGGAGAGGCTTAATGAGATGGTGGGAACTTGTTGAGGGCTGTGGGGTCAGTTCCTCAGCTCCTCAGGATGCCGCAGGACTTGGAAGTGTGGTTTGGTGGGTGCCATGGGAGCTGATTCCCGGCCCCCAGCACCTCACTGGCTCTTGGGTGTGCACCCTGCTGGCTCACAGGGGTCGCTTTTGCAGTCCAGAGGCCTGGTACACTTCCCACCTTGCTCCTAGGACATTTTCTTCCCTCATAACCCCTCCCCATCCCTCTGGTTCACTCAGGTGCCTAAGAGAAGGTGCTGGTTTGAATGTGTCCTTTGACCCCAGCTAGAATAAATGAAATAGGATAGTCGTGCGTCCTAGGGAGGGACATCCACTTTCAGTGGGTGGCTGCTATCTGGTGCTCTGCCAGCTCTCCTTGAAACCCCTGGCAGCCTTCCGAGATTAAATGCAGAGCTCTTGAGTAATCTAAACCCAGCAAGAAGTCACTCTCTCAGCAGCAGGTCAAGTGTTCTAGACTGTCATCTTATTGAGAGCAAAGAGAAATTTTGATTTAAAAGAAGGCCCGTAATTTTCCAACAAGGAGTGAAAGCAATAACATTTCTTCTGCCCCCTGCTGACTCCTCACTTCGTAGAAACTTGGCTTCTCCGGGTCTGGATCATTCCTTTGTGCTTGGATATTCTGTCAGAGGCTTTCTTCTCAAAGAGATGTTCCTTAACAAGAAATGCATTGAAGCTGAGGAAGGGAACAAATTGATATGTATTTGTGAGTTTGGTAAAATAAGAAAGATGTATTCTCAGCACACAATGGTGCATGTGCAGGCCTGCCTTGTCCACCACCCTCAATCCACCTCCTCCTGCCCCTTTCTTGGGTCCCTTTCTCTTGCCTCATACCCTGCCCCGAGCGTCCCCGGGCCGGCCCAGAGGGGAAGGAGCATGGCTTTCACGTGGCCAGAAGGGACACAGGGTTCAGGCCTGCTCAGAGATAGAAATATAACTCCCTGACAGGGAATACTGTTTCGAGGTGGTGTTCTGTATATGAAAAAATCTGCATCCTGATATATGCCTCATAATATAGTGCTTTGTGGGTCTTATTGCAGTGCATTTTATTTAGTCAATAATGCTGTACAGCACTGTCTGATAATAAATAACTGCAATTTGCATGATATTCTGGGCTGTTAGATTTTTTTCTTGTTCTACAAGAAAATTGCATTTATCTTTCAGTTTTCTTTTTTTTTTTTTTTTTAGTCCAAATATCCTACAACTGCTTAAATAAAGACCACTTCAACTTTCAATTTATTACTAACCCTAACTATCACAGCAAGCAGTATAAGGGCTAAGAAACATGAGCCTCTTGTAAGGGGCTAATCTCTGCATTGGATACTGTTGTGTGCAGGTGGTTACTGCATCTGAAGCACTCCTTTCCTTCAGGAATTGTCCCTGTGCTCAGAGAGCTTGCACCAAGAGGCATACCTGCAGTGGTGTGGACAGAAAGGGCAGTGAGTGGGTGTCCACCCCAACTATGTTGCATCATTTTAATTAGTTTGCATCTGTGTGTTAGACTCTGAGCATCACAGATGCAGGGACTATATGTGATTATCTTTATAACCCTTGGATTGAGCATCCTGCCGAGTGCATACTAAGTGCTCATCGAATTTTGTACAATAAATCAGTGCACAAACAAATGAATGAGAAAGTCATTTTGGATTCAATGCTGCCTATCTGTGCAATTTTATGCTGGCATACTTCTGGTGGCAATTTTATATTTGTAGTAGTTTTTGAAGCACTGTCATAGACTGGTGATATTGCATAGGGGTGAGAATATTGGTTCTACCAATCAGTTTCTAAGCTTTAGCTCCTTCCTCAGTAAAATGGGAGGAACAACTCTAGCTATTTCTTAGTGTTGTATGTGTTCAGTGAAACAATGCATGTGTTTATCATAGTGCCACACACACAGTAAGTGCTTGTTAAATGGAAGCTAATTAGTATCATTATTATTGATGGCTATGATGATATCCTCTCTTCCTACCATTTAATTCTACTGAAATTGTTGATCCTTAATGTGTTTAAGGCCCATCTACCTTCATGTTTTCAGTTTAGATTCAGACAACATCTATCAATGTCAGGCAAAGATCCAGCTGGTGAGAACTGAAGAAGAGTGCTTTGTGTGTGTGCTTTATCCCTTAACACTTTGAAAATGGCAAGAGAGGATGATTATTTTGTGGATGTTTACTCTGGGCCAGGTTCTGGGATATTGAGATACTTTATGTATGTTACCCTTTTTAATCTCTATAAAAATGTTTTGAGGTAGGCATTATCACCCTCTTATTTTATAGAGTAGGGAATTTAGACGCACAAAGGGTATACAACTCATTAGAAGTCACACATCAAGTAAATGATGAATCCAGGCATTCCTGGCCACAAAGTCTGATGTCTTACTGTGTTAGATCAGCGTAACCTTCCTCATCAGCCTCAGCATAAATGTCGAATTGGTGCATTTACTTCAAGGAGCAATTCAGAATCCTATACACAGACCTTAACGAGGACACAGTAGCCTTGATTTTAATCAACAGCTTCCTCAGGCTAACGTCCCTGTGAATCTCTCTGGGCCTTGTATACTTCTTCTGTAAACTTGGTAGCACAGCAGAGACTATATCAGGTGGAAGCAGAGTGTCCTTTTCACTGTCTCATACCTACGATTCTGGACTTGGAATGAGTCACACGTGTCGCAAGCATGTTAGGATATATAGGAACAATTTAATTGGAGGGAAATATTTTCTCCTATTCCTGGCTGTCTGAGGTTCTTTGAGTCCTTTCAGTGTTAAAATATAAACCACGAAAACCACCTGTTTACAGTGTTTCCACTCTGTCAGCCAGTGTACCTCCATGTTGAATTGAACAAGAAATTGCTATGGGAATGCACACATCTGAAAGCATAAACAGGTATTTGATATCTATTTTAAATGGAAGCCAAAAAATGTCATTGGTACTTAGTATTTCTTTCCTAAAACAATCCCTTATATGTCTCCAAGCATCAGAGAAATAGAGAATTTAAGACTTGGAGGAGACCAGAGGGATCATTTGTCTAGCCTTCTCATTTTCCAGATGAACAAAGAGATGGTTTTTTTTTTCTTTGTCCCAACTGTGTGATATTTTAAAGCTCCCTAGCAGAATAATTTCCCATCTAGCTAAAGCTTATAGAGTGAGGACACATGAAGAAAACACTGGGAATTTTGCAGTGTATCAAGAACTCCACAGTGTGCTGAATGGGGCCCAGAGAATAGGTTTGCTCTCTGTTTTCTATTAATCAATCAATCAATCCAACACAAACACAACACAAAACTTGAAATTAAACATAAAAATTAACAGAGTAGCAAGTAATCAGTTCTTGGTGTCTTTGCTGTCATTCTTAGCACCTCCACATGAATAGGACAGGAGACTAAAATGTGAGAATTAGATTCCAATGTCGGCATGCAGGAGCTCCCAAGTATCATCTTTTATTTAAGCCTTCTTGTATTTTGAAGTTATATCTCATAGTTATCTAGCTACGAGAATAAAATGTATAAAATCACACCTCTTGGAAGCATTTTCTTTTTATTCATTTCTTTCATTATCATGAAGATCTTTAACTACAGGGGTGCTGAGGTTAGCCCAAACCTTTGCACAATACTCTCTTCTGCAGTAAATGATGGGATATTCTTCTTGCTCTTACAGAAAGGTAATCTTATCGATAATGCTTCCCTAGTTAGAGAGATGGTTTGCTGCTCTTAGTGCATGTTAACGATATTGTCCATTTCTGGAATGAAATTCAGCTCCCATGGCTACTTTGTCTAGCCTGTTGATGTTAGTTTTTACCATTGCCTGAAATGGGTAGCAGGTGGCTTTAAGTGAAATTCACAGTGTTCATCATTTTTTCAACCAGAAAAAGAAAAAACATGAGTAATAAAGTTCAGTCTGTGTCAATAAATGAGTAATAAAGTTCAGTCTATGTCAATGTGAAAATCTGGGCTGCCTACTAGGGTACAGAATGTGACCAGATCAGTGAGTGAGAAGGTGTCCGTGAAATCCCCAGAGTAACTGTTCTATGTTCCTCTGAAAAGAAGCACCTTGTGGCTCTGAGGTTCTTTGAGGAAAGTCCCTTCTCCCTGTTCAGTCATATACACCTGCTTTCTGCAGAATGTCAGAACCCAAGTTTGTTTGTTTGTTTGTTTCACTCTCGGGGAATTTCCAGTTTGTGATTTCATCAATTCAGTGGCTCCCATATTTGGTGGTATTATTTAAAATGCCAGATACATAAAGCATTTAGAGCTCAGAGATGCCCTTCTTCCCAGAGAAGTGTAGCATCACTCTTAGACATAAAGAGGCTTTCCTAATTGAAGAACTTGAAGAGTCTTTGTTGCATCTCAGACTCCCCATCTGAACCTGTAGATCTTATTGTCTCTATGAACAGGTGGAATATTGTTAGATCCAGGGCCACCAGCTGTCCTGGAGCACACATCAAAGAGGTACCCCTAGAATTGTGCAAAAACATGATATAGTTGGGTCTGCATTTTACAATGGATGTAAGTCCTCGGGACCAGTGTTTTCTACTATAAGCCTAAACAGTATGATGGGCAAAACCTGCCTTCAGAGAAATGTGTGCATTACTTAGCAGTTTCACTTCATTCTATGTTATAGGAAAAATTATCTACTCATATCGTACTCAAAGGTCTTCTATCTCTATTCATGCTAAGCTATTATATTTGAAATCTATAAATTCTCTTTTATAAGATGATGAATTTAACTTGCTCAGTACTAATCACAGTTTTGGAAACAGTTTCTAGTGTATGCATTACCTTAAATTGTTAATCTATGGTTTTGCACTTTTTCCTGTCAATCTATAATTAAATCATATGAAAACACACTGATTTTACATCATTAAAATAAAGGTGTATTCTGATTATCTCTGATGACTATGGCTTCCTAGCATTCATTATTTAATTGCTAGACATTTTATTATCAGCTCACATGGTGTTATCTAAATTAATTGTGAACTTTAATATATTTGTATCTAAAAAGAAAATCAGTTTTCTCCTCATAAAGTAGACTCAGAAAGCTGAATAGGCAAATTTTATGCTAACAACCTAATATCCTCTTGCAGTTAGGAACAGAATAAGAATGTTTATGGAAATGTCCCTTTCAGTTATTTATCAGAGCTCTTGAATGGTGATACTGTTCTATCAGTTGCATGAGATGACACATGTTTTATCCAACTGTTTGGTGACTGGATTTCTAAATTAATGTCAAGACAGAAAAGTCAGTGGGATGTAAGAAGTTCCCTGAAATGTGGTCTGAATATCCAGGGCTGTCCACTCTGGCCTTGAGGGGTTGCCAGAAATTCTTGACTGGGGCTAGGAAAGAGAGAAAGGGAAAAACATAGTCAGGGCCATTGTTACATCAGTGGATGGGGAGGCTGAGATCACACAGAAGGAACTGCACCTACTGGATGAACTAGAGAAGGAGTATATTAGTCTGTTCTCATGCTGCTGATAAAGACATACCCGAGACTGGATAATTTATAAAGAAAAGAAGTTTAATTGACTCACAGTTCCACATGGCTGGGGAGGCCTCCCAACCATGCAGAAGGTAAGGAGGAGCAAAGTCACATCTTACATGGTGGCAGGCAAGAGAGCGTGTGCAGGAGAACTGCCCTTTATAAAATCATCAGATCTCATGAGACTTATTCACTATCTCGAGAACAGCACGGGAAAGACCCATCCACATGATTCAATTACCTCCCACTGGGTCCCTCCCACGACACATGGGAATTGTGAGAGCTACAATTCCAGATGAGATTTGGGTAGGGACACAGAAAAACCATGTCAGGGAGTTAAAATTTAAAAGGCAGAAGGCAGTCATATTCTACCATGGCTCACAGCAAAACAATTATTTGATAAAATTCCATTATATTTAATACCAAAAAGACAAGAAAATATATTCAGTGAGTGCCTGTTATGATGCAGGTACCAAATTAAGAACTTTATATACATACCTCACTTAATCTTCACAGTAGATATGCAAGGAGGATTTGATTGTCTACATCTTACAAGTGAGAAAACTGAGGCTCGGAGTGATCAGAAAACTTGCTCAGGAGCACATGGCTAGAATGTGGCAGAGGTGGGAAATTGAATCATTTCCATTTTACACCATCGATAAAAATTACCGAGGCTCAAGTCTGTAATATAATGTTAATCTGTACAACTCTGTAGCAATACTAAGTGTGACGCTCAGAGACACTGTAACTTGGTCCAAATCAAACTGCGAGTAAATTGCAGAGCTGGGATTGGAGCCAAGGTCATTTTAATTCCAAAATGTACACTCTTTCCAACACATTGCATTCCACCGCCTACAAAGTCCTTCCTGTTATACTAAACAGCCTCTCTAGGGAAACAAACAACTATTTATCTGCCCAAGGTGCCGAATCATACTTCTGCTTTAAGATAGACAACATAGGAGATGTATCTTGAAGATCTTTATCTGTCCAAAGATTGACAGGCAAGTCTCTGAGATTAAATTTAAAAGGTAGCTTCCATGTAGACATCTCACCTGCCCTGAGGACATCTCATCACATCCATTATTCTGTGCTGGGGAAGCTCTCCAGCACAGAAAAATCTATCAGGATGGGATTCTAATCGAAAGCAATAGCATATGCCATGGTATTAACCACATTGTTCTGGCTTGGAATGTTAAAGCTTGCTACTTTAACTCATACTTTATACTCAACCCATCCTCATTCCCTTGGACTGTGTGTTCATGTATTTATCTTACCCACTAGATTGAAAGCTTCCTTAAGACAAGAATTGTCTCCAACTAGTCATTCAATACATATTTATTGAGATCCTAATACATGCCAGATAGTGTTCTAAGTCCCGATGAGTAACTACTGAGCAAGATAGACATGAGTTCCTGACCACACACTTTAGTGGGAAATACCAAATGGCAGTGACAACAACATGGTATGATGAAGATTGTGATGGGCAAGAACAGTGTGTATTCTGGAAGCAAATGTAATCTAGACTTAGAGACCAGGGGGAGATCCTTGAGGGAATGTCTAAGGGGAGCTCAAAAGGATACGTGGGAGTCATGAAAGATTGGGGGTCTTGGAGGTTGGTGAGGGCTCCCAGCTACAGGGACAGCAAGTTTGAAGGAGTGAAAATGAGCAGGAGAATGGGGTAATCAAATAATTGAAAGTTCCTTCTGGATGGAGCCAAAGTGTGCTAGGGTGGGGTTGAAGGAGGGAAGCATTGGAAGCCACCTCAGTTCGTTCCCTAAGTCCTGGTTCTTGCATAAAGACTTATATTGCCTTGTGTATTTCTTTAACAAAACAGGTTTGTTTGTTTTTAAAGACTTGGGATTGGTTACCCTGACTTGAGATTTAATGTCTATTTTCTTGACTTTTTTTTTCCTAGTGTTGCTATCAAATTGCTATTTTGATTCTTGGCCTGTGTGCCTCATTTCTCCATCCCCTTCTCCTTTTGTAAACGGAGGTCTATTAATACTTTATTCACAGTGAAGTTGTTGGGACTAATTACCCGATGCCTGCAAAGCCATCTGAGACGATTGGCTGAGAGATGTGCCATGAAGTCTCACTGTTTCTCAAAAGCCCTGATTGCTTCCGGCACATTTCCCCTTCTGTTTTTGTGGGACTGCAGCAGCAATTTATCCCAGTGCCTGTTTCCTCAGAGTCTGTTACTCAGTCATCATCTGACACCTGGGAGGAGCGCCGGCAGCGTCTGTGGTACTCAGCCTGACTCCTTCAGACACATCTTCACTCCCAGACGGGAGGAGGGATGCTGAGCCAACCCCACTGTGATGGGGACACAGCCCCAACACTGGCTTCCGTCTTGTTTCAAAAATAATCAAATCCCACTTTGTCTTGCTTTCAGGGACGTTGTGTTCTTAAGCGCTTGTCAGAAACAATTAATGGTAAGTTTCTTTCCCTAGAAATTGATAGCAAATATCCATTCCTCTCTCCTGATGTTGCATTCTCTAGAAGGACAGAAAACAGGAAGTTGCAGTAGCAGAGATAGAAATGCCCATCAGACTTTCAAGACACATTTCACCCAGAGCTGATCAATGGATAGCCAACGCCAATATATCAGACCCTGCAGAGCAGAACCTGGTATGATGGCAGACTCTTTGCTATGTGGCTGTGTCCCCACACCCGTTACCCTGAGTCAGACATTGCTAGTTGATTCACCATCCCACCCCACTTCTTCCTCACTATGAACCTCCAAGTTAGTCCAAGTATGAGTGGTTTCAGGAGGATGAAGCGGCAGGGAGATGTGACGCTTGGGAACTGTCCCTCTCTCTCCTCTCCACTCCTCTCTGGCAGCTGGTCACAGAACTGGACTATGTCCCTCTCCTCCAGAAAGTTACCCTGTGTCACACCATTTCACTGTCCCACTCCATTCCCACGGCGCAGCGAGTCATCAAGGACCCGAGGCCTCTCGGTAGGACCCTGGCAGTTTAAAATCTCCAAGCTTTACCTCACTCCTATGTCTAGTGCAGACAAAACCACTAAACCTGTAAAGGTGGTAGAAGAACTCTAACACATAATTAACTATTCCGTGCAGCAAATATTAGAACCCTCCCTCCGAAAGTACTTAGTTTATTTAATGATCTATGCCCTATTTATGATTAATTATGACATATTGATGACAGATGTATAACCACGTACTTTTTTTTTTTATTAAAAACCGCTGTGTGTATTTTTCTCTGTTGAAAGCCCTGTGAATTAGGTAAAGGAGGTATTATTATAGAGTTGATTGAAAGTTGAGGAATCTGAGGTTTGCACTTGCTTCTAAGTGCTCTTATAAAATTGCCATATGTGCTCTGATTTCTCGTTGACACCAGCATGTTAGTTCACTCCTGGTTCCCTCGAGGGTAAGTGTGCATTCACCGCATAGGACTGTTGGGCAGAACAGACAAGGACCTAGAGAAGGGCCCTCCATACCAGGAGTTCACATGTCTGTGCTGGGTGCAAGGAAATGGTTGGGGGTTCTCAAGTTAGCCTCACTTGTAAGACAGCAACACCTTCTGAACACTTCCCTCTTGAGAATTCACTGAGAAAGGCTTTGATTGTATTTGTCAGCTTCATCAGGCCCAGGAGATGAGAACATGCTCTTGTTCCTGAAACCACAGCGTCCTGTCCTGCATGTAATAATTTGCAATATGTTGTCTCCGTCACTTGGAAGGAGTCATTTTTCCGCAGCATCAGTGCTTCCCCTGGGAATTCCTTTCCTTCAGGTATTAACTTGCCTTGGTCCTTGCCTTTATTCTTATTCTTCTTGTTTCTCTGACTTTACATTTCACGCACCTGCCACTCTCAGCAACTCAAATGGTTGACTTTTCTTTCTGTTTTTCAATATCAATATATTTATTTTCTGTGGGATTTTTTAATCGTTTTTCAGAGTCCAGGAAGGGAGAATAAAATAGAAAGATAAGAACAAAAGATAAAATAATATTCCTTCACTGTTCCATTTTAAACGTGACATCAGGAGCTTAGACAGCAGCCTGTGTAATGGGAATTGTCCCTGGGTCCCAAACTGAGCCTGGAGAACTTTTACAAAATAACTCCACGTTTAGCTTGGAAAGTAGCAAGGCTGAAAAATACATGGCAGATTTTTGGAGTGGGGAATGAAAAGAAGTATGCCGTTATTTTTTTCTAGCTCCTGTTTTCTCTTTTTGAGCGGCTCTGTCTGTCGCAGTTCAGCAGAATCTAAACACCCACATTCTGTCCTTGTGTCACACCCCTGGCCAGTTGTCCATTAGTGGCGGGTGTTTCATTCAAAACACACGCCTCTCATGAGAAACAAGTGAGGACCCAGTGCATAGTAACTACAGTTACACACTGCTTAACAATGGGGATACATTCCAAGAAATGCACTGTTGGACAATTTCATCACTGTGCAAACACCATAGAGTACACTTAAACACACCTAGAAGGTACAGCCTACTACACACCTAGGCTGTAGGGCAGAGCCTACTGCTGCTAGGTTACACACTGTACAGTGCTCCTAGGTTATACCCCTGTACAGCAGTGACTGTATTGAACACTGTAGGCAACTGTAACACAATGGTAAGCATTTGTGTATCTAAACATAGGAAAGGTAAAAATACAGTATATAATCTTATGGGACCACTGTTGATATTCAGTCTGTCGTTCACTGAGCCATCATTATATGATGTATGACTGTATTTGAGTGTCTGTTTCTTTACATAAATTGTTTAATTTAGTCCCCGCAAACAGTTCGTCCAATAGATGATATTGTCTTTGATCATCTACATTTTAAAGAGAAAAAAATGAGGGTTCAAAGAAATTAGGTTATTTGTGCGGGGTCACATAAGTGGTAAATGTCCGAGCCACAGTCCAACCATACCCACTTGTTTTCAGATTCTGTGCATTTTCTTTTGCATGACCACTCTTCTGCTTGCATTATTGGTTTGGGATAAGGTTAAGTGGGGCATCTCATCTTTTATTCCCAGAAGTCTAGGGTGTCTTCCCCAGCTCTCTTTAGGTATTTCTCCTGAACATCGCTGATCTCGGGATGCCCCACTGGCACCCCACTGGTAGTAGAGTGAGTGTCCTCACGCCACTTTCTGCTGCTGGAATCTCCTAGGGGCCAATCCACCTGCAAGCCTGCACGCTCTTCCTGGGGACTCCACCGTCAGCTGCCCTTGGCCAAAATGACCCTCTAATACTCTGCATATGTCATTCCCACTCCACAGTCAGGGTATCCTGGAAGTACATCAAAGAGCTTGCCAGAAAGACCTGGATAGGAAGCCACACGAGAGGGCTCAAGATATTCATAGCGTTGGCAAAGAAGGCAGTAGGTACAGTGGAAGGGTGTCTGGCCATTGATGCAGGTGTGAATCCATCTGCCGGCTCACTGCTGTGTGATTTTAGGTGTAATGACAACTCACCCAGTCTCAGTACTTTCCTCTGCAGAATGGATCTAACATCTGATTTCCCATCCCATGGCGAGAGTTAAAGGAATGCCTGTTAGATGGTGTTAGGCCCCAGTCTCTCCATTTTCCTCATTCCTCTTTTTCTCTGTACTACAAACACCTCATGCTCCGCACATTACATGATAATGACAGCTAATATTTACTGGGTGCATCCTACACCCAGGAATGTTTCTAAGCATTCTGAATGCATTCGCCCATTTATCCTGGAGAACAGATTTTTAAAGGGAGAATCCTATTACTAACTAGATTTTATGGAAAATGGAGGCATTGTTTTCACCACACACAAAAACGTCAAATATGTGAGATAATGCATATAGGTTCATGAGCCTGATTTAGCTGTGCCACAATGTATACTATATCAAAACATCATGCCGTACATCAAAAGCGTATATAATTTTTATTTGTCAACTAAAAGTAATTATTTTTTCAAAAAAAGAAAGAAAATTCAGGCCAAGAGTAGTAAAGTCCCTTTGCTTAATGTCAGGTAGCTGGAGCCACCCACGGCAGGGCAGGACAGGAACAATGGTGCCCGGATGAGATCAAGAACATCCGAACCCTCAAAGGCAGGCAGAGGCTGAGAGCAGTGAGTTAACCTAATGACTGGGTTAGCCTGCACAGCCATTGCTCCTGCCCGCTGCATTCCACTAGAGCCACCGCTCAGCCAGAAGCACACTCTGAGGGTGCCGCTCACAGAAGAAGGCAATTGAAGTAGAGGAGAGCAGAATAATGTATTTCTTCTCTCTCCCCCTCTCCTCCCCGTCTCTCTTTCTCCACCCTCTCTTCCTTCAACCAAGTGTTACTGTGCATGTACTATGCGCTGTTCCTTTATACACCGAGGATATGACAGCGAACAAAAATGGTGAGAGCCCACCCATCCCAGAGTCATCTGAGAGACAGGACTAGGGTGAAAGCGCTTCCAAAGGTAGAGACGGATGCAGACCATGTGCCAGCCTCACCACTCTTTCGTCTGATGCCAGCTGAGCAGCAGTGAAGAGAGCCGGACGCAGACCATGTGCCAGCCTCACCACTCTTTCGTCTGATGCCAGCTGAGCAGAGGTGAAGAGATCATGATTGTGTTTAACATGGAGCCACTGAAAGTGTTTCGAATTAGAACCCAAGACTGGAAAGATGGGGGGGACAGACATTCCAGTCTCTAAAGGAAGAGAGAGCTACAAGACCCGTCAATCAGATCATAGCTCAGAAAGTGGACACTTAAGGAATGAAGAGGAAGTTTCCTTATTCGAAGATCCAAGAGGTGGCCATATTTGGATGTGACGTAGTCTCAGGCCTGGGTCCCACACCCAAAAGCTTTCTGTGCAGTTAGCAATGGTTCTAATCTGAAACTATATCAAGTGATATAGCTTGAGCACTTGATGTGATATCCAAAAACAAGTAAGAAGATAGTTTCTGAGCACTTGTTTTGTTAAGCCAAGGAAGTCAGATGGACAAAAGAACTGACCTTATAAACCAAATGGAGCTGGTAGCCAGGTCACCTGGAGCTGCACTTCGGAGATGCCAGAACAAAAAATTAGTGTTCCAGGAAGTCTTCTGCCTCTGTCCTCCACCTTTTTTGTTTCTCTTCTTTTCTTCTTAGTCTATTTCAGAAAAAAAAAAATCTATGTACTAAGGCATCAAGGAAGAAAGTAAGTCTTTTTACTCTTAAAGCAAGTGAGCTGGGGGAAGCAGAGTACGTGGATTCCAGATGTGGTCATGGCAACTGAAATCTGGCTCTAGCCATCAGCTCAGGCTGAAATTTCTGTCATTCTCGACTCCTGATGTGCTTCTGATTTAATTTAATTTTTAGTTTAATTTAATTTTTAGTTTCCTTCTGCCTGGGCCTTGAGGTTTCAAATGGATTATCCAGATTTCAAATCCAAAGCCTGCCAGGTCCTGCTGTTCCACTGCAGATTTTTTCTTGAAAAAAAGTTAGATCTTAGATCTCCACTCCCACTCCCATACCCCACATTCAGTCCAGATGCAAATCCCAGAGCTCCACCTTCAACACCTTTGAGGACTGTACGTCCTTATCAGTACCTATACTGTTGGCACTCTAATCCAAGCCACCCTGCCTGGATTTCTGCAATAGCCCCCTGGTCCCAGCCTCAGACCCTCTTTAGTCAGGTCTCAACACAGTGGCCAGTTTCCAAATGTACACCATGTCATCTCTTACATTTCTGCCTCATTTTGAGTAATAGCCAGAACCTTGAGCATGGCCTCCAGAGCCCTACTGGATCCCCTCCCCCGGCTTCTCACCTCCTTCCCTCCACTCACTGGCCCCAATGCACGGCTCCCACCTTCTTCAAATTTGCCCAGCATGTCTGGGGACCTTTGCAATTGCTCTGTCCTCTTCCTGAAACTCTGTCCCCCGAGAGCCACAGGACTCACTACTATATTTTGGGGGTCATTGCTGATCCACCTATTACATAAAATCGTATCCCTAATCCCAGAACTCCCCATCTCCCTTTCTTGGTTTGTTACCGATGCCCATATATTGTTTATTCAGATTGATTTCTCTATTTGCCTATTGTCTGTCTTTCTTTTCATTTAAATGGAAACTCTATGAAGACAGGGACGTTGTCTGTTATGTTCACTACCGTATTCCCAAATCTGAGAGTAGTGCCTAGACATAGAAGGTGCTTAGTAAATATCTATTGAATGAGTAAATACAAAAAATGTTCCCAGGGCATAGAGCATTGATTGATGTCCTCTTTATCTCATTGTATCCCTCATTTGCCCTTGGTTTTCTCTCAGCAAGATAAGATTTGTTTCATAATTAACATTCTATTTTTTACTGTAATTCTAATTTTTTAAAAAGTATAATTTCGTTTTTACTATTCTTCTCTCACTTTTGCATCAAAGATTCAGGGAATTAATTTGTTCTTACCAAATAGATAGAGGCTTTTGTGCTTAGATGGAAATACTTGGGATTTTCATCACATTGTGTTTCTACATCTCAGATTTCAAGGACAGGACTGACTTTGAATGTCAGAGTTTTACAAGAAGAAATATACTGTTCTGGGTGGCCTAGTAGGGGTGAAAAGCATTCACTTTGTAACCTCACTGCTGGGGTACAAATCTTAACTCAGCCAGTTACAAACTGTGGCCTTCAGCAAATACTAAACCTTTCTTTGCTTTAGTCTTTACTTCTAGAAACTAGAGAAGGTGAATGATGAGGTTAATAATATAAGCCCATAAATTTGAATTGAGAATTAAATGTATTAACACTTGAAGAGTAGTTAGAACTCATCCTAACTTATGAAAATGTTTATTTATAAAAACAAAACAACACTCTTCCTTTTCCTGTCTCTGGAACCGTGAACAAGTCATTTCCTGTCACTGCACCTCAATTCTCCTACCAATAAAATGAAGGGGGAGGTAGGAAAGGTTGAACAATTTCTGACTATGATTTTATCCACTCTAACTTTCAAAGTCTGAGGTGAGGCTGTCTCAGAGCCAGGAAGACAGATTTTGTGCTTCTGATTTAATTTAATTTTTAGTTTCCTTCTGCCCGGGCCTTGAGGTTTCAAATGGATTATCCATATTTCAAATCCAAAGCCTGCCAGGCCCTGCTGTTCCACTGCAGTTTTTTTCTTGAAAAGCAGAGCGGATGCCCAGGAAACATTCTAAGAAGCCTCTGGGGAGATCTCTGGGCAGGCAGGGGCAGGCTGGGTGGAGTGGGGCCCCCTGGGCTGTGAGGGCTCCTGGCAGTGCTGGGGGTAGCTGGGGGTACTTAGATCTCCAGAACCATGGGTGTGAGTGGGAGGGGGCCACGGTGACAGAGTGACCTGTGCCCCAGGAGGCCTTTGCAGAAGTCTTTGTCAGCAGTCCCCAGTGACCCAGCTCGGCAAACGCTCAGGAAGGCAACTGGCAACTGTGACCTCTAAGTGGGGCAATGAAAGAAAGGAACCCACATTTCCATGCTCAGGAAAACCTCCTGTAGAAGCTCAATCATCATAACCTCTGGTGGACCTTCTTGTTCAAAGTCACAATGGATTCCTTGCCACGCCCTAAGGTGATGAAGAGAGACTGTGCCTGTAGGTCACGTGCTCATCGGCAAGCCTTCCCTTCTTCCTTCACCTATGCCCTGCCACCCATTCTCAAAGAGTTGAAGATTATGCTTGTCCATAAAACTCAGCTTGTAGAGCCAGTCTTTCCTACCAAGATAATATGTTCATTAGCTCCTGACATCCCCTATTCACAGAAATAAAAAGATCTTTGCCACTCTATACTGACTGCTTTGTGTGTGGCCTTCCAAAACTGGATGTCGTTCATGGGCTAGGGCATGCAGGCAATGTCAAGCTATCCTCATCTTTGCCCTTGGTGCCAGTGACTTGCCTGCATAAGCTAAGGCAAGGGGACCCCAGGGAGAAGGTCCAGGACATGTCACTATTTGTGGTTTGTCATGCCAGCAAGAGAAGAGAAGGGCTATGGGCCCATGCTGAGCCACCTGAAATTCTCAGCAGCTGACTACCACCGCTTCTTAACTCACCCCCAGATACAATCTTAGAATAAATCTGAAGTCCAATAAGGTTTTCCAGTCATCGATAGATTTAATGGTCTTGACTTTGTATTTTCTGGAAGTTGGCTCCAAGGTGTTCAGCTACGTTGATCTCCTGGAGGAAAGTTAAAAAAAAAAAAAAGATAGAAAGACAAGGAAGGCGAGAAAAAGGAAGGAATAGGGCATCTGGCATAGACTAGATGCTCAATAAATGTTTATTGGATGATGAATGAATGGTTGGCATAAGTCATAACAAGATTGTTATCAATGCCAGAATGGGACCTATACAGCCTTCTTTGGGCACTGAGGAGACAAGATACGTTGCAACAAAAGGAAGAGAGGGCACTGAGAATTAGACACCTGAGTTCTAATCTCAGTTGAGAGGTGCTCTCAGCCATGTGGACACAGTATTGTAGCTCAGTGTGTAAGAACTTTAATAGCATAAGCTCCAGGGGCCACAGGAGCAGAGAGAGGCCTAGGCATCTATGGATGAAGCAGCCACACAACCCAACTTGTGATACAGGTACAGAAACAACCGATCGTAATGCAGCGTGATTCCTATTATTAGGGAGGCATGTTCTATGAAACTATGACTTTGTTTCAAATCACAGTAAAATGAGAATCATCCCACAGGGCTGCCTTTCTCAGAGTATTGCCCTTTAATTTAAGAACTCTCACTCATTTCTCAACACTTGGACTCCTATTCAGGAATAACCTTTTCTTGCACAGTTTTGAAATTATAGGTCATTGAGATAGAAATACAACTTACTGAGACGAATTCTAAATGCTTCTTTCATACCTGGTTTTGTCCACTTCAGTTATCAAAACTCTTTACTTTAACAGTTAAGTAGGACAGTGGTGTTCTGGAGTGGACCGAGGTAGGGTGCAAAGAGCTGATTGCTAAATATTTAGGAATTTTGCAAGACAATTAAATTGTTGGTAACCTAAGATTGGTCCTGGCAGTAGTGTTTACCCCATAGAAATCAGCAAACACTGTAAATCGGAGCATTCTTCTTGTTTTTTGTTTTGTTTTGTTTTAACTGTAGAGCTGGTCTACCAGCCCACCACTGGATAGAACTCACATGGTTCAGTTACCAGTTAAGAGAATTTACCTGGAGGAATTTTTCACAATAAATGTTTGGAGAATTAAAGCAATGCATGATAATAATACAGAATACCAGTCACTCCCAAACTGCACACTTTTAACTGTATTTTTATGTAATCTATATCATTATGTTTTATTACTTTCTAATTTAAAGCTATTTATGTGTTTACTTAAATACATTGATTTTTAAAGGAACTTTTTTGACAGCTGTAAATGGGAAAAAGAACACAGAACCTCTTAGTCTACACTAAATTGTAATAAATGAATAACTTTAAAATAATCCCACCACATATCACGTAAAATCATCCCACATACTTCTAGAAGTGTGTATAGTACACAATAAAGGTTATAAAATAAATTATTGTCATAGTCTACAGTGTTTTTTCTCTAAGGAATAATCATAGCAAAGGTTATGGTACATTTACTATGAATGAGGCATTACTATATTACATACACATTATGAACATATAATTACAAACACATTAATATAAGTGCATTAGTTACATAGATTAACTCATTTAATCAGTGTAAAATATCCTACAAGGAAGGTATTATTATATCCCAATGTTACACATAAGAAAACTGAAGCACAGAGAGTTTATATAGCCTGCCCAAGGTGAGTGGCAAAGCCCAGATGAACTCCAAACAGTTGGGTTCATCAATCCTTGCCCTTCTTCACTATACTTCATCACTGCAATGGCAACTCCTGCTAAAACTAAAAATACTTACAATGCTCGAGTTCCTTCAGGACTCCTAAACTTTGGAAAACTTTAGAAGCCATCCCATAGAAACAAAATCCATATAAATAAGAGTACAAATTTGTGATAAAGTTATTATAGCCTTAGCCGCCTTTGTAGCAAAAATAGTGAACGAAATAGTAGGTGAATGACAGAATAAATTAGGTTATACATACAACATGGAATATTAAATAGTCTTTAAAAAGAATGAATGCAAATTATACCAGAAACTTGGAGACATTTCCATTGGTATCATTGTAGAAGAAAAGAAAAATGCAGACAAAACATGTATAATAATCTCATTTTTTATAAAGTATACATTGAAAGTATCCTTTCTACTGCCAGCCATAGGGGTTTTAAGCCTTAAAAGTGCCTGCTTATCTAGTAAAGTGTGAAGGGAGAGCTGTTTAGTTTGTATTTCCCACTGCTGGTGAATAGGAACAAGATTCCATATACCAGCTTGCCATTTGTATTTGTTCTGAGAATAGGCCTTTGCAAATTTTTATTTGCTTATTAATCCCCTCTTTTTAATTTGCAAGAGTTTTGTTTTTCTTCTTCATTTTTGTGTGTGGCCTCTTCTTTGCAATCCCCCAATCCAAAAATGTTTTATTTGTCTTTTGGCTTTGTTATAAATTGTTTATATACAAAATGTTTTGTTTTTGATGGTATAGTCAGACATGCTTATCTTCTTTTTTAAAGCTGCTGGATTTTTTTTTCCAATCTCAGGTCAAAAGTGGGGAAAGAAGGAAAACCAAATAAACCCAAATAACACCTCGACTGGAAGTGTCTTCCTAGCAAGACTCAGAACCTAAAATATTCCCTATGTGTGCCATGCCCTGACCTTCCCTGTAAAATATCATTAAATCTCTCCAGACAGCAGGACTGGAGACATTCGTATTTAAGTGTTTTATACCCCAGTTTCGTGCTTCACACTTTAATTCCTGTCTATTAACCAGCACATGCAGGCACTGGGAGGGCTTCAGGGCCGGAGAGTGAGGAGAAAAAAAGGTGCAGAGGGAGTTGAGTTATGTTAGTGTACGGATGGCACAGCAACTCCTTGTATTTTATTATCCTAATTAGTGGGTATTAGGTTATATTTAAAGCTTAAATCTTCATTACATCCTATTACAATGGTGGATTTAAAAAACCTAGCATGTCTTTGAATCAAGGTAGAGCGTTAATTTGGCTTTCCTGCCTCTTATTTGGTCTGTTTGCCCGATTCTTCCCTTTTTTTGAACTCAGTGTTGTATTTAATGGGCTTGTCAAACCTACATTTAATTTAACGTTTCTCATGAAGATCCCCTGCTACCTGACAAAGTAGTGAAAGGATGACTGTTTCTCAGGTTCCCCTCTGGGTACCACATCTCCAGTGCACTCCCCTGCAAACTTGACTCTCTCCAGCTGTTCCCAGACACACAATTGCCCAAGTTTAAAGCTGTCCATTTATCTTTGACTCCTCTCACCTTTGCCCCAACACAATTTAGGCATAAATTCAAATGCAGTCTACAAAGACATCTGCTATAGCCATCTCCTCCTCCCAGTCTTGTCTGCTCAGGGTCTCTTGACTTCATCTTCATCTTCTTTGGCCTGAGTCATCATAATGGAATCAGTATCAAGTCCATCCTGCCAAAGCTGTCTTTCCAGAGCATATCTTTTGCCTTCCCGGGTTGAAGAAGCACTAGTGCTTAAAGGATAAAATCCTTGGTGTGGTACCCAAATGCCTTTGTTTTCTGATCCAAAACTACTTTTGTCACCTTATCCTGACTATTCACATAAATGATTGGCAGTACTCTTGTGGGATGCATGTTCTGTAGCTGTGTGAACAGGGAAGAAACTCATGCCCTGCTCTCTCTCATCACATAGTTCTTTCTGGGGCTGCATCGCCTTTCCTGCTGCCCAAAATGTGCTTCCCCCTTTCCCCGGGAGCCTAAGTCCTTGTCATCATTCAAAGCCCAATTCAAGTGTCATCTGCTCTCTGAATATTCCCTGAGGATCATAGTAAAAATGAATACCCCCTTTTTTGATGCCCCTTTGAATTTTTTAATACCCTGATTCTAACATTTGCATTTATCTTAGTGAATTGAGGTTCTGCTGTCTCTTGACTAATTGCATGTCTTTGAAGATAGGACCAGCATCACACTCATCTTTGTGACTTTTGTCCATAGGAGATTGAGAGTAATGTTCCCTAATATATGTTTGCAGAAACAAGAAGGAAGGAAGAAAGGAAGGAAAGAAGGAAGGGAGGGAGTGAGGGAGGGAGCAGGAGAAGGGAAGGGAAGGGAAGGGAAGGGAAGGGAAGGGAAGGGAAGGGAAGGGAATGGAAGGGAAGGGAAGGAGGGAAAAAGGAAAAAAGAAACTTTATGCTAACCTTTAACAATGCTTCCCTGCACTTAACTTGCTTGTGTCTTGTTTTCTTGCTTTGTTTTACTAGTTTGTTTATTTGCTTATTCATTTTAAGTGATATAATAGCACTTTTAAACTGGCTGTGGAAGGCTGCTTATAAGGTTTATTTGTTATGAAGATTTAAAATGTGACTCGCAAGCCAGGCGTGTTGGCTCACGCTATAATCCCAGCACTTTACGAGGCCGAGGTGGGTGGATCACTTGAGATCAAGAGTTTGAGACCAGCCTGGCCAACATGGTGAAACCCTGTCTCTACTAAAAATACAAAAATTAGCCAAGCATGGTGGTGCGTGTCTGTAATCCTGGTTACTTGGGAGACTAAGGCAAGAGAATCACTTGAACCTGGGAGGCAGAGTCTGCAGTGAGCCAAGGTTGCACCACTGCACTCCAGCCTGGGTGACAGAGCAAGATTCTGTCTTAAAATAAAATAAAATAAAATGTGACTTGCACTGACTATGTGAAACTCACAGGAAGACCCCAAAAGAGTACTCATCATTAGCATCATTAATCACGTGGTCATTTCTACACAGCTCTGATTCCAAGGCCTGCTAATTCCTTTATAAAAGAGAAAGATTATTTCTTTCCTTTTTTTTTTTTTTTTGAGACAGAGTCTCACTCTGTCACCCAGGCTGGAGTGCAATGGCATGCTCTCAGCTCACTGAAAGCTCTTCCTCCCGGTTTCAAGTGGTTCTCCTGCCTCAGCCTCCCGAGTAGCTGGGATTACCGGTGCCCACCACCACGCCCAGCTAATTTTTGTATTTTTAGTAGAGACGGGGTTTCACCATGTTGGTCAGGCTGGTCTCGAACTCTCGACCTTGTGATCCACCCGCCTTGGCCTCCCAAAGTGCTGGGATTACAGGCATGAGCCACCGTACCTGGCCGAAGAAGACTATTTCTATAGTAGAACCTGGGATTCACATAATCTGGGTTTCTTTAGTTGTGCTTCATGGGGAAATTGACCATAACCCTCCTACCTTTTCCCCTACTTGGGAAGCAGAATGAGGGTCAAGGGAAAAAAAGAAAAAAAAGCCCGAGTGGCTGTCATGCTCTAACTGGGAGCACAGAGAAATAGGCAGAAACTAGACTGGAGGTTTTATGGAGCAAAGCCCAATAGCTAATATTAATGAAATTCCTAGAAGAAAATAGCCAGAATTGAAAACCCTTCGGGAGACTCTGGGAACCATCTGAACTAAGAGAGTTAATCAGAAATGGGACCTCCAGAGGCTTCCCATCTCCAGCTAAGCACTGCAGCACCTGATCAGGTGACTTTGGTTGCTGATGGGTGACAGATTAATTTACAAGAACGCCAAGCAACAGAAATTTGAAAATAAAACAAATATACACTTTATAAGGGGAGGAAAATGTGATTTTGCACTCCCTAGAATACTTTACCCGAAGCTTCATCAACCCTATAATAAGATGATACCTTACCTGGATGAAACGTTAATGTTAAATATTATGAGAAATTTGCTGGAGATTGTGCTGTACGTATTTCTGGTCTAACTTGTCTCTCCTGTTTTAATAAAGAATATGTATGTATGTGTGTATGTATTTTAGAAATTTCCATTAGGAATTAATCCTGATGTCTTAATAGATTAACCTTGCTGGTGCCTAATATAATTTATTTTAAAAATGAAATTCCTACTACAGCAAAGATTTTAATGGGTAGCCTTTTTTTGGTATCCCTCTGGAAATATCCGTGCCTGAGGCTGCACTTTTCCTAAAGGCCCACTCCCCTGTCGACTCTGGGGGGAGGCCCTCCTGCACAACAGCTGTGAAATCAGACCAGCGTTTCTAGGTAGAATCTCTCAGACAAAGGATGGGACTCACCTACCCCAGCATTTTGCACTGCCTGAAATATCTTAGCCTTTTAATAGCATTAGCCTTTGCTCTCTTTTCCTACCCTTCCTCTCTGGGCAACCAAGAGGCATTTCACTACTCTAGGATGACAGGGAAATGTCTGCCTTCATGTTGAGGAGGCTCAAAGGACCAAGAACTTAGCACTTTCGAATGCCTGGTGCATTTAGGTTCTCAGATACAGGATTTTGACAGACTCTTTGATACTGACTTTTCTGATAAATTGTGATTTCAGCAATCATGTTTCCTCTTCTACACAAACCTTCTAAGACAACTTTTCCAGGTCTGTACCCCGTGTCCCCTCCCCCCCCCAAAAAAAGAACACAAACAAACAAAAAACTAGATCTGGTTCTTGTACACACTTGAAGGGGGTAAAGGAAAAATGTTCCAAGCTGGCAGTTCTTCCCCTGAAGTCTCCTTCCTTTATCTGCCATTTTCCATCTGACAGAGAGAACCTGCGATTGTTTTTATTTCCAGAAAATAATTGTTGGCTAGAGTTCTATGCCCTACACGATTGGCTCCATTTCAACATCATTTCTAGATGCCTGCCTGCTTGGGGCACTAAGGCTACTGCTCTATCCCCAGTCCTGCCATATAATCCTTTTTTTCTGTTCTATAAAATGGCTCCCGTTTGAATTCAGAGGGTCTAAAACAGTCTCTATAAAGAGGCTTCTGTTGTAGCCCACTGTCGTGAAACATGTTTTCAGTACCCTTGAAGGTTCCTACTTTTGATGAGGAATATATTTCTCCAATAATCTTTTAGCCATAAGCATATGAATGTGGAATTCCCTATATAAACATGATGGAGTTCTAAGAGTGACCACGGGTCCTTTACTCAAAGGAAAAGGCTTCTCTGATTTCTAATGAACGTCTTCTCCCCTCAGCATGCCGGAGTCCTTCAGCCCCAGTAGATGTGTTGCAAAAAGCTGTTCCTCCTCCTGCTTGGTGTGGCAGTGTGCTGGCAGGTGCAGCAGAAATGTGAAGGGGAATGGGAGGCATTTCAGGACTGGCAACTGTTTAAATTCTAGAGGTCCATTGCTAAAGATAGTCATAGTTTAAATTAAAGAAGAGCCATCAACTACAGTTCTTTCTTTGCTCTTAAAATTTTTTGTTCTCTCCCTTTAGGTGCCCATTTTACAAGTTTGGAAAAGTCTAATTCAGGAAATGTCTCCTAATGTGGTTCTTGGTAAACACTGTATTCTTTCAGTCTAATACAGCTAAGATTAAGATGATTTTTTGTCTTACTCTCTTCACTCATTGTCACAATAAACTATGTTAAATTGCATTTTCTAAAATATTTTTTGTTTAATTTTCTTCCTTCCTTCCCTCCCTCCTTCCTTCCTTCCTTCCTTCCCTCCCTCCCTCCCTTCCCTCCCTCTCTCCCTCCCTTCCTCCCTTTCTTCATTCTTCCCTCCCTTCCTTCCATCTTTCCTTCCTTCCTTAATTCCTTCCTTCCTTCCTTCTTTCCTTCCTTCCTTCCTTCTTCTTTCCTTCTTTCTTCCTTCCTCATTTCTTTTTGGCTGAAAGTGTATTTATTTTACCCACACCTGGATTGATAGTTTGGCTGATATAGAATTATAGGAATTGTCCAAAACATTGACAGCTTCACTCTCTTATAAAATTCCTCAAGTAACATTTCTAATTGGATTATAACAGAAATACATAAGAGGGAACATATTATATGTGTAAAGCCTAAAGAAATTTTTCAAAAAACTAAACATACTTATTATATTCCCCAAGGGGGGCTTGAAGTTACATTAATGTATTTGTTATGTTATTGAGTACCTATTATCCACCAAAAGTGTCTATACTTTATGATGATATTCTTTAAGCTGAGTTTGGTGACATGGTTGGTTCCTTCATTGTCTCTGACCAGGCAAGTTGAGTTTCTGGGGGTTGTTAGATGGAATTTCCCAAGCTCATGGAGAGTAACCTGAATTGTGTTGCTTCCTCTTGGCTTAAGCCCTGGTCTAGCTTCTCCCATCGTCCATTTCTATGCCTTTTTTTCATCGTGCTTCTGACAAGATGTGCTCAGGCTGTTGGACTGCCTTCTAGCATTGTATTTGGAAAAATTAATAATCACAGCCACAAAGTGCTGTGACATTCTAGAGTGCTATAGAACCACTTAATGCTGATGGAATTGCTACTGAGCTGTCTTCTTCGAATCACATCTTCACAGGCAGTGGAGGTTTTATTGGCAGCTCTGGCAGATGAAGTTTGAAATATATCAACAGTCAGATAGATTAGAAATGGGTAGTGGCATCACCAGCTTTCTCTCCTCCGCCTTTGTCTTGGTGTCTCAACCCTGTCGTAAAATGCCCACTCCGGAGCAGAGAGGATTCAAGGGTCCAGTTGGGAGGGGCCAGTAGCTATTTGATATGGTTCAGATATTTGTCCCCTCCAAACCTCAAGTTGAAATTTGATCCGCAATGTTGGAGGTGGGGCCTGGTTGGAGGCATTTGGGTCATGGGGGCAGATATCTCATAAATGGCTTTGCATCCTCCTTGCATTAGTGAGTGAGTTCTCACTCTTTTAGTTCTCACCAGAACTGATCGTTCAAAAGAGCCTGGCACCTCCTCCCCTTTCTCTCTTTCCCTTCCTCTCTCACCATGGGATGCCTAATCCGCTTTGCCTTCTGCCATGAGTGGAAGCTCCCTTAAGCCCTACCAGAAGCAAATGCTGGCCCTGTGCTCCTAGTACAGCCTGTAGAATCCCTAGCCCAAGAAACCTCTTTTCTTTATAAATTACCCCCAGTCTCAGGTATTCCTTTATAGCAACACAAAACCAGACTAAATCTTACTCCTTTCATGTTACTGGTTGCATAGATTCTAGGTAGTTCAGCAAAAGAAACTGAAATGAAACATTGGTTTTATACCGGCAACAGCTCTAGAGTGTTGGATCATGAGATCCTGACATGTTTGCAAGACACATTAACATATGAGGGGATGACACAGATCACTTTAATCTCACGATTTCTCCTGAATTCCAAAGACATTCACCTTCACTTCGCCTCAGTAGTCCACTCTCTTGATCACACACTGGAACATGAAAATACTTGAAAATGCTATGACTGTAAATTCCACTCTCTGACACCACCATTCCCTCTTTCTGTGGCCCATGCTCTCCCACCACAACCACAACTCCAGCCCTTTAATTATGCCCTTTTCTCCAAGTCTGTTCGTTTTCTCTTAGCATCAGTGAACTTCTCCATCCATCTTAGGACTACTTACCTACCACCTTGTCCTTTCTCCACAAGTGCCCTGCAGAACCTCATGCTGAGCAGCCACGCCATCATAGCCTCTTCTACATCAGGATTCTGAGCACAGCTGCAGGGAAACAATTTAACACCACAGACTGATATCACTAGAAAGTTATGGCTTGTTCAAGCTTCCTATGTATTCCTTATATTCTTAACAAATGGCCTTGCCCCAGATTTACAGAGAAAAATCATCAGCTACAAATTTTTTCAAATGTTTACCCACCACCACCAGCAGGCTATCTGCATTCTTGTCTACTCTGCGTCTTCCTTCCCACCTTAGCCAAAGAGGTGTCCCACCTTCTGCTCAAAGGTACGCCCTAACCCACAGGTACCTAACTCCACTAATGTGTCCATGTGCTCTCTTGTATTTTCAAAATCACTTCTTTGGCCATTTTCTTTGAAAAAAGGGGCATGCTCAAATCTTTACATCTTTACAATAATTTCACACAATTGTACGTTCCTTGCTGCTGGTCTTATCTCCTTCCATTGCTTCATAATCCACTGAATAAAAGAGTGATCTACAGTCATGATTTGCATTTCCTTATTTTCTTGGCACCCTTCAAGCCATGGCAGCTTCCCTTCTTTATGTGCCTGCTAATTCATATTTCTTCCATTAAAATAAAAAATGGTCTCCCAATTCCCAACCTGGCACTCATCTGAATTTACATCTCTCTAGTATTAATGTTAGCAACTATTCCTTCTCTTTTCTCTTTAAACCTTGAGGCTGGGTGCGGTGGCTCATGCCTATAATCCCAGCACTTTGGGAGACCAAAGCGGGTGATCACCTGAAGTCAGAAGTTTGAGACCAGCCTGGCCCATGACCAACATGGTGAAACCCCGTCTCTACTAAAAATACAAAAATTAGTTGGGCATGGTGGCTCATGTGGATAGTCCCAGCTACTTGGAGGCTGAGGCATGAGAATTGCTTGAACCTGAGAGGCAGTGGTTGCAGTGAGCTGAGATCACACCACTGCACTCTAGCCTGGGCAATAGAGTGAGACTCAGCCTCAAAAAAAAAAGAAAGAAAGAAAGAAAGAAAGACAGATGAAAGAAAGAAAGAAAGAAAGAAAGAAAGAAAGAAAGAAAGAAAAAGAAGGAAAGAAAGAAAGAAAAAAGAAAACTTCAGTTATTCTTTAAGACATTATTTGCAATAAAAACTGTATATTTATGTAATTATTTGATGAATACTCATCTCCCCAATTGTATTGTAAACTCAGTACAGGGAGAAACTGTGTATCTTTGCTAAATATTTTAACCCTAGTTCCTAGGATATATAGTAGGTGTATAATTAATGTTAACTTGAATGCATGGATCACTGGATGCTCTCATGAAAAATGTAGCACCCTTATTTCTCCTAGAGTTTCTTTTCCTTCTCTGGGCTTTCCTATTCAGTTTCCCTCACTAGCCCACCCTTCATATGTGATTATTTTTCAGGGTATTATTTTTGCTTCTCTTTTCTCATTCTTCGTGATATGTTTATAGAGTCTGTTCATTGCTGTGGTTTCAAGTATTCAGTCTTTTCTAAGCTTTAGATTATATATCCAACTTTTTCTAGACAGGGATACTTTAAATTCATCTCTTCAAAAGCTGATCTCATCTTCTCCCTCTATTTTCATTCTAGTCTCTTCTTATAGCTCATGTTTCGGCTACTGGCACAATTAGCAATGTCATAGCCCAAGAGACCTGGAAGTCAATGCAAGCCACTGCTCATTCTTGTTCTTCACATTATTGCTGCTACTACCAACCCTGCCAATTCTACCCACCTAATAGGTTTTAATTTGTCTTCTACTGACCATTCCCACTGGTACTATCATTACAATTTCTTGCTTGGAAAATAGTTTTCTAACTTGTTTGCTGGTTTCCAAACTTATCAATCTATTTTCTATAACACAATTATAATTTTATAGTTCCTTACTCAAAAAACGTTGAAAAGTTTCTGAGTGCTTTTTGTAAGAAATGCAGAAGAATTCATGGCATCCACATTGAGCTTGAGTTTGCCCCGGATGTCTCTGCCCTCTGTCCTCTCCCTGACCTTCAGCAGCACTGGGCTACTTATGGGCCCTGACACAGTGTGCATTCTCACCCTTCCCTTCCCCTGCACAGACTGTTTCATCAATCTGAGGTGTGCCCAATACTGTCCCCCTGCAACTTGCCACCTGTAAAACTGCTCTTGCTTCATAATTTAGTTCATTCATTATCAACTCAGGAAAGGCTTCCAAACTAACATGTGTTACATGCTCTCCTTTGCTTTTCCATAGAACCCTGTCTCTACTTCTGCTTTAATGGTTATCATGATGTTCTCTAACTCTGTTTGTTTCTCTACCTCTCCACTGTGAACAGTTTAAAGGGTACAGACTACATATCCTCAATGTCTAAGACACTTGGCATCCATTATATAGTAAGAGATAATAAATGTGCATTGAATTAGTTTTGAACTCTTCATTTTAATGTCCAGTATGAAACAAGTGGGCTCCTTTCCCACCAAGCTTCTTTTTAATTTTTTTTAAATTTTACTTTAAGTTCTGGGATACATGTGCAGAAAGTGGTTTTTTACATAGGTATACATGTGCCATGGCGGTTGCTGCACCTATCAACCCATTATCTAGGTTTTAAGCCCCACATGCATTGTCCTAATGCTCTCCCTCCCCTTGACCCCCAGCCCCCAAATAGGACCCAGTGTGTGATGTTCCCCTCCATGTGTCCATGTGTTCTCATTGTTCAACTCCCACTTATGAATGAGAACATCCAGTGTTTGGTTTTCTGTTCCTGTGTTAGTTTGCTGAGAAAGATGGTTTCCGGCTTTATCCATGTCCCTGCAAAGAACATGAACTCACTCCTTTTTATGGCTGCATAGTATTCCATGGTGTATATGTGCCACATTTTCTTTATCCAGTCTATCATTAATGGGCATTTGGGTTGGTTCGAAGTCTTTGCTATTATAACTCACCAAGCTTCTTGACTTTAAAACATACTGAAGTTATCTGGAGTGAAAGAATGAATGGGTGCTCTACCACCTTGAGCTATGGGAAGGTTGTGCTGGAGATTTTGACACACGAGTCTCAGGAAGGCCTTAACTCAGTCATTCCAGGATTCTTGTTCTCTCCTGGGACCTAATGGCTGCTTTGGGTGCTCATGAGGTTTCATTCTACAACAACGGCAAAAGCAGTTCCCAGATGGCTTCTCTCACCATTCAGAAGGCTTTGACCTGGCCCCTTGAACTGCCAGTTGGTTTGCGATAAAGGAATAGAGACTCATTTTAATATTGGTCTAAGACAATCTGCTGTGTCTAAAAGTTCCTAAAAGTTAACTGTAAAGAACTTTTCAGTTCCTTACAGAACTGAATTCTCTAATTCAGATAATTTTGAATTATCCAAAATTTGTGCATCCCTATCTTTGAACGACCCCTGTAGTGCAGGTGGTTGGGAACTGACTGAGAGTAAGGCTGCACGTTGTGCTATATGGCTCCACACCCCAAAGAACTAGAGGAGGGTGCACCCTTGAGACCTGATTGCAACTTCCTTGAAGTCCACCTTTTACACAATGGCAGACTCACAGTAGAATCAACCCAGGGAAATCATGAGGAAGATGGGCATTTGGGAACATTCCACACATCCTCATGGACTGCCTCCACAGCACAGATTTCCTGGGCAGCAGGGGCCTGTCTGCCTGTTGCCTGGCAGGCATCGCCATCTCAGGGTACCATGTCTCCCCCCTCAGACCTTCTCAGGCTGTATTAGTCCATTCTCACACTGCTATAAAGAACTACTTCAGACTGGGTAATTTATGAAGAAATGAAGTTTAATCGACTCCCAGCTTCAACAGCTGTACAGGAGGCATGGCTGGGGAGGCCTCAGGAAACTTACAATTGTGGCAGAAGGTGAAGTGTAAGCAGGCACAGTCCTCATATGGCGAGAGCAGGAGAGAGAGAGTGAGTGAGCAAAGGGGGAAGTTCCACACACATTTAAATTGTCAGATCTCACGAGAACTCACTCACTATCCTGAGAACAGCAAGGGGGAAATCTGCCCTGTGATCCATTCCCCTCCCACGAGGCCCCTCCTCCAGTGCTGGAGATTATAATTCGACATGAGATTTAGGTGGGAACACAGAGCCAAACCATATCCCAGACCATGTGTATTCCAGGACTTACCTGTTCTATACCCCGTGTGTTCGGGAACACACTGTTTGCTACCTTATTAGGTTAACTCATTGGTCTTGATAATATTAGTAGTTAACAATACTAATGGCTAACATTTTGGGGGTGCTTGGCAAACACTAAGAGCATTGCTCTTAGTGTTTGGGTTTATCTCCTTCAATCCTACCTCAGCCCTTCGAGGTATGTCCATGCCTTGTCGTTTTTGGCTATTCACAGATGAAGACATTGAAATGTGAAAGATTAAGTAACTCAGCTAAGGGCACTGCACTATTGAATGGTGGAGCTGGCATTCCAAGCCGGATAGTCTGATGCCAAAGCCTGTGTCCTCACCCCCATGCTCTAATGGGCTAGCAGTGCTATTGCACCTGCCCCATCCTCTAATTTCCTGCTCTCTGCACTTGCATGTTCTGCCCCAAGGTGGAGTCTGCCTTCTCACCCCTGGAGCCCCTCTGTCCTGAAAGGCAGGCAGGAAGGACTGGGGCTGGATGCATGTCCACCCCTCTCCCAAAGCAGCTCCCTCGATGCCTTTAGGACTTGGTGTGCACACATTGCAGCTCCCTCGCCCACCTCCAGGGCAATAACTCTGAGGAGTGTGTTCTACCCTGGCTCCAAGAGGTCCCCAAATAGGATGAAGTCCCATTGGCTTGCAGCAGTTGCTTTTCCGACTGTGCTGTCCTTTATTTCGCAAATAAGCAATTTGTCTTTATATCCTCATCTCAGTGTCTGCTTCTTTGAGAATCCAAACTGAAACAAATGGCTTGCTATGTCACCCACTCCCAGATCCCCTGCAAAAAATTCCAGTGCCCTAAAGAAAGTAAAGACTGACACTGAGGACTGGAGCCGTGTGTTTGGCTGGCTTCTCTGTCTTTCCAGAGGCCCAGCTCTGACTTTCTCTGCCTCTCAACATTATCTGCTTTACTCATTTTCTTAAAGCAGATGCCTGGTCCCCTCTGCAGCGCCTTCTCACCTTGCTGTGAACACATTTACAGTAAGTCACTGCACCTTGCTCTGTTGCACCTGGAAGAATAAATGGTTCTCACCTCTCCTCCCTGGGATCAAGTTATTTGGTGGCTGGTTATTGCAACAAAAATAACTGCAGGTGAAAATGGCAAATCAGCTCACTCCACTCACTGTTAACTCACCTGGAAACCCAGCCTACACCTTTCCAAGAAAGGCTGTCTCCGTCCCACTGCAGGAACCCCACTCCAGGCACTTCATTTGGCCTATTTTTTGAGTACCCTCTGGGTTTGGAGTACTGCACTAGATATTCTTTCAGCGTTGTAACTGGTGTTAGAAACCAGTTGCTCTCAAGAATATCTTGTTTGCCCTGAGTTCTGGACTCCTGCAAGTTTCAGTAGATTCTGGAGTTTCACAGGTCTCTCCAGGCTTGAAGAAATTGCCTGCAGCAAACACACGATGAGCTCCCCATTTCCCCGGCAAAGACAGTCCAGGGAAAGAGAAGACCAAACAGAGACAGAAAGCAGAGACCACGGTGTAACATTTGTTTTCATTGTACTGCCTGATTTTGTTTGACTTATATTTTTTACTATTTTTTTCTAAAATGTATTTTTATTTCTTTTGATCTGCCAAAAAATAAAACAATCACAAGCACATGTATAATATTCCCTTTCCAAAATTAACAGCCAGCCCCTCAGCTGCACTCGGCTAGTGTTTATCTCAGGCACAGAGCAGTTATGCAGAGAGTGCAGCAGGAATCCTGTTATGGACTGAGTTCTGTCCCCTCCCCTTTTCTCACATTCATAGGTTTAAGTCCTGATCCTCAGTACCTCAGAATGTGACAGTATTTGGAGAAAGGACCTTTAAAAAGAGGTAATTACACAATTAAATATGATCATAACAATTGGGCCTTAATCCAGTATGACTGGTGCCCTTATGAGGGCAAGGAGAGGCACCAGGAGGCACCTGCACAAAGAAAGACCCCATGAGGACATAGCATTCTCCATGTGCAAGCCAAGGAGAGCAGCCTCAGGAGAACCTGTCCCCATGGATACCTGGATCTCAGACTCCTACCTCTGGAAGTGTGAGAAAATAAATTGCCGCCATTTAAGCCACACCGTCTGAGGTGCTGTGTTTCAGCAGCCCGAGCAGATTACTACAAATACCCTGTGTGCAAATCAGGGCACTTGGATTAAAACCACACCAAAGACACTTAACTCGGTGTTTCATCTTTAGAATATCACTTTGCCGCTCTGAAGCTCCGTTTTCCTCTCCTGGTGATGTGGTAATCGTATCATTCTCTAAATCTTCTTCAGGTGACTCATGTACAAAATGTGTGTGAAGGGACCCTGCACACAGGGGCTAGCTTACAGGGGCTCAATACATCTTCGGTGATTTATTTTCTGAGAATGCAAGGAGTGGGGAGGATTCAAACTTCTTACAATTTAGCTGCCATATGTCATAAACATTTATGAGAGTCAAGTAAAAATAAATGATTGATTCTAAGTGTGCAAGACAAAGAGATCTAAAAGATTGCAGAAAAAGATGTTGGTAGATGGTTTTAGCTGGGATACCAGGGAAGGACCTTCTGAAGGTGGGCCTCAAGCTAGCCCGGTAGGATAGGCAGGATTTGAAGGGTGGAAAAGGAGGGAACCGCCTGAAAAATACATGCGTGGAAGCGTGGAAGTTGTTGGCAGTGGGCAGTTCTGTGGTTCTGAGGATGGCCCGCAGTGGGTGGTGAACCATGGGAGATGAAGGTGTGTTCCTGATGGCGGCGGGGAGTGCAAATGCTCTTCCCTTCGGATCTTGGGAAAATGTACCTCCAAAGGAATCCTTACATTAGGAGGGAAGGTGAACTACATTACCTATGATCTCTTTTAACTATAAAATTTCCTAATAGGGTTAAAATGTGAGCGAAGGCTAGTTAGGTATATTGTGGAATTTAGATTTTGTCAGTTACATAACTGGAAACAAGTGAAGAGCTTTGTAAATGATATGATATATGACGATAAAACATGCCTACATAATTAATCTGACCATATGCTGGAAGCATATGCCAAGGATACCATTTAGGTGCACAATGGAAAAAGAAACTTAGTGCTTAGCTTTGGCTCTACCATTTCCTAGCTGTGTGAAGGATCTTAGGAATCTGGTTTCATTTATTTATTTTTGTACATGAATTCATTTTTCGGGAATAATTCAGTGTGAGCTTATTTTCTTCCATGCACACTCCTGAGCAATGTGGAAGTGATAGAAAATAGTTACTGATCTCATGTATCTAACAACCGAGTGTTAACGATGGAGGAAGCATTGGATGTTACAAGAGTTAAAGAGGACACAAAACTAGTCTTCAGGATTCAGGGAGGGCTTCCCTAGGGAGGTGGTGTCAAGACTGCCCCTAGTAAATGACGTCAGACATGCACCTAAGCATGAGCCTCCATCTCTTTATTCATCGAGAGAAAGAGGAAGGGCTGCGTTTTCTCTGCCTAGTTCCTCAACTTTCTTTAAGGGCGAGTAAGATAAATGGATGGAAGCTCTAAAAGCTAAACAAATATAGGGTAGCCTGCTTTAAAGAAAGAATTGGCAGAGGGTAGTGACCGACTGGATATGGAGGAAAGGTAAAAAGATGCACGGGTGCTGACTTTGTTTTTTAACCTGGAGGAATAAAAGATTTGAGAGACTTTCTAGTTCCTTGAAATTAAGTCTAACGATTTGGGATGTGATATTTGTTGCCTAAGGAGAAGGAGGTGATGAGGAGAACAACACTGGATGTGTTGACTTTAAGGTGACTTATGATGGAGGCGATTGAAAATATAGGCAGGGTTTAGCTAGAGAAAGAGGAGTAATCTCTATAGAAGTAAAGTCATGGGGCAAGGTCAGTGTTTAGACAAAGACATGTAAAAGAGCATTCTTTATGTTATTTGAAAAAGAATGTTGGAGTGTTGGGGTTTTGTGCCTCTGAGGCCTGGTGGGCCGGCTGCTAGCTGTTGTGGTCCATGATGGGGATACATCTGAGATGTGGAATGAAGACCAGGTGAGCCAGATGAGGGACAAAGACATCACACTCTAACACGGGTGTCTGGTGCGGTGAACAATAGATAAGGATTTGTAATCTACTCTTTGAAGAGCCATGTGTGGGAAGAAGAAAGCAATTGAGTCTTGGGGAAAGCTTAGCCTTGGTGGACAGAAATTAAGCATAGTTGAGGGACGATAAATACAACATTATGGATACATATCCTTAACATGAGACAGATGGCAGGGAAGTCTGTTTTTTTGCCCCTCTGTTTTTTTTTTTTTTTTTTTTTTTGCCCCAAGTGTGGGAGTATTCATTCAGTCCATTCTAGAGGAGACTTATTTGCAGAAGGGAAGCACACAACACAGAGGCTTTGAGAGGAAGGCAGAGCTCCCTGGGAGGCCTGAGCAGCACGTACATTCTAATGCTTTTGTTGGAGCCATTTTCAATTATTTAATGAATAATTGGAATCTCATCATTTCCTTGATTTGGCAAATCGAAAATTTTTTTCCCTCTAGGGCAAAATACCTTCGTTTTATTTTCTTCTCCATAATTAAGTAATTTCTTAATTAGTAATGTTCAACTTATCCAATCTGAAATGACACATTTTATTCCTTTTTATAAAAGCTTGCGAGCACACACACCCAGCCCCTACCTGGTGGTGGAGTGCTTGTCATTCCTGGGATCTTTTGTGTTCCTGAGCTCTCTCCATCTCCCGCTTTCTCTGGCATCTCCAGCAGTTCTTCCTGAGCAGTGGGGAAATCCAGCTGTGTCATCTCACACTGCCTGACTTCCTGGTGGCTGTAATTAGCGCGAAGGAGTTTCTCCTCCGTGGGGATGTCACACCGCGCCATGGCTTTGCACCTGGTGGGCAACCTTACTTTTTGGTCTTTCTCACTTGGCAGGCAGCGGGTGGGGTGTCTGCTGCAGAGGCTGCCCTAAGTTGGCCTGTGCTGTGACATTCCTGAAGCACTTTGCACCTGAGGCTGGGGCTGAGGCCCTGGCTGCAGGGAGCACAGCTCCCCCAAGGCCCCTTTCTATTTTTGCAGGCTTTTTCTCTCTACTCCACTAAACCCAGCATCAAATGTCACTCCCCTGTCTCAGCCAACTGTAGACTACAGAAAATGGTAGGGGTCCAAGCAAGGTCTGGTCTGTATTGGACTGAACACCTAATTTAAGAGCTAAGACTGTTCATTTCCAAGGTTGTTGCATCCTCCACCAAGGCTGGCAAAAGAATGTCAGACATCTCCACCAAGCAGCTCAGTCAACCAGCGACATCTGACCGAGTACTTGGTGTGTGCCTAGCTTCATGAAAGCCCTGCAAAGTTAGCGGGTAATTCCCAAAGAAAGTATTATCTAGTGCACTTTGTCAGGGTCCCTCTTACAGACACCCTTCCCCTGCACACCTGTGACTGCAGTCTTCTGAGTTGACTTTGACGAAGACCTGGCTGGGATGAAGGAGAGCTTCACTCCCCATTTTCACCGGTTGCTACTCTGTCCCCACCCAGGCTGCCTAGGGCCAGGGAGTGAGGACGATAATGATCCAGCACTCCAATGATGCACAATTAACGTTAGAGTAATAGAACAATAATGGCTGCCTGTGGTAGGGACTTTGAAATCTCCAGATGAAAGGCCCACAGAAGTACAGTGGGCTATTATCAGCATTTATGTAGCGCATTTCATCTTCAAAGCACTTTGCAAATATTAACTAATGAACACAGAATACTGTCGTTTTTTTCCCCGAAGGACTGGGAGGGGTAGCCTCTGATGAGAGTCTGGGCTTAAATGGAAACATTGCTTTATGACTCGGAGACAGAAGTCACATTGCTTTATGACTCCGAGACTTCAGGCTTCTTAGGGCGGGAGGCTCTGATGACCAGGGAAGAAGCCTGCACTTGCAGGTGGGTGGGTAGGACACTGGAGCACAAGCCAAGCCAACGCTGTCAGCAGAAGCACTGCATACACTTACGTGAGCCACACCGGTGATTCTAAGTTTCCTAGAATCACGTTTTAAAAAATAGAAAGATATGAGTGAAATTAGTTTGAATAATTTATTTAAGCCAATAGAGCTGAGACATTATAATTGTAATAACAAGTAATCAACATAAATTTATCAGTAAATAGTCTTTTCTTATTTTACATCTTTGTGTACCAAGCCTTTGAAATCAGTGTGTGTTTTACACATAGAGTACATCTCAGCATGGACCAGCTGCATTGCAAGTGCCCAACAGCCACCTATGGAGAGTGGCTCTGTATACAGCAGCACAGATCCAGACTGCCTTTGAGGAAGACAGCCCAGAACGCCTGGTCCTGCTATCCGGGACTGTCACTCACAGCACAGGGTAATACAGGGTCAAGTATATGGTCTATAGTCTGACAGACTTAAAATTGATACTGATTCAGAAATACTACTTGCATGACACTGGACATATGATTTAATCCATTTGAGTTCACTCTCTCCATCTATAATCAAGGAATGCTACTAGCCGCAATGTCACAGTTTTATAAGAATTAAATGAGATTACTTTTGTAAAGCACTTAGTGCAGTGACTAGCATGTAATAATAACGCAATAAAGAGTAGCTATTATCATATGAATAGGATGAGCTTGTATTTCAGGGCCCTGGCTCTCTCCCATCCTCCTCTGGCACCAGGCGCATCCTAGTTCCAACTCTGCACCTGGCTGGGCTTTGGCAGTGGGGTTGGTAGATGAATTTCCTCAGCCTTAATGCCTGTGTGATCTGTGTTTGCACACTGATATATGCTTATATGTGTGCCCAGGACCAGGAGGCTTTAGAGGGTCACATAGTTTGAAGAGAGGAAGGATGAAGGGGAATTATTTCTGCAAGCCCCTCATCCCTTCAATTACCTCTTTGGCTATGCCTTAAGGAAAGAGTTTAGACCCTCCATAACTCTTGGCTGCCTTTAGCCTAACACCCTCCCTCTTGCAATGATTTGGTCCTCTAAAAGTGTCAGAAGGTCTTGCATCCCCTTTGTTCACTCCATTCTCTCCATCTAGAAAGTTGTTTCCCTCCCTCAACTCACACATACTGTGTTAACTGTAGTCCTGGCCCTGGTAATACCTCACTGCACTTAACCGTTCACAGCATGGCAACCAGAGCACACTAACTTCTCAAGAAATGCTCACTGAACCCTTGCTTTGTCCACAGAAAAGTGATCAGGTGATGGGAGAAGATGCTGTAGCAGCCGGGGCATGTGGGCTCCACCCCCCACCCCAGGGTGTACAAATTCTGGGTGCTTTCATCTGAAGCACAACCTTTCTAAATGTTGTCTACAGGAATTCCTTCACGTTAACTCACTTTGAAACAAGAAGCAAGAGTGGAAATGTGGGCTGCCCTATCATTAAATGATCGCTTCTGGAAACATCTTTTTGGTTAGCACTTCTTAAAGCTCAGCTCAGGCAGAGGACTCCTTCCCCATGTTTGAAATGTTTGTTCCTCGGTGCTGTAAAGAAACAGCACTTGAACATAAATTTAATTTATTTAGTAAGGCCATTTTTACTTCCTGCAGGAAGGGTACACTCACCAGCAGTTTTGCCACGAGAGTACATTGAACAAAGGAGACAGGGTCATTTATAACCTGACGCATCCTCCCTACTGCTATGTCCGGTTTCCACTAGCTGGAATGGGACCTCACATTCTGTATTTGTCCTGACTGGCTAGCAACTTAGAACTTTTCAAAAGAGGCAAAAGTAGAGGAGAACAAAGGAAGGAGGAAGTAACTTGTAGAATGCTGAGAAAGGTAAAAACACTTTTAAATAAGGAAGAGGAACAGGCTATGACCTAATGCTTGCTTGGACCATTATAAGCATGCCAGGGCAAATATTTAGGCTAAATTGTGGGAGCTAAGAACATAACATACATTGATTTCTTTATTACGGCTAGCAGGTATTTAAGAATGTTAGCACAGGTCTTTGAATAAATTTTGCTTCTAAGAGAAGTTACTATTTATTCCTAATTAGACGGGGAGACAAGTCTTTGAAAAGGAACCTCTACTTTACTTTTTACACCCACAATACTAACTGCAGTCGTTGGCCCTTCTCCATGGCTTCTGTGACTTGGGATACTCATGGTCAATTGTGGCCTGAAAGATTAAATAAAAATTCCAGAAATAAACAATTTATAAGTTTAAAATTTTGTGCGATTCTACGTAGCATGATGAGACCTCGTGCCGTCCTGTGCCATCTAACCCCAGACATGAATCATCCCTTTGTCCAGCATCTCCACACTGTCTATGCTGCCTGCCTGGTGTCAATTAGCAGCTGCCTTGGTTACCAGATCGACTGTGGGGATTATCGCAGTGCATGTGTTCAAGCCACCCTTATTTTCTTAATAATGGCCCCAAATTGCAAAAGTAGTGATGCTGTCATATGGTCATCATTGTTCTATTTTAATATTAGTTGTTGTTAAACTTTTACTGTGCCGAATCCAAAAATTAAACGTTATCACAGGGATGTATGTATAGGAGAAAACATAGTATATATAACGTTTTACTACCATTCTCAGTTTTAAGCATCCGCTGGGAGTCTTGGAACTATCCCCTGCTGATAACAGGGAAGGTATTGTATTCGAATCAGAAGGTGCTTTCATGCAAATCTTGTCCAACCCTCCCATTTCACAGTTGAGGCAAAGAGCAGTCAACTTCTTGTCTGAGCTGGTAACTGAATCCAGATCTGATACCTGACTCCCCACCCATTTGTTGTAGCTCTGAGTTAATGGCTGTGAATGACCTTGACCAGAAAATCCAGGTATCCCTGCAGTAGGAAGCTCTTCTGGGGTCCCTAACGGGTGGTTTAGGACCTCAAGGAGTAATTTTTTGGGGTCTGTTGAGCCAGCGTTCAGTTTCCTAACAGCTTTACCTCTTGCAGCTCTTACAGGCAGCAGCTGCATGCAATGTGTTCTGACTTCTGCCATGTCTTGTAAAGCAGCTTGGGTGCTGGTGCTGACACAAGCATTCCTCGTTTTGCTGTTGTTTGAGTTGAATATGTTTGATTCCTTTCTAGTTGCTTTTTTCTTCCCTTCCCTTCTCCTCTTTTCCCTTTCTTGTATTTTATTTCCCTGCCTTTGTTCTCATTCCATGGTCCCCATGTAAATATCTGGTACTAGAGTTACATAAATAATCAACTGCCTCTTAGGAGAGAGGGATGAAAAACAGTAAGGATTCATTTTCCTGAGAGCTCTGGGGTATCTGACTAACTGGCCCACGTTGGTCTCTTACTGAGGGTTACTTGCCTCCAGGAATTGCCTTTGGGGGACTCTTCAGAGGAAAACACAAAAGCACAAAATGCAACTGACCAATTGTGCAGAACTATTTGTAGGAAAAGATAGTGTGGTTGGGTGGGGAAAGGAATTCTCTGTGACCCCTGAGGTGGCCAGCTAAAGCCGCGGAGCCCCTGAAGCATGAAATTTGATTACCCTTATCTCGGTGCACAGCTCCGATACTGCTGTCGGTCATTCAATTACCCAGCAACCTCTACAAATGTCTGCAGCCGCAGTTAATACGGCATTAGGGAGGAACACACCATCTTCCTTGTGTGGTACCTCTGAAATGCCAACAGACCATCCGCACCATGGAAATAGGCTTGGCCAGAGACGAGCCTGGACTTTGATCATTACTCCTGAGCTTTTCTATCAATGATTGAATGCTTCTTTGCCTCTTTTAAGATAACATCATCTCCCTTTTCAAATCAGATATTTCAAAATGGCTTGGAGAGATCCGCAGGTGATTATGGAGTTAGGAGAATGAAACCACTGAAGAAAGGCTAGAGAACTAGCATGGTTTAACTTGGAGAAGAAGGCTGAAGAGTGATTCAATAACTATCTGCAAATGTATAGAATGATGTATGAGGAGGGAGATGACTAGCTGCTCTGGCCATTCTCTGAGGCCAATACAAGAGGAGTAGTCACGGCCACACACAGTGCTGAGCTGCGCCATCAGGAGGCCTGTGCCCAGTCTAGGCCTTTCCAAGAAAAGTCCTCTGCAAGACCCTGGCCATTCGCCTTTCCTTGCTTTCCACTGGATGACCTGCTTCCCTTTCCATGTTTGTAATGAATCATTAGAATGGTGGTTAGGTTTAAAAAGGCCAAGTTTGTACTGACTGCTGTGGTCCTGCCTAGAGAGAGAAGAAGCCTCTAAGTAATCCTCCAAAAAGGTTTTAGGGCCATTTCCAGAGACCAGAGGTTTGGTTATTCATGGAAAGAAGTAAAAACTGTGTTTTTTTTTTGTTGTTGTTGTTGTTTGGTTTTGCTTTTTGTTTCTTTTTTTTTTAGAAAACAAAACAAAATTTTAAAAATGGATCTGGAAGAGTAGGATTTGGGAAGCAATTATAAGTTTCCATCAATATGGACAAAAAGTCAACAATTCTATTCTAATCCCTCTCTTTATAACAATACTCCCATTGTCTTGTTGATAAGGGAACATCTATTTTATGACTTCTCCAATCTCCTGGTTAATGCAGATAGCTGTTTGGCTCTGCAATTGTTACATTATCTAACATAGCTGGAACAGTGAGCAAGTTAGAGATTGGCTGCCTGGTGTTACTCTGGAGCTTGTCAGTGGGGAGCTGGTCAATTGGTCTGGGCAGGGGGTGGGGGATGCTCCATGGACCTTCTAGTTCTCATCTGTGGAGAAGGAAAGACCTTTCCTCTACTTTCTGAGATTCTGTGGCTAAGGCCTATGGATGATGCTGACAAAAGACAGATTAACAGGAGAAAAGCATGCAAATTTTATTGGAGGTTAGACATTTTTACGGGCAGGGGCTTCATAGGAAGAAGTGAAAACCCTAATGAAGTGGCTAGACTTGAGACTTATATACCATTTTAACAAGGAGCCATAAAATGTGGAGATGTGACAAGACAAAGGATAAAGGGATTTGAACAAGGAGTAGTAAAGTGGGGTTGACTCAAAACTATATGGATAAACTAATGAGCACTAAGGGGTGTTTTAGTTGGGTTGTTTCAAAATTATATGGAGAAACTAATGGGCACTAAGGGTGTTTTAGTTGGGTTGTTTGTACTAATTTACCATGGCATTGACTCTCCATCCCCAGTAACAGGAGCATTCTCCTCTTCCTGGTACAGGGAGGGCACCTTTCTCTTATGCCCTGCTCGTAGACAGAAAGGGGGATGGCAGAGAATCCTTCCCACATCTGATGTTTCCCAGTTTCCTTCAGCTCAAAATAATCAATAGGCCAAAGTGGCATATTTGGGGATGGCACGTTCTGATCCTCTGAACATCCTTCCTACAAAGGGTGGTATAGCAGCTGGGAGGTGCAGTTGCATCTTCTCCCCAGTCTGGAAACTCGGCCCCTCTTTTGGTCCTCAGTTTCTCTGGATATATTTTCACAAAGGTTGCTGTTGATCTTTTAGGAATAAGCTTAGCTGCTACATGTCCAGGATAGCATTTGCAGGTTAAGTATTGCCCACTGATGTCTGCAAAACCAAGCTGGAGGAAGACCCACCCCCCAAAAAAGTCCAGGTACCCAGTTCCATGACAGTGGAAGCAGGTGTTATTTAGCTGGAGTCAAACAGCACCCCTGATGCCATCCCAACTACAAAGGCAGTATATTCTAATTAACTGCAAATGCTTTGCTCATAAAGCTGTCAGCACTGGGATCTAATGTCTGTACTTTTAATGATGCATTTGATTAGAAGGTAATTTTATTCACTTGGTGGCAGTCCGACCTGTTTGGTGAGGGTCGCTTTTCCCCTCCTCTTTCCCCCACTTTTTCTCTCCTATTTGAAACATTTATGAAGTTGTGATGCTCAAAATAATCTAATAAGTAAATAAGTAAATCCATCAAAGCAATGTCACAATGTCTTCTCACCACCAGCCTGTGTGGGTGTGCATGTGTGTGTGCATGTGCTGTGTCACATAACAGGATAAAGTGAAGAGTGAGGTGGTTTTTTTTTTCTTTTAATTTCACATGAGATTCACACCTGGAATCTCTTCTTTTATAACCTTACATTCTCTTCACTTTACTCCAAGTCCTAATAACTGTCATGACTTTATAATGCATCACACTTTGCACATTGTTTCCATGTTCTTTCATGTCACTTATGCCTCACAATAAAGCTATGACATAGTTCTACCTCTGATGAAGGAACAGAAACTGGGAGATTTTATTACCTCTTTGAGAAACTCAGAGTAATTCAGGAATTTAAAACTAGACCTCAGTCTAAACTCTGCGCTTTCTCTACCACACCGTATGGTTTCTCATCAAAGAGTAGTTTTTATCTTTTTTCCTTGAGAACCAAGTACGGAGCTGCCCACACTAGAAATTCACTCTTGCTGAAGGACATCTGGGGAGCCACTGGGGCTGGGTTCACAAAGCCTTTGGTCTGTCTGGGTCATGCCTTCTGCTATGGGGGCATATGGTGAGGTTCAAGGCAACTAAAAGTTCAGAGTTCTGAGTAAATCCAGCAGCCTTCAGTGAATTTGTTTCATCTCTCTTCCTCTCCCTCGTCCTTCCTGAGGAGGCTGGGGAGTCCCTTCCTTGTAGGATCCTAAGCCTTTTACATCATGTGTCCATTGCCCTTCCTTGTAGGATCCTAAGCCTTTTACATCATGTGTCCATTTTAATCTACTGACTTCCCCACTCCCTGCCTGCTTCTCCCTCCCCTCTCCTTACTTTCCTTGCCCCTTCTCCTTTGACAATAAGAGCTCATCTTCATGGAGGGCTTACTGGTTGCATGTTCTTTACATGTGTGGTCTCATTTAATCCATGTGTAATGTAGGTATAGTTATCACCCCATGAAGGAAACCACATCTCAGGAGGTTATGCATACTGCCCAAGGTCACAGAGCTGGTGAAGAGCTGCAAGTCTGACTTCAGAGCCTAAGGTCTCAATTACTGCTTGTGTTCATCAACATGTTGCTGGGAGGTATCTGCTGTGCTTAACACTGAGCTAGGTGCTGTGAGAGGTGCCAAAAACAGATGGGAGATGATGCCATTTTCAACTTGGGATCTCAGGAGAGCTCTGCCCTAAAATTACAATGAAATGTTTTTCCAACAAGACGTGACATCTTCACCTAGGAATCTTAAAACACCGTGGGGTGCAGACTGCCCTGTGCTGCCAACTCTCACCCCCTCTTTTTGAATTGAAAGTCAGTAAGGTTAAGCAGTTATGACATGTGAAGGGATTTGATCTTGGGTTTTGGGGTACAGGGGCCATTCTTTTCCCCATGCTGCTACACTGCCTGTTACTCATCAAGCGGTAGAAGAGGAGAGTCACTTGCTGTATCCAAGCTGGAGCTTAATTTTTTATCCTCAAATGTTTCATCCGCAGCTACTCCTTAGGTGGCTGATTATGCTTCAATGAAATCTCCATTTGAAGGAAAATCATATCGTATGTTAGAACAGACAAAGGGAGAGCTCATGACCTTGCATTGCTTCTCATTCTGCCTCCTTCCTTGATATTCTCTTGTGCTGCTAGCGGGGAATTTGACACATTGAGGCAGACAGCCCCTTATTATTAAATCTGTTTGCAAATGTGTGGAAAGCGCCCTGCACACCCTCCCTGGTTATGAGAGGTGGCAGATCCGGTGTCTGAATCACAGGCTCCCAGAAGTATTTGCCTTCCCTTTTCTTCTCCCTTTTCTTCACTCAGATTGTCCACATTTCAGAAACAGTGGGGATACTAGTGCCAGATCTGCAGAGCCCTGGAGCAGAGTCCTGCAACATGGAAATGCGGCACTTTGCGAAAGTAGACAGCTCAGGAAAATGGGCCTGTCCTCAGTGAAATGGGCTCCAGCTGGCCCTGAGGTGCTGTGATGGGGTGGCCAGGCTGAGGCTGCTCCACTGTCTGCATGCCATCTACTTTTATGATGCCTTTTATTGCGTGCGACTGATTAACTGAGTTATGGCCACCAAACATTCTAGGAATGCGAAGTGCCAGATAAGGTCTTGTTAAAAGTAATAACTTCATAAACTAAGAAAGTTTGGGTGTGGTGGGGGACTAGAGAGAAAACCTCTTGTTTCAGTTAGGGTTCAAGGCCTGTGCTTTTGTTCCTTAGGTCAGCATCCCTTCTGGGTCTACAGGAAAGTTGAGAAAGGGGAGGCAGAAATAGAAACGAGTGACAGCAGCTGGCTGTCCAGCACCTCGCCTTGACCATAGGAGTGGGAGGGTGAATGCCTTTGCCACAATCTAGGGCTTATGAAAGGCTGTCACTTAGCATTTGTACCTCTGCCCATGAGCCCCACCAGCATCACCACGCTTCATGACACCATGAGCCAAGATGAGTGTTCCCCTTTCCACTGAATTTGGCGAGTGGTGTTTCCACACAAATGCGAAAATGTATTCAGTTCTTCATTCATTCAACAAGTATCACCAAGCAGCTAACTGTGTCCTTGGAACTAAACTCTAAGACCACGGTGAGTAGAAATGCATGGTGGGACGCATTGGGAAGCTTTTTCTTTTTTAATCCTTTAAATTGATCATTTTTCTGCTTCTGGATAAAAATCTAAGTAGGGCATTTTTATGAAATATCTAATAGAGTCAAGCTATTGCCTTGGGCACGTAAGTGAGAATACGTGCATACAGTAGAGCTTATTAGACAACAAATGATGTATTCACGCCACATGTACATCCACACACACACAATAAAACTGAAAGGGAAATACGCACTAACTGCGCACAGTAAAGGCTTTGGACAGGTCTGGGAAGACTTCCTGGAAGAAGTGAAAACAAAGTGCGGTCTTGTGGGATGCTGAAAACTTGTCCAGCAGTTCCCCCTTACCCTCAGGGAATATACTCCAAGCCCCCCAGAGGATGCCTGAAGCTGCCAACGGTACCAAATCCTGCATATACTATGTACATCTTTTTTTTCTTTACAGTTTCACAGATTTGTTGTTACTGTAGATCTTGGTAACCTCAGCATACAATTTTTTTTGTCTTCCTATTAATTTGAGAACGGTGAGGGAAAATGCATGGTGGGATGCATTGGGAGCCCTTTTCTTTTTTAATCCTTTAAATTGTTCATTTTTCTGCTTCTGGGTAAAAATCTTAGCAGGAAAAGGAAAATCCTTTTCCCTTAAAGGAAGTACTTTACAGCTTCTCTTTGACATATTCAAACTGACAGGTTTTGAGCCATTACGAAGTCAAATAAGAGTTATTTGAACACAAACACTGCAATACCAAGACAATTGATCTGGTCAGGATTTTCCAAATAATATTTTCAGACCATGCCAAACCACGGTTAAAGCGGGGGACTACCGTATTTAAGAAATAACCAGGCTTTGGTTCAGAGCTGCCCTCCAATCATGAAATGTATTTTAACTGAATGCTGAGCATCCTGTCCTTGCCCCGGGCAACCTGGTAACAGCAGCTTTTAACAAAAGAAAAGCAATTAAACAGGCCCAGCTGGCTCTCCGGGGGGCCTTTGCTGTCCCTTTCATGCCCTGGCCTGCTTCTGTGCTGGGCCTGCTCCAAGATGAATATGAAGCCTCTTCCTAGTTTTGGATTTTTTCTGATAAGAAGGCCTGAGCACAAGGTGCAGAAACTTACCGAGAATTACGCGGTGCCACTGGGACACTTTGGTTTTAAATTGAGACCTCAGCACATAAAAAGTCTGCCACAAATGCTGAGGTTTGGCTTCAGAAATTAAGGGCTGTCACTTTAAACTGATTTCCTTTTCCTGGACCTGCTCCTCTTGGCCCAGCTTGGGCAGAGGAGAAGGGATATTTTAAAGTGACAGGTTTAAACAGCCTCCGCGTGTGCGGTGCAATCATTTTTCATGCGAAGCCTCCTGGGCCCGTGCTGAGGGGCTCTGCAGGAGCCAATCTCCTTCCATAAATTCGTGGGAGGCCCCAAGCTGCCTGGCAGCGAGAGCAGTAGGAGGGGCAGCCCAAGCGGGGGCAGGTGGCAAGAAGCAGAGCTCTAGGACGGGGAGGCCCGGCAGGGCGCAGCGTCCTGGGAGGGGCCACACGCTTTGGCGCTGTTGAGCACCAGCGGGCACCTCGGCTTGTGGCTGGCCCGCGAAGGTGCTGAAGGGACTGTGGATGAGTTTGAAAACTCTCTCTGAGATTCTGTTTCCATGAGCTATAGCGGAAAGAACTGGAATTAGAAGCAGAAAACTAGGAATCTAGTCCTGTTTTGTTAAGTGTTTATGTATGCTGTGTGACCTTCACCACATTTAACCTTTATGAACCTCGGCCTCCAGGTTTCCAACTGTTTCTGTCTGTAAAACCGGGGTGTGAACACCTGCTATGCTCACCTCCTCATGTTATTATGGGGAACAGCTGAGCGGGTGAAGGGACCATGTCTTGTAAAATGCAGTGCGGTACCAGTGAAAGACGTATACAGTGTCACGGCAGCAGCCACGGTAGAACTGGAAATTGCCCAGCATAGCAGTCTCTGGCCGCAATTATTCAGAGCCAGCACAATAATTAATGAATGGGACATCTCCCATCCCAAGGACAAAGGTCTCCCAATAAAGATGAAAACCTCACCTAAGAAGTTGGATCAACCCAGCCCCAGCTCTCAGGGCAGAGTCCCCAGGTTCCCAGACTTGGTCGGGGCACTCCACTGCTGCTCAGGAAATGGACACTGGTCATGTCGCGCTCTGGGCCAAAGCCTGACCCAACTTCCTTTTGCATGTGGTCACAGGGCCCAGCGTTTGCACCGCAGGGCATCTTAGCGATTAAGTCGAATGCTTCTTTGCTGGGACCCCTAGGAGACTGTAACTGCAGCTCCTGGCGATGAAAAGGCACTCTCTGGGGAGGCAGGTGGCCTCCTGGCTGCTGTCTGGCTTTGCTCTGCAGATGCCCTTCACCCTGGAGGGCCACTGCATTTCCAGACAAAGAAACAGGGAATCCAGCCTGAGGGGGAGAATGGAACGGCCTTTTTTTTTCTTTCCTTGATTTAAAATCCTGTGATTTTCTGAGCAATTCTTAGGTTGCTGGCTGTGCTTCACAGCCACCGGTATATTTAAAGTTTCGGTATTAAAGAGCTCAGCAGCCTCTCCCAGGAGGAAATCACCTCCCCAATTCAAGTCAGCCAGGTGCCCTCTTGAGACGTGTGGGATTCGTGTCCTCAGCAAAAACCTCTCTCTTTTCAAACTGGGAGATGGCAGCACACCGCCCTATTACTGGAATAGACACATTTATGAATTTCAACATCCTATTAGTGGTGATGATCTGACAAAATCACAAGAATGGAGATATTTGGGTGTACAGCTGACAGCTGATTTATGTGCTTAGATGGTACCAGGATGTAGTGTGCCTCCAAAGAAGCCCGTGAGGAGCCGGTGCAGGGTGCGGCTGGGGTGAAACAGGGATCCCATGCCTGGGGCACAGGCGCCATCCTCGGAGTTCACAGGATCCCTCCGGGGCCATTGGTATCCACTCAGCTGAGGCAGCAGCACAGAGGGTGTGCAGGGGCGAAGGCTGGTGAGGACAGCACCCCCCCCTAACACGACGGTCTCCTTGAAACAGGTTCGAGCTGACACCGGCACATCAGCCGAGGCAAATTCTTTTCCTCAGATGCAATAATTTAACTGGAATTGATGAAATGAAATATATTTTGGAATCACTATCAATCCCAGTGAGACTGGCTCATGACAAGAGTCTACTGAGCTATATGTGTCTATGAGTGGGTGCCAAGGGACTCTCTCTCAGGGTGCTGGGTGGACGTGGTCCTTGCTGTTGTTAAACTGCGCTGGTTTGGGCTCCTCTGGGCTATGTTGACTGTTTATCCAGCTCCTCCTCCTCTCCCCTAGGACAGAGTTACTGTGCTCTTTATTGGCTTTTGTGCCCTCTGAAGCTCCCTCTGTAAGAGAAAAATTGAATTGGTCCCATTAGCTTGATTTTAGTAGTGATAGAGAAGGTAATGGATTCGGGGCTTGCTTGCCATTTAATTTAGATGTTAAAATATCACATGTGATTAATCTAGATACATTATTGCCATTGCCACTCTGAGCTGGCCATGAACAGGAAGAGATGCCTTCAGGTCATCATTTAGGAAGTGTCTAGTTAATTAAGGGAAGAGGACCGCCATGTCGGGATGGAATTCCTTCAGGGATACAAGAAAGAGGTTGGGAGGAGTTTGTCATAGTAGGCTCTTTGGATCACAACCATCAGCATTTGACTGGGTAAAAAGAAGGGGGCTCTGTCCTGGCTGGAGTGGAACACCCCTAACCCCCCAAAACCATAAATACGAATCACGGCATTTTTAGAACCACAGATTATAGCTCCATGAGGGCAAGAGCCAAAAATGAGGTTAACCCTGTGTCCTCCAAGTCTACTCCAGTGCCTGCCAAGGGGCAGGAGGGGGAGTGGAGTTCAGGTGGTGTGGAGACATAGGGAATATTTGTTGAAGGAATCATAGCACTGGAAGAAAATTTGGGGTACATCCAGTCAGTCTATATCCCCGCTTAATTATCTCACTCATAGAGGGCTCTGCAGTGACCACAGGAAATTTCAAATCCCAGCTCTGTCACTTAATTGCTGTGCCAACTGGTGCAGGTAACTTAGCCTCTCTGTACAGTTCCCTCATCTATAAAATGTCATTCCTAATAATACGTGCTTCATAGGGCTGTTTGAAGACTGAATGATGTAATGCATGGGAAGCTGTTTGAAGAATATTTGGTATCTATCATAAACACTTAAATGTTAATCACTATAGTTACTACGTGTTGTTTCCATCTTGCTTTTCATTAATCCATCCTTTTCCTAATTAAGACTAGAAACTTCATAAGAGTTCTAAATCCAGTTTGCCATAACTTAAGGCCCTTTTTCCTATACTGGCCTCACAGAGGTAACACAAATCCTTTATCAAAACTACCTGACTGAGTGCGGATAAGTCCTGGGCTCTCTGTAGGCCTCAGTTTTTCTTTTGTTTTGTTTTGTGTATGCAGACACAGAACTAGATGATCTCTAGAGGCATCTTTCAGCTCTGTTGTGGTGATTGTGGCCAGTCATGGCAGCTACGCTTACTGAACACCTATTATGAGCTAGGCACTGTTTCAAGCACTTTCCCGTGTTAATTAATACAGCACTCGCATTGGGGAATTTGATATCAGCACCTTCATTCTAAAGATGAGGGAAGCGAGCTGCTGGAAGGTCAGTCAGGTCACGGGCCGAGGGTTGCCCAGCTGGTAGGCAGAGGTGCCAATGTTTGGATCTAAGAAGATTCACTACTCAGACCATGAGCCTATAGAGCTGAATTAATTCTGTGGTTTTCTGTTACTATGATTTTGAGAATATTTCTGAACTCAAGGTGAACTGAGAAATCAGAATCTCTCTACTCTGTTGGCTTTATCCAGTGACCTGACCTTGGCACCAAAGAATATTTTCCATCCATAAGTAGCAAAGTGCCTGATTGCCAAATAAATAAGAGAATATGAGCTACTGTGAAAATGCCCCAACGAGCTGAGTTATTACTACTGTGTCATAATTACAGCAAGAATAATACACATTTACAGAGCACTTCATGTCCCCCAAGTACTTCATGGCTGTCATAATGAGGCAGCCTATTGACAGATTCCAAAGAGATGACTGCAAGCGTTGATTTCCACTCTTCAGTGCTGTGAAACTTGCAGGTACCTCTGAGCTTGGGATGGAGGGTCAGGGAAGAGATATGGAAAAGCCAACAAGGCCAAGCCTAGGAGGATGATGGAAAGAGGATTACCACCTAATGGTGAGAAAGGCAGTACTAGCTCCAAATTCCTTGGGACTGTATAAATCAAAAGTTAATTACTGGTAGGACCCCCATTTGTACTTTCATTGCTCTGTTTACATTTTATGAAGCCATCTGTTATCATTAATATGTTCAAAGTCAGTTTTGTTTTATTTGTAATGATACAGCAAAAGAAATAGCAATTCTTCCTCAAGTGGGAGAAACCACAGGCCTGGGGAAGGAAGGCATCTGGCCCGGGTGAGCCCTTGCCTGGAATGACAACCATCTCTTTGGGCTGGGTTCAGGCAGGATCTGGGCAGGCTACAGGGACTCTGGCAGCTTTTTGCAGGCTCAGTCTCTTGGAGGGAAGCTTGGCCCTCTAAGCTGAGGCATAATCTGCATCTCTGGGATGTGGATAACTTGTTAAGAGTGGTGCAGTGACAGGCTGAAGAACAGCGGAACAAGCCCACCAGCTGCCCTTTTCGGGCACGGAGCTGCAGTGAACCCATCCAAGATATCACCATCTCCAACCAGGCCCATCTGCAGGGGCATCCCTGGGGCCACACACATGGATGGAGCGTACAAGCCATCTTGTTCTTTTTCTCTTGTTTCGCTTCCCTAGGACACAGCTGAGTGACCCCTTTGGAGGTGGCTTAGGGAGACCAGAAACCACCACCGGCCACTTTTGGCTCGGGGACTAATGGCAAAGTGCTCCTTCCTGATCCCAACCCAAAATGAGCAGCTGCTGGAGGATTACAAAGCATTGGACCTTCTCCTGTTCATTTTAAATGTTATCTCAGCTGGGCAGTTCTTGCAAATGAGTCCATCACCCTCCCCTTCCTCTCTAGCTCCCTACCATCACCACCACACACTCTACCCAAATACACTCGGGCCAAAACCAGGGCCTACAAGGAGTGCACATTAACTAAATTGCAGCTTACTGGCCACGTTGGTGGTGTTCCCAGATTGAGTTCCTCTGGCTTAACACTCAGATGCTAATGACAGGAGCTGGTGGGTCAGATGTGGCCAAGGGACAGCCTTCAAAAATAAAATGGCAAGAGCGGGCTTCACAGAGCTTCGATTTTAGGCTAGCTCACTGGCCCGCAAGTAAGGTAAGGCAGAGATGCATTTAAAACAAAACGAAACAAAACAAACAAAACAAAACAATGGAAACATCTTTCTGCCACAGGAAAACTTGTACTTCATAACTGTTTCCAATCATACCCTGAAGGTTTCAGAAACACAAAACAAAATCTTTTATTGATTCTGCCGCAACTGGAATGTGGTTTCCTTTCTCTAAGTGCTCCCCTGGTGCAGTTTCTTGCCTCTGACCCCCGTCCCCATATTTTTCCCGACTATGCCTCCTCCTCCCCTCCAGTTTTTTCTCTGCTACCAGATATGAATGGCAGAGGAAAGGATTAGAGGCTTTGGACAGGAAAAAGAAACAAGAAAAATAAAACAAAACACGGCACCTGCTTAGTCGTTTCTCCCAAAAGCTACAGTTGATTGGGACCAGAAAGAATACTCTGTCCTTCTTTTCCTATGTGCTGTCCTGTTCCTCTCCTTTGCTCCTCATTAGTACCCAGAACTGGTTGTAAAGGACTTTTCTGTGCAAAGCAGACTCCTGTTAGAAGCCATTTCCAAATCTGAAATCATTGCACTGGGCGGTGAAGACAGACAATGGTTAGGCCACTGAATTCACTAAATGGACATTGGGTAATTGAGACACTTCCTTCTGGGGTCAAGGACTGTGGTTTGGTGCTGGGTCCCCACCCAGGGAGGCACCCTCACTTTTGGCTGAACTGGTTGGGGTGAGGGCTGCCCACGTCTTGGTAGATTCTGCTTCTTGCACCCATGGTTGTAGTTCTAAGGAGGTGGGAGATGTGGGATTCTGCAAGCGAAATCTAAATGTCCCAAGTACACAAGGCTGGGACCTGGGGAGGGCTAATCGGGTACTTCTTCTCATTCCAAGTGCTTCCCAGCCTGCTCTTTCGTCTCCTCCTGTCACTGCAGAGCCCGTGTTTGATTAATGACAGGGCTCTTAGTCCCCGGCTCGGCCCCCCTTTGCTCCCCCCACCTCCACGCATGTCCATTTTAATTCTCTCCTCCCTCTTTTGGCATCTGGTTTATTTTGTATATAAATTGCTGATGCAAATGTCCAAAATAAATTATGCTGAATAATAGATGAAGACAGCTACATAATTTATAATGCTAGAGGCCAGACAGAGCTGGACGGGCTGAGTTCAAGCCCATGGCCACTTCCCACAACCTGCTGGGCTGGTGTTTATATCCTTAAGTGCTGGAAACAAACACAGCCTGATGACTGTAGCTCAGACTGTCTTCTTCGAGGTGTGTGTCTGTCCCTAGAGTGGATGTGGTCTCCCCAGTCCAGGCTGCAGCCCGTCAGTGAGGAGCGGCCACAGGAACAGCATGTGTCATCCCCTTCCTCAGCTCGTCCTGTTGGCTTTGCCTTTAAAACAGACCCCAAGCCTGACTTTCCCCCATAACCTCTGCCACCACTGCCTTGGAGAAGCCACTTTCACCTCCTGCCTGGCGAGTGAACAACCACCCTGCATCTCTGAAACCTCTCCCTGTTTTCTCCTTTATAGCTGGCCTGTATGGCTGCAGCTTTAGGGTGCCCTTCCACTCACCTTCACATGGTGACCTGGTCATCTGCAGGCCCCTGAATTTGCATCTTCTTCCCTGTCTGGTCTCTACAGCCCTGCCCATCCACAACCCAGCAGCCATCCTTGAGCATCTGGTCCTGCTGGGCACACAGTGACTACAGGGCATAGATTTGGGGATTCTGAAGCCTGTCCGATTACTGCCCTGAGCTTGGGAGGGTATACACTGGGAGGAACTAGAGCTGGCATTGACAAATGGGAAGAGAAAGCTTCCTTCAGCTTTGTCACCCCAGAAAGCCAGTTCTGCTCACATAAGACATCTTCAGAAGAAGAGAACATTAGTTATTTTTCCTGATCCTTGGTGTCTGCTCTGATAATCGAGAATTGTTGAAATGGCTGAGATCACAACATCAGTCTGATTGGCTAACAGGAAATCTGAGTTGTGTAATTATGAGACCAAATTCACACAGGTCAAAACTCATTAGCCAAAGTGTAAAAATAGCCTTCTGTACAAATACAGCATTCTCTGCAGTCACACTCGCTCAGCATAATTCCCTTCTCACCTCAGGATAATCCAGAGGTGAATGCAGCAACCTCCTCCCCGTGCACCCCTCACTTCCTGTTCAGAGACACTGCCTTGCACCTTCACACAGGGGCGGGTCTTGGACGTGGGAGTTGTGATTCACCGGTATGGACACCACAGAAGAGCTTCAGCGTTTCCGAATACCCCCCACCATGGACGAGGCACTGTGCCAG